>NC_000010.11:95446125-95749155 GCF_000001405.40 Homo sapiens
CTTGGGTGTGCCAGCGGGGAGTCAAACCGCCATTCCACGCTTTGAGCTGCTTGGACCTGCCGTACTTGGTCAAAGTACCATGGCATCAACACAGACATTCCACGAGAAGAACAAGATGTGAAGTGGCCAGAGTTGTTAAGAAAGCATCCAGATAATTAATCATTCCATATTGTCCCCCCTACCCCGCCAATTCCATGACCCTATAATTCTAAGATAAGTTTTGATGACACAAAGTGATTAATTACTAAAAAGCCAAAGTTATACTCATGCTTCCAGCTGAAAAACAATCAACTAAATATGGGTTGGTTACTGGGAAAGGAAAGAAGGTCCTTATATGGGTAGTTTAGGGATATATGACTAGGAAGAAATTGAGCATGTCTGTAAAAATGAATTCAAGGTCCTGCAAAGGTTCTTGGAAAACAAACAGCCTTTAAATCTCCTAGCCAGCATGCTCCAGCTTCTCCTATGCACTATGGTGTTTTGCCTCCATAGCTCCCCCATCCCCAACAATAGATTGTAAATATCTGGAAAGGAAAACTGCATCATCCTCAGCACTGGACATGCAGTAGGTGCTCAGTCACGGCCTTTGCTCTCGCCTCTGTTTAACCTTCGGAACCTAACTTCAGAGTCTTACCTTCAAGATAATCAAGAGCCTCCTTAACTCCACCATGGCTCCTTAAAAGGGAGCCAGCTCCCCACTTGAACAAAATGCTGGTTATGCCTTAGCTTTAAAATCTAATCTTGGGCCGGGCTCAATGACTCACACCTAGAATCCCAGCACCTTGGGAGGCCGGTGCTTGAGGTCAGGAGTTCAAGACCAGCCTGGACAACATGGTGAAACCCCATCTCTACTAAAAATACAAAAATTAGCCGGGCATGGTGGTGGACGCCTGTAGTTCCAGCTGCTCTGGAGGCAGAGGCAGGAGAATCACTTGAACTCGGGAGGCGGAGGTTGCAGTGAGCTGAGCTCGCACCACTGCACTCCAACCTGGGTGACAGAACAAGCCTCTGTCTCAAAAACAAAAACAAACAAACAAAAAAAAACAAAAAAACCCAGTCTGGTACTGGGTGCCATGGCTCGTACCTGCAATCCCAGCACTTGGGAGGCTGAGGCAGGCAGACTGCTTGAGTCTGGAGTTCAAGACCAGCCTAGGTAACATGGGGATGCCCTGTCTCCACCAAAAATACAAAAATTAGCTGGGTGTGGTGGTGCACGCCTGTAGTCCCAGCTACTCTGGAGGCTGAGGTGGGAGGGTCACTTGGACCCAGGAGGCCTCAGAGGTTGCAGTGAGCCAAGATTGCTCACTGCACTCTAGCCTGGGTAACAGAGTGAGACCCTGTATTTAAAAAAAAAAAAAAAATCTAATCTGGGACTTGATTTTATATACGTACAGCTACTTCCAACAGCTTGAAAAGAATAGAGACAGCGCACAGAGCCCCAGAATAAATGCCTGGCCTTATTTCTTTGTACTTTGCAGATCCACTAGCAGAGCCACGTTTCTCCAATTTTTCAACAGCTCCTTCTCTTCTCAATCTCTATTAATGTCACTTCTCTTCAAATGCACCCTCTACATTATTGCAAAGGGTGCAGAAGGCTCTTCAGAAAGCCAGAAAGGATAAACACTGAGTCGCTGATACTTCCGTTCAAGGGGAAGAAAGTGGGATAAACTTGACCCTGACATTAACTTCAGTCTAGAATCCCATGACACTCCTGGGAGCTCAGAACACAACAAGCACGAAGTTTCTGTAAAAAGACCAATGTTTCTGGAGAGGGAGCAATAGGAAAACACATCAGAAAGGCCATCCTCCACATCCTCTCATTTCCTCCTGGAGTCCCTCCAACTCAGTTTCCGTTCTAACCAATTATCTGAAATGGCCTTCAGAAAGACTTCCAGTGCACACGCATGGCCAAGTCCAACGGTTTCTGCACTGGTCCAGGCTTCACTGATCTTTCCACTGCATTTAAGACAGTTAACTCCTTCCTCCTCCCCACACTTTCTGGTCTTGATTTCTAAGTGTCACTGTAAACTGATTTACACTGGGCCATGAGGATCCTTCTAGAACAGGGCCTCTGCAGTTCTTCAGGAGTTTAGGGAGCCAGAGGGCCCTCAGCTGGTCTTTATTCTGTTCCAACTACATGCTCACTTCTTTAGAACCAGAAGCATCTATATAGGTTACCCAGCCCATTTTCCTGGTTTTCCAGCTGTGTTGGAAGGAGGTTCCATGAGCCCCCTCCAGCCACTGTGCTGGCACCCACCTATGCACTCCCCAACTTTCAATTCAACCTGGGTCAAATTTCAATGGGGAAAAAAACTCCGCAGGGCTCCTATACACTCAGAGGGGTTGGCTGGGCAGTATGGCAGGCAAGGGAAAGGCAGCAAGGCTTCCGGAAAGAATATTATATCTAAAACACAGGCCTGATGATACAGCTCAAAAACATTTCTTTAGTACCTACTTTGCACCCAGGAAAGTGCTTGGCCCAGGGGAGACCAACATGATCAGACAGGATTGCTGTCTTTGAGGCCAACACAGGGCTGTAGGGTGGCAGATGTGGTCCATTTAAATATAGTACAATGGGATAACCCTTCTGCTAGCAATCTGGCTTAAGTGTCATGGGAGCACAAAAGGAAAAGGAATAAATTCTGCATGACAGAGAGAATAAGGAATGAATAAATACCAAAATTTTCCAATGTTCAATGACATACCTTCTAAAATCACCTCAAATGTCACACTTTTGGAAACACTGATCTAAAAATTCAAGTCCTAATTTAATGTGCCATAAGACCCTGCAGGATCATGTCCCAGTTATTTTTCCAGTCTCATCTCCCTCACATCCTCCCATGAGCCCTAAACTCCACATGTACCACACTTGCTATTCCTACTGAATTCTGACAAGAGTTCCCATTTCTAAGCCTTTAACCTTGTTGCTTCCCACTAATGCCCTTTCCCTCATCTCCCCAAATTTAAGGCCAATCCCAATAGCCAGATGCATTGGCCCAACAAAAACTAAAGGTTTTTATTTTCATCTACTTTTTATTTTATTTTATTTTCTGTAGTTACACTGGCTAGAAATAGTTTTGGTTTTGATCCCTATTAAAAGTCATGAAGATGAAGAACTCTTTTATTTTGGAGACAGAGTCTTGCCCCCTCATCCAGGCTGGAGTGCAGTGGCACAATCTCGGTTCACTGCAACCTCCACCCCCTGGGTTCAAGTGATTCTCGTGCCTCAGTCTCCTAAGTAGCTGGGATTATAAGCACGTGCCACCTTGACTACTTTTTGTATTTTTAGTAAAGATGGGGTTTCACCATGTTGGCCAGGCTGGTCTTGAACTCCTGACCTCAAGTGATCCACCCGCCTCGGCCTCCCAAAGTGCTGGGATTTACAGGCGTGAGCCACCACACCCAGCCAAGAACTCATTTTAATAAGACCTATTTATGATCACAATATTCAGAAAGCCCATGCCCAAACTCCACTACCAATATCAAACTCTCGTTCCAGGTCCATGCCAGAGAAGGGGCAGATCTGGAGCTAGAACATTCACCACCAATAAATCTGCAATCATTTTTTTTTTTACCTTTTATACTTGAGTGGAGCTTTTAAATAAATATAAAATGTTGACTTCCAACCCAATAAGCAAATTCAGCCCCCCAAACAGTTTCAAGTCTTATAAATGCAGTATTATTTGTGCTTCAAACAACAGAATTTAGGGGATAATTTGTAATTATATATTACATTGTCTAACATATTAAAATGCATGGCTTGCAGCAAACAAGATAGACGGGTTAATATCCTTAATCTAATGTAATCATACTAATTGCCAAGAAAAATATTTTTAGATACGTGAAGAAATGATTCCCAGAAGACAAAATGCAAATAATAAACAAATCTATGAGAAAACGTTTACTTAACCCAACTAGTTAAAAAATATATTAAAATAATGACTAACCATTTTTTCTACTTCTTATATTAGTCCAAAAATTTTTTAAAACTAACAATGTGGGCAAATGCAAAGACATTGGCTTTTTCCTACACAGCCAATGACACTACATTTTTATCATTATCTTCAGCAATACACACCAAGAGCTATGCACCTCGTATCCCTGTGCTTTAGGAGAATCTAGTCTAAAGAAAGAAGCTTGAATGACAATAATGCTATACATACAGAGATGTTTACCATAGCTTTATTAGTAATAGTGAAAGCCTTGAAATCCTCTGGTGTTCAATAACACAGGGGCTAATTACCTGACCACATACCCACTGTGGGGACTGTTGAACAGTTATGAGAATAACTAACATAGACCATACAACATGGGAAAAGACTTCTCGTAAGATTAGGTGACTACAGCAGGGTATAAGTCTGTGTGACATTTGTGATTACAATTTTTTTTTTTTTTGAGATGGAGTCTCACTCTGTTGCCTAGGCGGAGTGCAGTGGCACGATCTCTGCTCACTGCAACCTCTGCCTCCTGGGTTCAAGCGATCCTCCTGCCTCAGCCTCCTGAGTAGCTAGGACTACACGCACACACCACCACGCCTGGCTAATTTTTGTATTTTTAGTAGAGACAGGGTTTCACCATGTTGGCCAGGCTAGTCTCAAACTCTTGACCTCAAGTGATCTGCCTGCCTCAGCCTCCCAAAGTGCTGGGATTACAAGCATGAGCCACTGTGCCCGGCTCTGTGGTTATAATTATATAATAGGCAAAACGCATGTATATAGTAAAAAGAAAATATATCCAAATTCTAATAGTGATTGTGGTAGCATAGAATTATGGGTAACTTCTTTTTTCTATTTTCTAAACTGTTTATAATGTGCTTATAATACATTTCTTTGCTAATGACAAATATCCTTTTTAGCTCCTACGTGACATTTGATATGCAATTGTGTAATATTTAGAACCTGAAAGAAAAAATTCTAGGAGACAAGCTAAAAATGCCACTGACAGTCATGTCCATTAGAACATGGCAGAGCCACCTGATGCCATCTTCCACGGAACTTGTGGGATTCTAACATTCACCATCAGTGACTGCTTTTGTTTAATGAAAGCCAAACTACTCCCATGAAGTTCCTCAGGAGGATGAAGGGGGCAATAAACGGACTCGACTGTTCAGCCAGATTTCCTAAAGAAGCAATCGCACCAAAACATTTCATCTTAAAATAGTCAGCAGGAGCTGCCAGGTGACAACACACAAACTACCCCCATTGCTCCCAGTGCCTGCTCACTGCCAAGTCCCTGCTTCTAACCCAGC
Source organism: Homo sapiens (assembly GCF_000001405.40). NCBI lineage: Eukaryota > Metazoa > Chordata > Mammalia > Primates > Hominidae > Homo > Homo sapiens. The sequence goes on from NC_000010.11 coordinate 95,451,374, forward strand.
TTCATGGCATTCCAGAGCCCTGAACTCCTTCTCAAATCCTTTATATGTAAAACTCTGGGCACACACAGTTTCTAAAATACGCAGTTAACCAAGACAAGTCTTAAATGCAAAAACTAGCCTATTCGTGTTTCCCAAATATGGTTGTGTCTACAGAACCAAAACAAAGCTGTCTAATTGTGGCATTCAGCACATTTGGAGCCTTCTCCTTAGACAATCCAGATAACTCAAAATAGGGCAGATTCCGAAATTCATGAGATAAAAGCAAGACATCTTAACTCTGTTTAAATCATAAATATATAACCTCAAAATAATAAACACAAGCCCAGGACACAGAGCCATTTTTCTTCTGAAGCAGTCGCTATACAATGTCTACCAGTGAGAGGCCATGAATGAAAGCATTTTGGATTCTCAGGAGAATCAAGGTAGGGCCATAGTCCACAATATAGGTAAACGAGATGAAGAAGTACTGTGTATGGCTGGGAAAAAAAATGTTAAAAAGCTGAAAAGCAGTCTGTTAGAGCTTGAAAATGGGAAAGCAGGGTGGGTTTGATATGGCAGGAGAGGTCTCTGCTCTTACAGACAGTCCACAGTTCCCTCTCAACTTTCCTTTTAAACCACAAAATCCCTGAGGCTATGTATTTACCACATCATATATTATACAGACATCTGCAGTACAGACCCATACCATGCTCAGGAATGAGGGAACAGAGGCTCCATTCAGTAAAAAGACTTTGGGTCTTTAGCAAACACATAACTTAAATACTTCAGTTCATAATACTGGCTTGTTCAGGAATTGCTTATTTTCCTTAAGAAGTTTTGAACTTGTAACTGAATATATACTAACCTACCAAAAAGGTAATATAAAACACTGCAAACACCATCTTTTCTGAGAAAACCTCTCTTCTCGGTGGCATTTGTTTAACAACTGAGGTGGAACACATATATACAGGCCCAAAATCAATAAGCCCTGAGCACAGGCTCTGAGGCCATGGACCAAATCAGATCATTAGCACCTCACTGTAATAAATGCAAGACCTTGGCTCCCATCACTCATCCAGTGAACATATCACATTAGCTACTTTTATCTATCCTTGTTTATTTTTACCCTAATTTTAGGCAATTTTTGAATATATCAGGTATAAAAGCACAACATCCAACCACTGAAATTACAATACAAATTTCTGTAATGAGTTTTCTTCAAACCAAGATAAAACCACTAAAACATTCAACATAATATCAAGCTCACAGCAAAAATTCAATGAAAGTATTTTTTTAAATCTATATTGTCTTCCAGACTACCTAGAAATAGGTTGGCATTATACATTTATATATTAATATATAAAAATTAGTCTCTCTGTGTTTATATTTACACAAACACACATATAAACACACACACACACAATTTGCCTATATTATAGGCTTACAAGGACTCTGGCTCAGTTGGCATCTGGCACACACTTCTGACTTGAGTTGTATATGTGCCTGGTGGCTGCAGGAAAGCAACAAAAAGCCGGGTAAGAAGAACTCAATTTGAATCCAAACTTTGGCAGGGCTGTGCAAATTGAGAAGTCCCTTAATTTGTCAGCCTCGGTTTACTCATCCATAAAAGGAAATTAAAAATACTACTTTAGTCCGGGCATGGTGGCTCACACCTATAATCCCAGCACTATGAGAGGCCAAGGCAGGCGGATTACTTGAGGTCAGGTGTTTGAGACCAGCCTGGACAACATGGTGAAACCCTGTCTCTACTAAAAATACAAAAATTAGCCGGGTGTTGTGGTGCATGCCTGTAGTCCCAGCTACTTGGGAGGCTGAGGCATGAGAATCTCTTGAATCTGGGAGGCAGAGGTTGCAGTGAACCAAGATTGTGCTACTGCAGTCCAGCCTAGGTGACAGAGTAAGACTCTGTCTCAAAAAAACAAAAACAAAAGCAAAAAACCTACTTACATTAATTGTTTTTTGTTTTGTTTTGTTTTGTTTTTGAGATGGAGTCTTGCTCTGTTGCCCAGGCTGGAGTATAATGGCACGATCTTGGCTCACTGCAACCTCCGCCTCCCACGTTCAAGCAATTCAGCTACCTCAGCCTCCCTAGTAGCTGGGATTACAGGTGCATGCCACCACGCCTGGCTAGTTTTTGTATTTTTAGTAGAGACAGGGTTTCACCATGTTGGCCAGGCTGGTCTCGAACTCCTGACCTCAGGTGATCCACCCGCCTCGGCCTCCCAAAGTGCTGGGATCACAGGCATGAGCCACCGTGCCCAGCCCATTAAGTTGTTCTTAAGATTAAATTTTAAAATACAGTTGACCCTTGAACAACACACATTTGAGCTGTGAGGGTCCACTTATATGTAGATTTTTTTCAACCAAACTTGGATCAAAAATATAGCATTTGTAGGATGTGGAAGCTGCGTATGTGGATGGCCAACTTTTCCTATATGTGAGTACTGCAGGGCCCGCTGCAGGACATAAGTCTGCTCAGATTTGGGTATACGTGGGGTCCTGGACCAATCTCTATAGCATACTGACAGATAACTGTATATATGAAACACTGTAAATTGTTGTGTTATAAAAGGAAAAGTATTCTAGCAAAGGTATTGGGTCTATTCTTTGTTATCCTTTGTTTATTAACAGACTAATGAATGTGATCATTGTATATCTGATTATGAGGTTGATATTACCAATACTTACCTGTACCAAACATCAGGTTTTATGAACTGAAGCAGGATTCAAGAACCAAACAGTCAGTTTCCAGGTCTGCCTTCCTATGCCAAGTCTGGCAATGAAGGACATTCTTGATAAAAAAGCATCATGTTTTAAAAGCCTTCACAGTTGCTCCCTCCTTAGGTTCAGGTGCCAAAGAACCAAACCATTATTATCAAAACACACTGATTGTGTATGCATTCTGTGCAAGGCCCTGTGCTCACACTACAGAAGCAGAGGAGAACCATCTCTTCATTTCCTAAATGCTCACTGTGAACCAGCCACTTGACACATCATGTCATTTTTAATCCTCAGAACACCTAGTAAGGTTTCTACACCTATTCTGCCAATGGAGAAACTGAGCTTCAGTAAAAGTTAGAAGGCTCATTGAAAAGTCTTGCAGAAGCAAGCGGGAAGGCTGGAATACAGGTCCTGGCTCCGGCTCCTCAACCCAGGCTCCTTCCACTTTGCCACATGAACCCAGCCAAGGAGACACAAAACAGTCCCTGCCTGCAGCAAGATGCTCTTGTGTACAAAGGTTGCTTGGAGAATATACAGACCTAAAACAAAGACAAACGGATCCTCTTTGGGTGCTTTTTCATCCAGCTGTGGCAATAAAATTATTGAAGTTATCAATCAAGATAAGAGATGGTGCTTGCCCTCAGAGACTTTATATTCTAATTGGAGAGATAAGGCTAACCCTTGAAACCCTGATGAGCCACTACAAACAGCATGGAAGAGTATCCATGGACTGCCCTCTACTGCAGGAATCTTCCAGCTAAGAGAATGCCAAGCTTCACAACTTACCTGGGAAACACCCAGGCACATGCTGACAAAAGCACCAAATAGCCCATAGTTCTCATGATATCAATTTCTTTATAGAAAATCTTCATTAGGGGAAGTTAAAAGGGAATAAGATCACCTACAGAATTTTCTAACAGACTTTAGGAAGCAACAACACCCACCAACATACCTAGACTTAGTATAACTTGGATTTGAGTTGCTGTTCTGACGCTTACTAGATGTGTCTTCTGTGGTTAGTCAGTTAACCTTGCTAAGCCTCAGTTTCCTCATCTATAAAATGGGAATAATAACAGCCATCAATCTCATAGCATTATGGTGAAGATTAAATAAGATTCAGTACATCCAGTGCCTATTACAACGTTGGAAAATGCTTAATAAATTTTAGCTGCTTTCAGCATGATCCTCATCATCAATAGCATCTGGGGCGGGGGTCAGAACCACTTTCTCCTCACGTGGTTTCTCTGAGTAGCAGCAGATGTTCTATTCCCACCATAGAGAGGTGAGTCTTTTCAAGCTAATTAAAAGAACAGTCTCGGTCAGTGCTCCTTTGAAGAGCTTACAGCACCTTTCTCTCCCTCATGAGGTGACATGTCCGGTCTTTCCCCAAGAGCACAATCTTCTCATAACTTTCCATAAGAAGTAAAGTAACTAGTCTCCTCTTTCTCCCCACAGTTAATACTCATGGATGTTACTGGCTAGGTATCACTTCATTTACATGTAAAACTTTTTTTTTAACTTTACCACTTCCTCCAGGATATACAGAACCCGTCTTCCACATTGCGTGTGGCAGCTCATGCCTGTAATCCCAGCACTTTGGGAGATCGAGGTGGGTGGATCGCTTGAGCCCAGGAGTTTGAGACCAGCCTAAGCAACACGTTGAAACCCCATCTCTACAAAAGTATAAAAATTAGCCAGGCATGGTGCCGTATGCGTGTAATCCCAGCTACTCAGGAGGCTGACGCAGGGGGACTGATTTTGAGCCTGGGTGGTCGAGGCTGCAGTGAGCCATGATTCTACCATTGCACTCCAGCATGGGTAGCAGAATGAGACCCTGTCTCAAAACAAACAAACAAAAACTTGTCTACCATGTCTTCTGCTTTTAACAAACTGTTTTCCTCACAAAGTGTCTAGAGTTTCCAAAGCAATTCTCACATAGGTAATGTTTAGAACATAGCACAGAACACACACAGAATAGACCCAAGTCCAATTCAGTTAATGCAAAGGGTTTGTATTGCAGAGTATATGGAAATAACATTATGTAGATGGTGTACACAGACCACAAAATGGCCTTGAATACCAGGCAATGACATTCTGTTGGGCCATGAAACCAAGGAGAGTTCTGCAGAAGAGAAGTTTTCAAATTCAAGATTGCAAAGGTTTGAAGGTCTCCTCCAGGGCTCATGTTGAAATCTAGTTGCCATTGTGATAATATTAAGAGGTAGACCTTTAAGAGGTGATTAGCTCATAAAGCCTCTGCCCTCATGAATAGATTACTGTCATTATCAAGAGAGTGGGTTAGTTACTGCCAGAGTGGGCTCCTCATAAAAGGATGAGTCCACCATGTTATGATGCAGCAAGAGGGCCCTCACCAGATGCGACCCCTCCATAATCTAGGACTTCCCAGCCTCCAGAACTGCGAGCCAAACAAACTTCTACTCTTCATAAATTACCCAGTCTGTGGTATTCTGTTATGCAGCAAGAAACAAGTTAAGACAGTGATTGATCCAGCTGAAGCAGGCAGAATGCACTGTAGAGGTGGGGCCCTGGGGCAGAGAGAGCATGCAGGCTGACTGCCTGTGAGCGGGTTGGGCCACAAGAGGGGCAGTGGTGCCCAGTGCTTTTTATAAGACCAAAAAAAAAAAAAGAAATACGCCTCAACCATATATACCCTCTCTGCCCAGGAGAGGAGCTCCCAGCAAACTTGTTCTGCTCATTTGGCTGTGAAAACTCCATAGAAGCCTTGCTGGCAGCAATCATAGGTGACAGTTTCTACATTTGTATTCTCTTGCTTATGGGTAGCAAAAACTACTGCTGAGAGAGAATCTGATTTTCTGAGTACACTCCCTAAATCACATTTTGCCACTTTTGTCCACAGTGAAGCTTTTTTTCTGCCCAATTGCCTTGGTGGATGACAAGATAAAATTATCAGAAAATAAAAGGTGTCGAAAAATCCTTTAGAACTCAAAGACGCTTATTATAACTAAATAAAGACACTACGATATCAACCACTACAATGGAATAAAAGGTGACAGAGTTAGGGATGTTTAGCATTTCCAAACTAACAAATGTTAAAGAGAATGGTTCTCAATACAAAATGGCCTTGTCGCCACAATTCACAACTTGTATCAATAGAACACACCATGTTGGAAGAAAAGAACTATGTATTCTATTCCAATCAGTGTAGGATGTTTACAGCAGGGGCCAGGGAGGGAGTGTGTTGAGATCTTAAGAGACGAATTAAATTATTCACACACAACCCTGTTAGCAAAGAATTCTAGGTGCTCAGGCAGTGACGCTACCACTGTACAGCTTCCCTACATGCAAAACGGGAATAAAAGCAGCACTAACCTCCCTGTTGTGAGGATTAATCGAGATAACCATTTACCCACATAGCACAGTGCTTGACACACAGGAAGAACTCAGTAAATGGTCACCTATTGACATAATTTGTTTATTTATCCTGTTCTAACTCCAAAAATGAAGTGTGAGAAGAGTCAGAAGTGGAATCCTGGTTAATAAAAGGCTCTAGTTAGTCACTGTTTTACTTTAACAACAATGTACTGGACCCTGCATGGAGACAAGGGCATTGCCAGGAATGAAGGCTTTTGCCTTGGGCAGAGAAAACTCAACACAAAGCTTGTAGTGACTCCATCCAGCACCCTGCATTTGTGCAGAACTTTACAGGCGACAGGACAGCAGTGCCCTTGGCTGTCTGCTAAACAGGCCAGTAATTGAGTTCAATCTCAAAAAAACAAGAACAAAAACAAGGCAATATCATCTTTAAGAATGTTTCATGAGGCCAAAGGACTCAGAGCATCATAGAATTTCAAGGCTAGAGACTTCACCACTATGTAATATATCCATGTAATACAACTGTACTTGTACCCCTAAGTCTATAAAAGAATAAAATATCCCTACCAAAAAAGAAAAAAAAGCATTTCAGGGCTGGAAAAAAACACAGTTTCCAAATGTCATGGGCTTTACAGTCCTGATCAATACACTGAGATGAGAAAATGCAATGTCCAGGTACACGTCCTCCCTAAAACAAATAACTCTCATCCTGCCAAGCCCTTCCAACAGGACAAGGGGCAAGCCATGTCAGCAGGAGATGTTACAATTACTATGTCTGTAGTCCTGCTCTGCTTTCTAGATGTTACACTCCCTGAAGACAGTCATCTATGTGTGCTTGTATGATGTTTGTTCATTCACGAGGGCACTCAAATATTTCTAAATTGCTTTTAAAATTTCATTGTGGCATTCCCTTCCTCTCTTAAAAAGGAAAAGCCAGCAGTTGAGAATTAAAATCTAAGGTTTCTTAACATTTATATAGGTCCAAGTGTCTCTAAAACTAAAGTCATATATACAAGTACTGAGTTGGCGCATAAATTGCTATCTAGCTATCTAGAGAAAAGGGCTTTGTTATGTTGCCCAGGTTAGCCTTGAACTCCTGGCCTCAAGTGATCCTCCTGCCACAGCCTCCCAAGTAGCTGAGACTACAGGCATGCACCACCTTGCTCAGGTCAGCTTTCTCCTAAAAAAAAAAAAAAAAAGAAAGAAAAAGAAAAAAAATCCTTAACTTAAAGCAAGTCCACAAACAAATGTCCTTTGGTGCTTCTGAGCTCATTCATTCAGTAAAAGTTCACTAAATGTGAACTAAATGTGGGGCATTGAATAGTGGATCTCACTGTTTAAATTTATATCTTGAATATCTAGAGAGCAAACCATCAAAAAGTCTGACAGAGGGCATGTTAAGAAGACTATAGAGATGGGGGAAAGGATAAAGGTCCCATACAAGAATCCCCACCTCACCTCCCCTGCACCTTTTTTTTTTTTTTCCAAGTATGCAACAAAAATCCTTCAGGAAAAACGTAACTTTAGAACTCTTGGGTTGGTTCCCAATATGCTTAAAGGGAGCTCTGGTATTTGTGGAGTTTGGTGAATATATTACACTTCTGGAGGAAATCCAGCTTAAGAAGCATGTAATTGTAGACTTTTTTCCTATCTGTTTAATAATAAAAGTACAAAAATAAATAAGCTTTTTCTTCTGTAAGAATGTGAAGCCTAAGTTTAAAAGATTTTTATACACTAGATTGTAAGGGAAAAAAACTAAAATATGTGTTTTAAGCACTTACTAAAAACAGAAATAAAAAACACTTGAACTCTCAGAATGGTAATGAAGCATTTCAAATTCCCCTCTGCTAATATCGCAGCTCTAACAACTAACCAGCAAGCTCAAATGCAGAGAATCAGGTGCAGGGAGGCCTTAGGTAGCATGAAATCCGGGATGGCTACACAAGTTTGCCAACAGACTTTGATAAATGGACCAGTGGATAGGGACAGAAAATCCCAGCGACTCCAAAAGTTACATCTACATGTCATTTAAAATACATTCCTTGTTCACTGCTGGTTACACTAAAGTCCAAAGAGAAGAAAAGGAGGAGCAGGCGGGCTCCGGAATGTGCCCTAGACACTGACCACATGGAAACTGGCTGGAAAAGCCCTTCCTTGGAGTCACCCAGCAGTCAGCATTTACTCTTTTAATAGGGACAAGCAGCAGAGTCCTTTCAACGGGGGAAACCCTTCCGTGGCCCCTCAGCTCTGCAACCTCATTAAGTTCAGAGTGAAGCCAGCTGCCAGGAAAGCAAAGGGTGACCCAGCCATGGCTCTAGCAATTCCTAGCAAAGAAAATAAATTGAGTGCGTGAGAGCTCATAGATCACAGTGCTAGAAGGGAGATTTCAGGCAACTGCCAGGAAGATAAGGAAATCATCCTTCGAGTGTGCCTCTTCCAATGTGAAGATGCCTTTGCAGCGTTGGGGTTGCCTCGGAACTGCAAAACCAAAATGCTGCCTAGTCAAGTACTTCTGATCCTGCCTGGAAACAAAGTGTGGTTTCTCTGTAGGATGTGTCAGGTCCACATTCAGTCTCCTTGACCCCATTGCTGCCAAGGAGGGACAGGAGATGGAGGAGAATGAGACACAGGGGTGAGGAGTCCCCAAAGACAAGCAAAACAGAGGGGATGAAAAGGAGACCAATGTGTCCCAGCCCAAACATTGTTTCAGCAGGGGAAAAAGAAACACCAATTCGTTACAAGAATCATTAAAATTATAAAGATAAAAATATACATATAAATTTATTCACTAAACAGAGGGTTAAAGTTTTATTTAAATCTTATTTCTTCTATCACTGAAGTCTACACAAGTGACATTAAGAAATTATATTTAAGCACAGATACATTATGTGAGATCACTTTTAAACTCAAAGAAGTTTTAAGATATTCAAAGTGATTGCTTCTCTCTAATCCCAATTGTCAGTCCCTTAAAAATATCTTTAGGCCAGTCGTGGTGGCTCATACCTATAATCCCAGCACTTTGGGAGGACGAAGCGGGTGAACCACTTGAGCTCAGGAGTTTGCGACCAGCCTGGGCAACATGGTGAAACCCCAACTCTACAAAAAATACAATAATTAGTCGGGCGTGGTGGTGTGTGCCTGTAGTCCTACCTACTCAGGAGGCTAAAGTGGGAGGATCGCTTGAGCCCAGGACGTCGAGGCTGCAGTGAGCTGTGATTCCACCACTGCACTCCAGCCTGGGAGACAGAGCAAGACCCTGTCTCAAAAAAAAAAAAAAAAAAAATTAATAACTTTATACAGAGTACAGCCAGAAACAAACTGACCCCTTTTTGGCTTTGATTTCTTTACTTTAAAGGCCAAAAATGCTGCTTCATGTAAGTATGTGGTTGGAAGACCCTAATAAAACCATCATCATCTCTTTTGCAGATAACTGAATGAATATTATCTTTACTTTTACCCCCAATGATAATTATTGAACTAAATATTAGTTATAATCCTTGATATAACATTGGGTCTCTGTCTTCGTCCCTTTTTCTCCAAATTTACTGTTTTATGAATTCACAAATGATTTAATAATCAGAGATTTTCTCAAATGCAAGTTTTCTTATTGATATTGAGAAAGTATTTTAAATGACTACTTGCAATGCTGTTCTAAGTCAACTCTGATGAGTTGGAGAATTCGGAAAAACAGCAAGAGCATTTTAAAATTATTCTCACATGTGCCCTTCAACTAAATTTCTAACTTGTACTTTGAAAATTAATTTTATTGCACAAATTGAAGACACTACCCACAGTGCCTTGAAGTCTCAAATCTCACTCATAAGTAAAAATATGGACCCAAAATCAGTCAGCTTTGCTCTCAAACTTTCATTATACATTTGTATTCTCTGGATTTAAAAATAAGTATCTTAAATTGAGATAACAAATAATCTTTGCAAACGTTCCCACTGTATGTACTAGAGGGCCTCAACAAAACTGCTTTACATGGATCACCTGGGGAGGCACTTATTTAAAATGCGGATTACAAGTTCTGCAGCCAGATATGCTGATTCTGAAGTTCCAAGGGGGCCCTGGAATTTGCATTTCTGGCAGATGTCATTTAGGGCTATACTTTGAGAAATGTTGGTCAATACAACCAAGTGACGGCAACACCAAGTATTAAACGCTGATGCTCAACCCCAAACTGTCACACAAAGCTGGAAATGTTCACTAATTTGTACCATCACTTTAAATGTAATTTATAATTTGTACTGATCGCGTCAGAATTGCATTAAGCAGGGAGACAGTTTTTCCTTTTTTTCCTGCAAAAATGTTCACAGTGAATAAAACAATGTGCAAATGTGATTCCACTTGCTGGGCCTGCCAGTCATGACTGCTGCCCCATCTGCACACAGTCTGGCACAGGGTTTCCGAGTGAGAAGTTTACTAGGACTATGCTCATCCATTAACTTAAATATTTCTAAGCCTGGATGTTTAGGAAAGCAAAGAATTGAAATGCACCCTACCTTTAAGACTATTTCATATCATAATCCATAAAATGACTATAACTTAAAAAATGGATATATTTGACACATCTGTGATGCCATCTAAAGAGCAAGTGTTTACTTTTTAATTAGACAGGCTTTGATCTCTAATAGTCCATTAATACTTTATCCTATCACATTATTTTCAAAGGAAAATTTCCATTTTGCATCAAACTCTTAAATTCCAACTTCTCGATGTGTTTTCACTAAGTATAGTCTTTATGATTATTCAGCAACAGAAAAAGTTTCTTAAAGAAAACAATTGGAAAAGCAATTAAAACTAAAAAATTCAAAGGCAGCCATTCAAGTATCAAACTTTTTGTAAGAAGACTCTTTTTCAACTCATTTCAAGAGTGAAGCTTTTTTTGAATAGGTTTTATTTTTGAAAGCGTTTTTTAAACTACAAAAGAAATATAAGCACACAACTAAACATCTGAAAATGAAATAAAAAGATCTATAATGTCACCACCCTAACACAATCTCATTATTTGCTGAATTTCCCTGTAATCTTTCTTTATATTATCTGGTTACGTTCACAGTATATGTATAGTATTGTCTCATAAGTATTTTTCTTCTTGCTATAAAAGCTTTGAAATATGGTTCTAATTCTGCATGTTTTCTATATAAAGAGTTTTCCAGACTTCAGAAATCTGTTGAACTACATTTCCACAACGACCACTCATATCCTGCTGAACTTGCCTCTGATCCAGGTAATTGCAAAACATTCAGTATTATACCACTGTGCAACATGCAAACTTTTTTTCTTTGGTCAGGGAGGGGGCATATACACAAGTTCTCCTTCCCACTTCTTTTGAAGGGCAGCTAAATTTGATGTATTTATTGCTAGGGAAAAAAAACCCTATTGTTATCATCAAGAGCCTCCCCTCATGCTTAGCACATTACATACAATATCTCATTTAATCCTAGTAGCCTTATCATGTAGGCACTGTTACCAATTTAGAAAGGAGGCAATGATCCAGTGTCTTCTCTAGGGTCACCCTACCATTAAGTGGTGGAATTGTGATGTATAACCCAATCTATCCCACCCTAAATCCCAGGGCTCTTAAGAACTATCATGCCTCATACTACAAAGCTGTGCCTTGCAATGCATTTCCCTTCCTTGTACTCACCTCATTTTAAAAACATCTTTCCATTGCATTTGTTTGCATGGTGATTAAAAGAATGTGCTCAACAAATATGCCAAGTGCTCATGGAGTGTCTCCTTGGTACCACATGCTGTGCTCAGTGCCAGGCTATGGAGATGAATATCATCACTGCCCCTCAAGGAGGCAGTGGTCTTATAATCCAACGCACAGAGGGTGCTTAAAAGCAAGACACTGATTTTTTTTTTAAGCCATGTGATGCCTGGCCAGTGTCCCACTGATGATGGCTGCTGAGAGAGTGACAGTGAACAGAAGTTTGTCCTGAGCCCCATGAGCAGATACAAGTGATCCCTTCCATCCAAGAAATAAACAGAGCTAATGAGGATGCTTCACATTGTTCACTCTGACCCTTTCACAGCACAAATTCCAAAACTGAGAATTTTTGGTTCTGCAAATGGAGGCATTAAAAGGAAAATACCAGTTTAAAGTAAAACCAAGTTTTGGAAAATTTGGAAAGGGATTTTTAAAGCCTTTGTATAGTTATACTATTGGGGTCACCCTCCAATCCCAAATGGCTGTTTCAGTCCAGCTGTTTACTACCTTGACTTGGCTCTGGTCAACTCAAGTGGAAAAGATATCCCAAGTTCCAGTAAACACAAGGCTCTTTTTAGCACTGGCAGAGTGCTGGAGGAGGGGTGGCAGGAGGTTTTTCTGGCCAAGCTTGAGCCAGAGTCTTAATAGAGAGGCAGTGTCCCCCAGGGCCCACAAGGCAGTGACAGGTAACCAAGGTGAGAGAACCATCAGGAAATGGGTCCACCTAAGTAGCCCATGGTCACAAATGTCCCGTTCTCCTGCCATTGTTAACCCCTGGCAATTCCATGCTTTCCTTTAACAAGAGAGTCCTGTTTCTTCTCTCTGTCTGTGCCTTCATCTTTTTTCTTAGAGGCAAGGCAATTAAGAATGTAGGCTCAGGCAGGGGCAGTGGATCACGCCTGTAATCCCAGCACTTTGGGAGGCCGAGGTGGGAGGATCACTAGAGGTCAAGACAAGCCTGGCCAACATGGCAAAACCCCACCTCTACTAAAAATACAAAAATTAGCCAGGCAAGGTGGCACGTGCCTGTAATCTCAGCTACTTGGGAAACTGAGGAATGGGAATCACTCGAACCCGGGAAGCGGAGGATGAAGTGAGCAGAGATGGCGCCACTGCACTCCAGCCTGGGAGACAGAGCGAGACTCTGTCTTAAAAAAAAAAAAAGAAAAAAAAAAAAGGCTCAAATTCAGGTACCAGCTCCACCACTTACTGGCTATGGAAACTTGGGCAAATTATCTTGGTGTCTTCATCTGTAAAACAGGGTAAACAGGGCACTCCTCTCATGTGGTTACTACAAGGCTTGATTAGGATATTATAGGTAAAGCAATTAAAAGCACCTGGCAGAGTCGGGGATGGTGCAAGTGTTTGATAAACAACAGCTGTCACTCAGGGTGCTCGCTGTCTAGCCCACTCTTTGTCCCACACATGTGACAGGTCCCGTATCATTTATTCTTCTCCAAGCCACGCATAACTCTCTGAAGGAAGGGCTGAATACTCTGCACACTCTGGCATTCTCTCTGCTCTTGCAGAATGGCCAACAAACATGTTTTCTTGGTTTACTTATCTATGAGGGACCTCTGAAAACACCCAGGTGTGAAATGCTCTCTTAACAGTTGGAACTATCTCAGGACCCTGTGAAGTGGAAAGTAGTCAATAAAAAACACTGTTGGGTTTACTGTGTTGTGAAAGACCTTAGAAATGATCTAGTTTGACATCTTCACTGTATAGAAGAGGAAGCAGTCCAGGTGGAAAAGGAAAAAGTCTACCCACAAACTCAGATCTACCCACAAAGTCAGAGTGAGCTTGGGACCTGGACAGGAATGAAACAAGGGCTCTACCTTTCAACACAGCACCGTTTCCCCCAAAGGATGCTGTCCTGAGTCAAGTCACAGATAGCTAGCTTTGCCTTCCTACAGACCAAATGGTAAGGAGAACGTCATGCTAGTGTCACATTTAAAGAGAAGCAAAATTCTTTAGTCACTGCAAATACACCTTCTGAATTTTAACACGGTGCCTTGGATGAAGTAAAGGGGCAAGAGACAATTTTGTTGCTTTGATTTCACATAAAAAGGCAAAAGAGGCCAGGCGTGGTGGCTCATGCCTATAATCCTAGCACTGTGGGAGGCCGAGGAGGGCGGATCACGAGGTCAGGAGATCGAGACCATCCTGGCTAACACGGTGAAACCCCGTCTCTACTAAAAATACAAAAAATTAGCCGGATGTGGTGGCGAGTGCCTGTAGTCCCAGCTACTCGGGAAGCTGAGGCAGGAGAATGGCGTGAACCCGGGAGGCAGAGCTTGCAGTGAACTGAGATCACGCAACTGCACTCCAGCCTGGGCGACAGAGTGAGATTCCATCTCAAAAAAAAAAAAAAAAAAAGATACTAGGAAATATACCCTCACTTTTGAAATTTCTTCTCAATTCAAACACTTGCCAAATATAGAGTTAATGGAATGTTCTAGATAATGAAATATACTGGTAAATTAGCAAGTCCAATTTTTAAAGAATGAGAAATATCATGAAACGAAGTATGCTAGCATCTAAATATCATTGAATCTTCCTATGGGCAAAAAGGCATCTATGCAGCACCACTTTGGGCATTGATGATCATGATTCTGTGATGTAGCACATATTCCAGACTTGTTAGGACAGCCCCAGCTCAAATTATCTATCTCTGTCCCAATAATTAAAAATTCTGGGCTGGGCGTGGTGGCTCACGCCTGTAATCCCAGCACTTTGGGAGGCCGAGGCAGGCGGATCACGAGGTCAGGAGTTTGAGATCAGCCTGACGAACATAGTGAAACCCCATATCTACTAAAAATACAAAAAAATTAGCTGGACATGCTGGTGGGTGCCTGTAATCCCAGCTACTTGGGAGGCTGAGGCAGGAGAATCGCTTAAACACGAGAGGCGGAGGTTGCAGTGAGCCAAGATCACGCTACTGCACTCCAGCCTGGGCAACAGTGCAAGACTCGAAAAAAAAAAAAATTCTGGCCGGGCACAGCGGCTCACGCCTGTAATCCCAGCACACTGGGAGGCCGAGGTGGGCTAATCACGACGTCAGGAGTTCGAGACCAGCCTGGCCAACATGGTGAAACCCCGTCTCTACTAAAAATACAAAAAATTAGCTGGCTGTAGTGGCAGGCGCCTGTAATCCCAGCTACTCAGGAGGCTGGGGCAGGAGAATCACTTGAACCCGGGAGGTGGAGGTTGCAGTGAGCCAAGATCACGCCACTGTACTCCAGCCTGGCGACAGAGCAAGACTCCATCTCCAAAAAAAAAAAAAGAAAAAGAAAAAACTTCCCAAATTCCAACTTTTCAGGAACTAGTAACTGAATAAATCAAGACAGTAAGCATTATAAATAGAAATAAATCTAAGCCACAACACTGAAAAACCACAAAAGGAAGGAGGGCTCACAGGCTCATGTACAGAAGCATGTGCACACGAAAGAGAGCTCGTTAGATCTACAGCTATAGATGTGACACATATTTGTAAGAGCCCCAATGTGGAGCCAATGTGACAGCAGACACAGCTTGAGCAACCATGCAAATTCTGCAACCAGAATCTTTAATTACCCATATTCAAGAGAAGGAAGCAAATGGCAAGAAAGGTGGATATCGCAGATTTCTTTTTTTTTTTTTTTTCTAAGAAAAAATAATCAACTTTATCGGTGTATTCTGGTCAGAAAACACTGAACTCCAACTCCTATACTTCCTACATATTATCAGACTGAACCATCTCAAATTAACTTTTTAAAGTAAAAAATAGTCAAATATTGGAATATCACGTTGTTCAAACTAACATATGGCATTATGAAGAAACATAAGACCTCAGTCATCAAAGACAGCCTCTAACATGGGTTCAGAAAAATCATCTCTATTTTTAAATTATTTTCTTCAATGAGTTCTGGGGTAGAAAAAGTAGGGTGATTTGGGGTTAACGGTTGTATAAGTTACCAAAAACTCCATTGACTAGAACTCTTCATTTTCTAAGCATTCCTATTAAAGTTTTACTGCAGAATAATTTATGAGATGTCTGAGGCATGTTGTGAAAAAAAATATGTCTGACATTTAAGACTATTTTAAAACATCTCTCTTGCAAAAAGAGCCAGAGGTGTGGCAAGTTTGGGCCTTGCTCATGGCTTGGGGAGAGCTGGGGTTTTCAGCAGTTAGGGGCAGGGAGCCGGCCCAGCTTCAAAGGCAGAGGCTGGCTCTCCACACACCCTGAGGCGCTATTGAGCAAAGACAGCAACTGTGTTCCTATCTGGGGCCCCAGCCCTCTGTCTGCCCTTCAAGGTTCCCTGCTGCCTGAGGAAACATGTGAAATATTTCCGTGAAGGGCCGGCTGTGTGGAAGCAACAGGAAATAAAGGTTTACCCCAGTGACTTCCCACTAACCAAGAGGCGGGGGTCCATTTGAGAATCACAGTTTTCCAAGTGACTTGTTATTTTTACCAGATGTTTTCAAAGGCAGGTCTTGTGCAGAGGATTTGAGAGGTGTTTTTGTTTTTTGGAATAGAAAGTACTTAACCATAAGAAGTATTCTAATTGAGCATTAAAAGCCGCCCCAAATTTAAACTCACAATGGGGAAAGAAACCTCCACAGAAACATGACTTCTAAATTATCTTTGGGCTTAAGAGAAACTGAGCATTCATATACTCTGAAACTTCCCAAAGGAAGCAAAATCAATTCTTAGAAAATTCAACCTTTACCATCTTCTTTTTTTTTTTTTTTTTTTTTTTTTTTTGAGGCAGAGTTTCACTCTTGTTGCCCAGGCTGGAGTGCAATGGCATGATCTCATCTCACCACAACCTCCGCCTCCTTGGTTCAAGCGATTCTCCTGCCTCGGCCTCCCGAGTAGCTGGGATTACAGGCATGCACCACCAGGCCCAGCTAATTTTGTATTTTTAGTAGAGATGTGGTTTCTCCATATTGTTCTGGCTGGTCGCGAACTCCCAACCTCAACTGATCCACCCGCCTCGGCCTCATAAAGTGCTGGTATTATAGGCGTGAGCCACCGTGCCCAGCCCTTTACCATCTTCTAACAAAGGTGTTAGGCTAAAGAGACTTCACTGGAACAGCACGGCCCAGATATAAAAACTGGTAGTTCAGCAGCCCCCTCAGATCCCATGGTGACCCTTTCTCCAAACCGCCCACACTGCCATTTTGTTAAGGTACCCACGCAAGGAGCACCCTTGCCTTCCACTCTCACTGCTAGGCCTTCCCCAAGCAGTGCCCCCTTGTCTGAAAAATTTTCCCTCTCCCTCTTCCCAGCCCCTACAAGCTAAGCTGCCACATCATGTCCTTTACATGGTTCCCACTTCCTCCAGAAAGATTTTCTAGGATGGATGGATCCTAGGAAAGAATGGATGACAGATTTCCACAGCCCCAACTCACCCAGACATGAAAATTTGTGTTTATGATCTTTCTTTCTTTCCCACTTATGGAACCTGCACTCTTTTATTATTAATGTATTTATTTGCCTAAGGTGCTATTTTCTCTTGTCTACTGATTGCTCAGTGCAACGCATCTAGCTCCAAATATGAGCTTCTACAAAGCAATGTTTTCAGCCTCATTACATAGAGAAGGACTGAAGGAAATAAGGAGGCTCAGCCTAAAGAAATGTGAACCAGGAGGTGCAGGCTGGGGGCCGGACAGGGCAGAGTGGAGTTCTGCCTCCTCCATTTCAGGTCCTATCTAAGGGCATTTTGCTTTGCCTCTTTGGGCTTCACTCCTCTTCTGCAAGGAATGAAATAATAAGACCAGCTTTGGGGCTATGACAATGACAATGTGATACGTGTAAAACCTTAGGTACACAGAGGAATCAAGTCCTTCGTCATTGCCGATGCTTTTCCAAAGCTCTGCCCACACCCCTTATAAATAGTTCCTTCATTAAAATCGCCTTAAATTACCTGATTTAAATGTGCCATATGTTTTCTGCCAGGCCTCCAAAACGCTCAGTAAATGACATTTTCCTTTCCTTATCTTCCCCACCTTGCCCCTAATATGCCATTTTCTACCTAACAAAAACTCACTTCTTTTAAAAATATAACCCTTTACTCTCTAATGTTTAATTACTTCCATATCATCTCAATGTTGAACTTGGTCTCTATAAGCCTGGTTTACCCAAATTATAGATTCTGGCACCATGTCTGACTAAATCTGTATTTGAAGTTTCTAAATGTCTCACTGATTTACAAGGTCATAAAATCTCCAGGCTCAAAGCACCCTTAGATTAGCTAAGCCAACATTTCCCAAAATGTGTTCCACAAAACACTGTGTGTTCCCGGAAAAGTTAGCAGGAATGCAGCAGAAAATGTGTTCCAGGGTCTCGCAAGTTTGCAACATCCACGGAGACTCTCAGAGACTTTCAATGACATATTTAGGCATCTGAAAAGTCTTGCCCAAAAGAATCCTATTTAAATTAGCCAAAGCAGCATTTCATCAACTTATTTGGCCACAGAGCCCCTCACCCACCCCAACCCTTAGGGTACCCATTAACATCCTGCATCATAAATGTTCATAAAATACCCCTAGAAGGGGAGAGAAGACAGACAAATTCACTTTCCCAAAGTCAGAGAGTAAATGGTGAAGCTGGCTTCAAACCCAGGTCTCTTAGACCCTCAGTCCCCTGCTCTTATCACTACACTAAAGGTTCTCAAAAGTCAGCATACAGCACAGCCACGAGCAGGGCTTGTCAAAGGGCAGACTGCTGAGCTCTGGCCCCAGACTTTCTATCTACTTCAGTGGGTATGAGCGCATTTGTAACTAGTTCCCAGGTGATCCTGCTGCTACAAGGCACCTGTCGAGAACCACTGAACTACATCCATCTGTAGGGGTACAGGAGATGGGTGGCACCTTGCCCTAAAGAGTAAAGACCTAGTGGGTGGCCGAGGCATAAACACGTGAAAACACCTAAATGACAAAAGGTTTAAGGAACTACACTTCAACATACAATGCCATATCTAACTAACTGCCAAAAATTCCAGAGTCAAAGAATTACAAAAGTTAGACAGAACTGAGCTAGACCTTGAAGGATAGAAAGGTCTGTATAAGAAAGAGATGAATGCTTTCCACGGGAAGAGCATTCCAAGTGGAAACAATGGTTCCTATTATCCCAATATTTGTGTTTGTAAAATCATAGCTTTTGGAGCTGGAAGAGACCTGGCCTGTATGTCTTTGGAAAACACTCTAATTCTTACATTTAAATATGGGTGTGACTGCTATCTCAAAAATTCACAGCAAAACACTTAATGCAAAATAGAGTAGTTCCTCTACAAATAAGTGATTTGGAGGAGTTAGCAAAGGTCTTCCTGCTCCCTTTCCATCTGCAGCTTTACTTCCTCAGGTCACCACCCCCACTGCCTTGTAGTCCATCCCCAACAACCTAAACCAAGGACCACTAAATCTGCAAGTCAACAGTTCATGCTTTCCTTGGAAAGTGGGGAGCAAAGTAGTCAAAATAGTTCTCATGCAAGTGCCTTTCTAATAGAGCTTCGATGAGATGAAACAGTTTCTTGACATCGCCTCTATGTCCTGCTGCATTCCCAAACAACAAGCAATAGAATCTGGGGAAAGGGCGGGGCACGGTGGCTCACACCTGTAATCCCAGCACTTTGGGAGACTGAGGTGGGCGGATCACCTGAATTCAGGAGTTTAAGACCAGCCTGGCCAACATGGCGAAACCCTGCCTCTGCTAAAAATACAAAAAATTAGCTGGGCGTGGTGGCAGGTGCCTGCAATCCCAGCTACTCGGGAGGCTGAGGCAGGAGAATTGCTTGAACCCAGGAGGCAGAGGTTGCAGTGAGCCAAGATCACGCCATTGCACTCCAGCCTGGGCGACAGAGCAAGACTCTGTCTTGGAAAAAAAAAAAAATCTGGGGAAAGGATTTTGTGAGTGGGCCATGGCAAAATGCTTCAAAGGAATAATCAAGGTTGAAAATACCATGCTCTATTATCACTTCAGGGGCTACCATTCACCACTGTGCCCCCAATTCTGATTTTGCAAAGCTGTTGCTAGTTACTGCTGTCAGAGAAATAGTAATGACTTCTTTGGAGTAGGGAGATGATAAGCCTGCCTCTAATTCACTCATGTACAGGCATTTATTCATTGAACATTTGGTTAACATTTAAGGTAGGATGCTATTGACAACAATTGAGCTGTAAACTGCCCTCCCAGTAAAGGCAGAAAAAGCGCACTGGTAAATCATAGGGCATGAGTCAGGAGGAGAGTGGAGAGGAGGAACGCTGAGGTTAGGGTGGAGGAGGGGTCAGGAGCAGTGGCTCACACCTGTAATCCCAGCACTTTGGGAGGCCCAGGTGGGAGGATTGCTTGAGCCCAGGAGTTTGAGACCAGCCTGGGAAACATAGTGAGACCCCATCTCTACGAAAAATAAAAATAAAAATTAGCTGGGCATGGTGGTACACGCCTGTAGTCCAAGCTACTTGGGAGGCTGAGCAGGAAGATCAGCTGAGCCTAGGAGGGTGAGGCTGCAGTGAGCTCTGATCACACCACTGCACTCCAGCCTGGGTGACAGAGCAAGATCCTGTGTCAAAAAGAAAGGGTGAAGGAGGGTACTTCTAGGGGACCGTGAGGCAGTGACAGGAGGAAGTGGAAGGCAGGAGAGGGAAGGGAAGAACAGATGGCCCTTGAGCACCTGCCCTGTGCTGCATACTGCTGAGTCCTTCACCTACTCTCTCCTGTTATCCTCATAAAGCTCCATGAGGTGGAACAATTTGTAAATGGAGAACCAAAGCTTTGGAAGCTTAAGTGACTTGCCCATGGTCAGACAGCTAACAAACCCCGATGTGGCAATTTTAGCTCTGGTTTGTCTAAATCCAACTGGTAGTCTTTTAAGGTGATGTAAGGCCCTGGAACATCCACCTCCAAAGTCGACTAAAACAGGGTGAGGACACTTTGCAGTCTTTTCCAAAGATTCAACTTATAACTTAAAACATGATGAAATAATTCACTAAATATCGAGACATACATACACATGAGCTATATATTTGCCTAAATGTAAATATTTAAGTATTGTAAGATTCTAAATTAACTATGAATGGAGCGGCAGCGGTTGGGGTTGGGAGGGGAGTCAGACCATTTGTTTAAAATTATCACCACTGACAATACATTTTATGCCTCTAAAGGGGTTTGAACCCATGAGTACAGTGGCCTGAAAAACCATCTTCCTTATTCTCCAGGATGTTACACAAAAGTAACAAGGGAATGATGAAGGACAGGAGGACAAATGTGACATCTGAATAAATCAAGGAGACCGATGTAACCCACAGACCCAACAACTGTGGTATGGCTTCTGAAAGCTACTGAGATGGTTCAGAAACAGGCAGAGATAAGAATAGCTTAGGATTCATGTGTTTCCAGATCATATGAAACAACACTAGTAAATACAAACAGGCCTGTCTACATGTCCAGCACAGGTCTATAAGCTTAGATAGACTAGTGATTTTAACCGTTACATCCTACCGACAAGATAAATACTATCTTACAAATGAGGACACTTAGACACAGACAGATAAAGTAACTGGCCAAGACCATATATACCTCAATAGTAAATGAAGAGCCGGGCACGGTGGCTCACGCCTGTAATCCCAGCACTCTGGCAGGCCAAGGTGGGCGGATCACTTGAGGTCAGAAGTTCAAGACCAGCCTGGCCAATATGGTGAATCCCTATCTCTACTAAACATACAAAAAAAATTAGCCGGGCATTGTGGCGTGTGCCTATAATCCCAGCTAATCAGGAGGCTGAGGCGGAGAATTGCTTGAACCTGGGAGGCGGAGGTTGCAGTGAGCTGAGATTGCGCCACTGCACTCCAGCCTGGGTGACAGAGAAAGATTCCATCTCAAAAAAAAAAAAAAAAAAGTAAACGAAGAAACTAGGGTTTAAACTCAGGCCCTTGGGCTCCAGAGCCCTGCTTGTAACCACTGAGACAGACCACCTATCCTACAGTAGATGTACAAAATTATTCATTATATAATGATTTTATGGACAAAAGATTAAGACAGCCTAACTACCGTTCATAGGCAATTGTTTATGTATTATGGCACTTCTACTCAATGGAAAACTAGACAGCTGTTAAAGAGAATGAGGTATCTCAATGTGTGATGTGGAATGATCTCCAAGATTACAGTTAAATAAAAATGGTTCAAAATATTGTAGATCACCGGGCACGGTGGCTCACGCCTGTAATCCCAGCACTTTGGGAGGCCAAGGTGGGTGGATCACCTGAGGTCAGGAGTTCAAGACCAGCCTGACCAATATGGTGAAACCCTGTTTCTATTAAATACAAAAATTAGCTGGGCGTGGTGGCAGGCACCTGTAATCCCAGCTACTCGGGAGGCTGAGGCAGGAGAATCGCTTGAACCTGGGAGGTGGAGGTCGCAGTGAGCCAAAATCACACCATTGTATTCCACCTTGGGCGACAGAGTGAGACTCTGTCTCAAAAAAAAAAAATTGTAGATAATATGTGCCATTTGTATGAACTACATATAATATATATATACACACACACATACATATTTATAAATATCTAGAAAATCTCCAGAATAGTATAGAATAAAATGGTGCTCAGGATTTCTTCCAAAGAGAGGTACCTAGATCCTAGATATGAGAGAGGTAGAAGATTTACTTTTCACTGAAAACATTTTTACTAATTTTTAAATTTTGCACATGGTCAATTTTGTATATCACCTACTTATTTAAAGCAAATTCAAAAACAAATTAAAACTGTTTTCCAACCTAATGCACAGTTTTGGGGAAGATGGATAGAATAAAAGTAATCAGAATGGTCTCTTATGACAGACATCCTCTATCCATTCCTTAGAGAGAAGTGAATAACTTCCTGCAATTTTTCACAGTAGAGATTCTGAAATGCTTAGAAAAAAAAACAAAAAGCCATTCACTTTCCTCAGCCCAGACATTTGTTTCTTAAAAATGCAGTGGACAGATAGCAGGAAAGAACTCCCTGTAAAGATTATAGGAAGAGAGAGTTCAATGTTTGTGCATGGGTATATGTGAGAGATCATAAGAAATCCTTAAAAAAAATAAACATGGCAGGTAATGAACCAGCACCACCACTGTGTGGCTGAAATAGAAATGGGTATGTCACCTCCATGCCACCAAAGAAACGGAGTCTCTCGTGTCCTACAAAGCATGCGAGGCATCTTGCCTTGCCAAATTTAAACAGCGATATTATTTTTAAGCTACTATAATTAGTCTCCATTTGTCTGTGAATCAGCCTTTATGAGGCAATAGCATCTAAGCCCCATCAGATGAAACATGAAGCCACATCATGTCTGTTTATTATTTTGAAAAGAGAGGGTGCCAAGTTTCCTGTAACACCCAATTCAAACACTGAAATTTGGAGGACAGAATGTCCTGTTGTCCACGTTTGAAGATAGGAATATATTTTCATCTAATACATCAGAGCCCCAGGTTCAGCTGGCAACAGGAAGGAATTGAATTCCACAGCTCAAAAATAGGACTTAAGTACTAAAGCACCTTTCTTTGCTCATATAGGATAATATTTATGTTTTAACCCCTCATGTGGCAGCATGTTTTAAAGTGCCCATGTTTGTGAACAAACATGAGAACGTTTTAATCTAAAGATAACTGCCTAGGTGACAAGAGATTGGCAAGTGTTTTAAAGCTATGTTTACACTCCCTGATATATGGTTCTCCTAATTAAGTTTCTCAAGAGCAATAAAGAGTTTCTATTGCAAACAGAAAGGTAGGGGGAGGGGAGCATTCCTATTTAAGCCTGAGCTTCCCGCAAATGACATGGCTCCCCTAAGGGGTTCTGAAATCAGGTATTGGAATATAGTAGAATCTTCTGGTCTCCAAAGGAAGTCCAGCCAGAGAGCAGGTAACACTAACTTTAATGCAGTTAGAATCTGTAAGAGGTTTAAACTGGCTGCCTCAGTAAGCCCCAGAGACCCAATGAGAGGGCACAAGCTCAATGCCATCATTCACAAAGAACATCAGTTAGCAGTATGCCAGCAGATCTGGCACATGGTGGTGGGGGTGGTGGTGCAGAAGAGGGAGATACCCTAGTCACTTGTCTTCAGATTTATTACAGTAAAGCCTTAATATCTTCATGCCCTCGATAAATGTGTATAGGCACACCTGTATCTTTTATAGCAAGTACCATGGGTTCTAGTTTCAGTTATAACATTTACTAGCCAGGTTCCCTTC
The DNA here is from genome assembly GCF_000001405.40 of Homo sapiens. Lineage (NCBI taxonomy): Eukaryota > Metazoa > Chordata > Mammalia > Primates > Hominidae > Homo > Homo sapiens. The sequence goes on from NC_000010.11 coordinate 95,475,380, forward strand.
AGCCAACCACTTTAACCTTTCAGAACTCCATTTTTCCCCCTCAAATACGAAACAAGCAATAACAACAAATAGGGAATGAGGCAGTGGGGAGTAATACTTGCCCTGTATCTAACCTCACAGGATTTCTATAAGAACCAAAATGAAATAATTAATAATAGTTTCACAGTCTTTAAGGTTTAGCAAACATGTATATAATGTTTTCTTATGGCTGGGATGAGGTGCTTGACAATTCTCACATCTAACAACCCTCTGTAAAGGTACTATTATTATCCTTGTTTTGTAGATAAGAAAATTAAGGCCCAGAGAGGTTCAATAACTTGCTGGAAGTTATGATACTAGGAAGGGGGATTTGAACTTTAGCAGCCTGACTCGAGTTTGTGGTACTATATACCACAATATGCAGCCTGTCATAATTATCATATGAACATTAATATTATATAATAACTAAATTTATGTTTATCTCAATTTCACAAATGAAGAAAATGAGGCTCAGAGAGGTAAGTCACAAGCCAAGATCATCGAGCAGGCAAATGGCAGAGCCAGGATTTGAAACTTAAGTCTATGTGACTGCAGACCCTGAACTCTCAACCACAAAGTTAATAAACTTCAATCCACAAATATTGACTCTGCATCTACTGCGCTCCAGGCTCCGTGTTCTAAAACACTATTCTTTTTTTAAAAAAAGATAAGGTGGCAGTTATTCGCCCAGGAGCTAAAAGGTTTTCACATCATCTCCAGGCCAGATCAGCCCCACCCCCACTCTCCAGGGCAAAGTCCCAGCCTCAAACAGCAGGTGCCCAGTGATAGCTGATGCCAATAACGACAATGATGACAGAAATATTTTAAATGTTGGGCTCTTGCTTTAAAAGGGAATTAGACTACTCAATTTCCAGGGCAAAAACGTCCTACAGGGCAAAATGCTGTTTCTAAAACAATGTGAACAGGTGTGGCCTATCTCAACAGGTGAAATATTTGAGGAACATTGTTCAGTCCTACCAGCCTTTCAACTCCCGAGGTAGGTTTGGCCCAATTCAACCTGGTTCTTCCCGGGCTTTCCTGATAGTCTTTTATCCCAGGGAAACCCCTCAGTTGGTCACCCTAGAGAGCAAGGACTAGGTTTTATACTCTTGACCAATACAAACACACACAGTGGTTCTAGCACAGTGCCTTGCAAATAAAAGGACCTAATGTCTTAGTGGATTCAATGGATGGAACAATATTTTATTATTTTCAAAGTACACTCATTTCCACTTCATAAGTGTTGCCAAGCAGCAGTCCCTGCACTGCTAAAATGATGATGTGAGAATCATTTTAATTAGCACTTTCATTGTTTGTATGCAAATGCACATTCCTAAAGTGGGTTCTTTAGAAAGCTTTCCTAAATCGACATCCCTCACAGTGATTTTTCTCCTTAAATCTTTTTCCATAGACAGTAAAGAGATAAATTTCAATCCAGCCTGAGTCTTAATGATCCTGAATCTTTAATAATGGAATTAAGGTGCTTTTCTTAAGCACCTTAAGAAAAGCACCTTAAGAAAAGAATGGCAAGTCTAAAATGAGGAAATGTGAGGCACTTCCAGGCACCAAGATAGAGCTACTCCTTTGACTCAGTCATCCCAAAATAGGATGGGTGACTCCAAAAGAGAGCACACTCCCAACACCGAGCTGCAGAAAAGTGAACAGTTTGGCGGCCTGAGTCCCCCCGGGACAAACCTGAGAGTCTTCAGAGTCATCACAAACTTTCCGACCTCCTCCTCTTTTCCCTTCCCCAAATACTCCCAGCTCAGGGAGCCTGAACTCTCTGCCAGCCCACCCCTAGCCTGTTCCTTCCTTTCGTCTCTGACCTAGGGGCTGGGCAGCCTCGGTCTTGTACCTCAGCTCAGGGAGAGGCCCAGATGGTCCTGGAGAACTCAACCCTGGCAGAGGCATTGGTGGACCCACCCAGCCCTGCCCTGGGTGGGAGTCCTGAAGAGCTGGTCTCTTGGGGAGTAGGAGTGGGAATAAGTTCTGGGTGGTCAGCACAGCTGAATCCTGATCTGAGTCACTAACACAGCCCTGTATGGTTATGCCTGGGAGCCCAGAAAGCCAGTCACAGCTTAAAATTAGAGAGAACACCATGGGGAGAAGCAAAGTTTTTGGAAGGGCAAATGAGGAGTCAGAGGTTATCTGAGCTTGGAGAAAAACTCTGTGGTCCAAAGAGGGTGGGGAAATTTGGGAGCCAGGAAAGCACTAGAAAATCTTTTAAGGGGCTGCAAAGCACTCCTAACATTGGAATGCCCTATTTGCATGTCTAGGCCACAGGAAGAAGGAATGGAGTCAAAGCTGAACAAAGGACAGCAGCATTTATGGTCAGAGGAAAGTCCAAAAGGCTAAGGCAGGGGTGTCCAATCTTTTGGCTTCCCTGGGCCATATTGGAAGAAGAAGAATTGTTTTGGGCCACACATAAAATACACTAATGCTAGTGATAGCTGATGAGCTAAAACAAAACAACACACACACACACACACACACACACACACACACATCCCATATTGTTTTAAGAAAGTTTACAGATTTGTGCTGGGCCACATTCAAAGCTGTCCTGGGCCACATACAGCCTGCAGGCCTTGGGTTGGACAAGCTTGTTCTAAGGTCTGGGAAGAGTTAAAACATAAGAAATTGAAATAACCATTAGGTTTTTTGTTTTGGAGGTTCTTTTTTAAAAATCTATGATCAGACCAAGAAGAAAACAAAGCGTATGATAACAGACCTGCTTGAAGAAGCCCTCGTCATATTATAAGAGAAGCCACTCTTCCTCGTGTTGTTTCCACCTCCACCAACTATGAGAATGATCTTACTGGAAAGGGAGACTCTGGTAAGAGGTGACTGAGGCAGAAGACAGGTGTGGAGCTAGGAGAGTCGCAGCCCCTTTAAGTGAGAGCTACTCCTTTTTGGGTTTTCAGGCTCAGGTGAACCACATCCATAGACAGCTAAAAGAATCTGAACTGTCACTGATGAATCACTATCAGTAATCCTTCAGAAACCTCTGAGAAAAGGAAAGGTGATGAAATTGAGGAACTAAATAATTAACACTAAGAAGGGTCTAGAAGTATACACTAAGAAGCTTGGGATCAACATCCTGAAGAATTCTAGCCTGGAATATTAAATAGATGAATACCTATGAAAAGAAAGTGATGACTCTATTTTGGTGTCACTCCAAAAACTGACACAGGCTCACTGTCAAAAGGTATCAATTAATTTCCCTTTTTAAAAATAGAATTAGACCAGTAGCTCAGATGAGCGTAACTTCACAGACAGGATCCCAACACAGTTCTGGGACCCCCACAGAGCCCCTTCTCTCTCATTTATAACCACAGTTCCCTGGCACCACACAGGAAAATTATGCACATCTGGAGGAGAGGAGAGCTTGAGGTTAGGGTGCAAGGAAGGCTGCCACTTAGGATATCCCCTAAAGGTCACAGCCAAGCAGTGTGATGGCTGACACCTTAGAAATACATGCTTGTTAAGGCCTGCTAGTCCAAGCTGGATCAGTCTCCAGACTGTCATTCTCAAAACTAGCCAGCATAAAGACCACTGCTGGCAGGAGGGGAAGGGGGATGTTAAGAATATTTTAAGTGTGGTGACACCCTTCTCACTCAGTGACCTGTGACTGCCAAGCCAAGATCCCTGAATGGAAACGCCTGGTTGGAACTCCTTCTTAGCTCATCAGTGAGACAAGCATCTTTGGAGCTATTTTTTCCAAGGAAGGGGACGTCCCTGAAGGAAATGAGTAGATGCCAAGCAGAGAATATAGCAAATCAAAATACTTCCTGACACAGCCAAATCCTTGGCTGATGTACTTCCAGCTCAATGCCTGGAACTCAAGACCAGCCCAGGGAGGATCAGACACAGGCTCCCATGTGGCTAGAAGCGAAGAAGGTCCAAAGTGGCTTCAGAAATCTCTAAGACTGAAGACACCGGGCTTGTTCCAAGCCATAGGATTTCCAAGCTAAAGGGAAGATCGTACATCATCTTCTTACTTTAAAAAAAAAAAAAAAAAAAAAGGTGAGGGGAATATACAAGCGCTAAGGGAAACAATATTGCAGAGCTCCTTAAAGTGGTGAAGGATTTAAAGACTGTTCTTCAGAGCCCTTTTCCCCAAAGCGACATTTTTAGCCATGCACTGTTTAGTTAATTAACAGAGGAGACCAAAGGTTCAAACCAATCAGCCCCACTCCCAGCATTCAGTCCTGGAACTGACCCTGAGGTACTTCAGACCAGGGTGATGGGGAGAGAGGTCAGATGATCCGTGGCGATCTGGAACCAACCTCACAAAACTGCGTCATCCATGGACAGGCTGTAAGGGAACTAGCCACACCCCAGCCTCAGTCACGCTGCAAATTTAACCCTAAACAGAACATACTAAACATCAGTGTTGCTCAAAAGCTCGGAGACGCACTTTGGAGAAGGGAGGTGTACAAACAAGCATTTCTAGATGGCCGTCTTGTATGCCATCTTCCAGGGATGGGTCCAGAAACCAGCAGATATACTTTGGTTTGTTTTTTTTAACTGACACAAAATGGTTCGGAGACATGCCCACTCTCTCTCTCTCTCTCTCTCTCTCTCTCTCTCTCTCTCTCAAAGATTCCCTTTTCAATGCTCTGTTGGTTCTTCTGCTTGCCCCAAGAAAGAAACCTCCATCGTGCACTACCAGTCTTCAACACATGCTAAATCGGGGCAATGTGGAGACAGGGGAGGCAGTGATGGCAGCCAGGAGGGGACGGGCTGAAGCAAAAGACACTGAATACTTGAAACCACAAATCCTGAATCTGCAATTCCTCTATTTACTTAGAAACAGTTGCTGATGCTTACCCTGCCCAAAGATAAACTAGGACAAACCGGAAAGGGAAGGGGAAGCAGTGAGGTAAGGCCTGTTGTAAACCTGGCTCCATGCACGCAGAGGAAAAGCTCCCCGCGTGGTCAGAACATAGTTTTCCTCCCGATGAGAAAAGTTAGATAACAGTACGAATAGTGATATTAGGCTGTATCCAGGCACTAAGCAGACGCAGAGGGCTGCTGTCTTCACACACATAAAAGACATTTGGAGAACACTGTGGTGTGGTGGAAAGAGCATGGCATTTGGAGTCAGAGGAGGTGAACTTGAGTCCTGGCTCAGCCTAGGACAAGCTGTGTGACTTCAGGCCAGGCATTCAACCCCTCTGAGTTTCAATTCTCTGTGAACTATGAAACAAATGACTTAGACTAGCTGATCTTGTAGGTGTCTTTCAGCTCTATCATTCTGTTATGCTACTAATGATGCAACAAAAGAGTTATGCATCCACTCAGCAAGCATTTCATGAACACATTCTGCATGCCAGGTCCTCCGCTGGGTACGAGGCACAATCTTGCACCCAAGGAACCTTCCAATCCACATATGCGAGAGACTTACAAATGAGTCTGTACAGTACAAAGGGAGAGATGCATGCACAGGGTGAAGGGTTCCAGCAGAGGAGAGGGCAGACAGCAATCAGAAACAGTTGCCCGGGAGTGATTCCTGGGCTAACACTTGAGGTAGGAGGTAATTAGGCCAAAGGAAAGAAAAAAAGGAATAGTATGTACACATGATAGTATGCACTCAGGAATGGCCCAGTAGGGCATGTGGGGTGGGAGGAGTGCTAAGAGATCAAAGGCCTTATAAGCCAAACTAAGAAAAGCTACTGCCAAGCACCCCCGGGGCCCCTGTACCTCCCCTGCTGTTCACCTCAACAACTCCCTATATGGCCACATCAGGGTCAGAAACAGCTCCTCCAAGTCCCCTTATGTCAACAGCCAAGCAACCATCCCACCCCTGCCCCCAGCCCTCTCCTTTTGTCCCTGAGTCTCATCTAGCTCCACCTGCCGCCCTACACATCCAGGCCACACCTGCTGACACAGAAGCTTCCACTCAGTCACCCAGCAGGCCTTGCTTTCAGCTCTTGCTCAGCCCCCAATGCCCAACCCATGTCAGCTGTTCCAAATAGTTTCCATCTTCCTCAAAGCCACAATCACATCCCTCCCACCCACCCCAATCTCATGCTTAGTCGATGATTCCTACCTCCTCTGTTCCTGGGAATGACTGTCCAGCACAACTCCCATAGCAACCCTCCTGCCCACCTGTCCTAAGTTCCTTTCTACATGGTGCAGACAAAACCACGTATATCTCTGCTTACAAGCACAACAGAAAGCAAAGAGAAACACTCTATGAAGAAATAGAGATTGCATTCATCAATCAATGCATCAATGCAGGCTGTTGCCCATGCATGTGACTGGGCTCTGAAACAAGCACACTTAGGTGGGATAAGGTATATGAATGTACTCCGCATGCCAAAAGGCCCTGTGTAAATATTAGAGCTACTCCATATGTGTTGGTTGAATAAATGAATAAACAAATCAATGAATTTGAGGCAATCTAAAGAGCTGCAAAATACACAGTATTATCAGGCTTAGGAACCAGGAACACAGTCTAGAATTCAGCCAAGAAGATCCTTTCTAAAACCAGAGTTTTCAAAACTCTGGTCCCTCCTTTGCTCCTACACACACAGCCCACTTAATGCCAACCTGAGCAGTGCTGAATCATTCTAATGATGTATTTTGGCTATTTTGGAAATAACTTCCTAAAACAATATATTTAGTATAAAATACAAGCACAACAGGTTTAGTATATTGCACATATAGTACACTATACTTTGTGGGTGTGTATATACATTTGTACCATGCTCTAAGTGCCATTATAAGCTCTTAGCCAATGACTGCTAACACAGGCCCACAGCAAAACACCCCCTGCAGCCTCCATTACACCATCCTGTGCTGAGCATGTTCTACAAAATGTTTTGTTTTCTCTGCTAAAGCCTCTGTGCCATTTAATTTTTGTCCTGGTCACAATTTTGACTCATCAGAGCCAAGAGATGGTGTTCAACTGGCTTTGGACCCACCACAAAAAAAAATTAAGAAACAATATAACCCAGGATTGTAAAATCCAAGTATTAGGGTAGTCCAAGTCTCATGAGCACCGGTGAAGACGGGTAGGCTTACAGACCTGAGAGCTCTAGTCATCAGAAATATTCTGCGGGATGACAAGAAGATGAAAACTCTCTGCCTGGGGTTTACTCTGTACCATCTACTAAACAGAGCTACAGAATTTCCTCTCAGTGCGGCAAGTTCAGGATAATACCATGAGCTGGTGAGTACATAACTCACTATATTTAGTTCTTCTTTCGTGTTTATTACTGGCAGCCATGAGAAATAAACGATGACATTAGGAACCCATCTCTACTGAGACTCTGCCCTTTGAACCCCACAGAAGTTGTTACATGGCCAGTACTCCAGGTTTACCCAGCACTGAGTATGTGCAGTATGTGACAGAATAGTGGAATTCTAGAATGTCAGAGCTTGAGGAAGGCCCAGACATGATCTCATTTATCTCAGAAACAACTAAAGCTCAGAGACAGCAGGTTGCTGTAGAGTTGGTGGCAAGTCACGTATACCAACAGTCTGATGAACTCTCACCCCAAAACCAAGAAGCCAAAAATGAAAAAGGTTGAAATTCAGTCTCCATCTGGGCTAGCATTTAGTCTTCAGCAGTCTACAAGAATGATTTCAGAAAGGAAACGACGACATGAGAAGAAACAGAAACTGTGGATCATGATGGCTCATAAAATAGGAATGACTCGGATTAAGTTCAGTTATTCAAGTTTTAGGTTGGTTGGGCTTTCTTGGTGGTGGTGGTGGTGTGAAATTCCTTTTCTAAAATCTACAGATGCTTTAGAAGGTACCAGACCCAAAAACTAATTCTTTGTTTCATTAAAACACTGGTGACTTCTGTTGTCCAGTTTTATATTTTTGTCTATTAAAAGGAAAAAAACCTAAGAAACATTCAACTCCTTTGAGTTCAGTAGTTCACTTCTATTTGAAAAATAAAATGAAAATATTTAAGAGCAAATGTAATTAGTAAATTTGTATAAATGTTCCCAACATGGTATTTTTGTGAGTAAATCACATTATACAAAGGACATTATATGTTTCAAAACTAATATAATGACTTGATATTTGTAAAGAATACTTTTTAAAAATTACATTGTTGCTTTCTTTCCTTCCTCTTAGTTAAAAACACACAAATTCCATTCTTTCTTTTTTTTTTTTAGATGTAGTTTTGCTCTTGCTGCCCAGGCTGGAGTGCAATGCAATGGCGCCATCTCGGCTCACTGCAAACTTTGCCTCCCAGGTTCAAGCAATTCTCCTGCCTCAGCCTCCTGAATAGCTGGGATTATGGGTGCCCGCCACCATGCCTGGCTAATTTTTTTGTATTTTTAGTAGAGACGGGATTTCACTATGTTGGCCAGGCTGGTCTTGAACTCCTCATCTCAGGTGATCCGCCCACCTCGGCCTCCCAAAGTGCTGGGATTACAGGCATCAGCCACCAGGCCCAGCCATAAAACACACAAATTTATTTAAAGAAAAAAATATTTGTTTCACCCTACTGTCCCAACATTTTTTTCCCTATCATTTAAATTTTAGTTTCCTTATTTAAAAAGAGAGGTATCAGGCTGGGCGTGGTGGCTCACACCTGTAATCCCAGCACCTTGGGAAGCTGAGGTGGGCGGATAGCTTGAGGTTGAGACCAGTTCGAGACCAGCCTGGCCAACATGACGAAACCCCATCTCTACTAAAAATACAAAAATTAGCTGGGCATGGTGGTGCAACCTGTGGTCCCAGCTACTGGGGAGGCTGAAGCATAAGAATCGCTTGAACCTGGGAGGCGGAGGTTGCAGTGAGCCGAGATCACACCACTGCACTCCAGCCTGGGCAACAGAGTGAGACTCCATTTCAACAAAAAAAAAGGTTGTTTTGTTGAACCTAAAGATCTCTTGATTTTTTAGGATAAGATTTTAAACGAACAGTAAGTCAGGGGTGACAAAACCAAAAGCCTGAGAGGATCAAACAGGTAGCAAACAGGTGATGTGGGGACCACAGCAAATTGGACTCCCTCCTGAGGGGGCAACCTCTGTTCCATTCCAGCCCACTGTCCCATGCAAGAATAGAGCCCAGTACTGCTAGATATTCTAGTTTTTCATGAGTAGTTAGAAATCAAATTATGTAAGATTTTCTGATTTTTAAAACTCTGGCCACTACTTTAAAAACTTTTAAAACACTGGTGTTTTGTGGCCAGCTAGCTTGCAATCTGGCCACAGAAGACAAAATGCTATAAATATGATAAATTCAGGGAACAAATAAATACAATGTCCAGAAACATGAAATCTGCTGGAAAATGAAATTAGCTGTTAGAAAACAAAAAGGGGCTGGGCGTGGTGGCTCACACCTGTAATCCCAGCACTTTGGGAGGCAGAGGTGGGTGCACAGCTTGAGCCTAGGAGTTCAAGACCAGCCTAGCCAACATGGTGAAATCCTGTCTGTACAAAAAAATACAAAAATTAGCTGGGCATGGTGGCGCACACCTGCAGTCCCAGTTACTAACGGGGCTGATTGGGAAGACTGTTTGAGCCTGGGAGGTCGAGGCTGCAATGAGCCATAATCGCACCACTGCACTCCAGCCGGGACAACAGTGCGAGACCCTGTCTCAAATAGAAAGGAAACAAAAAGTGTAAAGGTGCTTCTGCTTCCTTTTTAAATTAAAAGGATTAGCAACTCATATAAGAGACTATTTCCAACTTTTGAGTCCATGTTGGGACAATTCTGGAAGTTGTAAATTTTATTGAAGTTAGGCTGCCTTGAACATAGCTATCTTCCCCAGTCTTTCACCTAGATCTAATCAGAAAAGCCATCTTTTACAGCAGGCACCTACCTGCCACACAGAGCTATCCAGAAGCACATTTAGCATGGGATGTGTGACTAAGCATGGTAACTGGGCAGGGGAATGTCATCTCCTAAAAATGTAGAAGTGTTATACATGGAAATTGTGTACGTGCATATGTACCTTAAAGGGGTTCCTGACCCTTTACCCAAAAAGCCTAAAAACCAATATCTTACTGATTATAATAGTGAATGCTGAATTATCCAAAGTTCAACAAGCACAAATAATACAATCATTTTTTTCAAGCACACCTCTGCAGGAATCATTTTTTATTTAATCACTGCCATAATCAGTAGACTAGAGAAATTCTCTCTGAGTGAGAAAAACATGGAGTGAGTCATCTCTATGTTGATAAGGAGACAGCAGGATGAGGGCACTGCTGTGAAGTAGGCATCAAATGGTGCCTTGTCTAAATTAGTCAGTGGAACAATCAGAATGATTTCTTCCCATGACGAGCAGTAATCACCGGAGATGATGCTGATCTCCTTGTTTTAGTGACGACCCCAACACAATTTAATGTTTACTTCTCCAAACCAGGGCAAAAAAAAAGAAAAAAAAAGGAAAGACAAAAAATGTATTCCACTCTCTATTTGTAGTCACTAGATGGAAAAAGAGAAAGTATCTTGTTTTTACATGTGGCTGGCAAATGTGCTACAACTTCCTGTTTGTTTAAAAAGTACAAATGCAAATGTGTAAATCTCTTGGAGAAACACCAACACCTAAGAGATGTCGCTGTTGTGTGAAATGGATATCATGTCATTGTAGGTCACAATAACTTTGGCCAGAAAGTGGCCTTATGAACCTCTGGTGATATAAAGCAATATGGCAGCCCAGGGAGATACTTCTAGACAATGACCCCTGAGAAGCTGCCCCCAATAGCACACACTCCAAACAGCAGTGTGGTGACTGGCATCATTGGTTCTGGACACCGAATTAGAATTCAGTTGCCACCCTACTCTTTCAGAGAGGTGGCAACTTATACAAATTCTATTTTGAGCATTTTCCTAGGGTAGCTGGAATTCTTAAGATAAAGAAAATGGGTTTGGATTGCTTTTTAATTTGTCTGAACTCCGCGGTTAGAAACTATCAATCACAAAGGATTCCAAATCCTGTTCTGTTCCACAATGCAAGAAGACCTTGTTCTAAAGGGCAGCAGTGAGATGTTCAGTTGAAATGGCCATAATCTGTGGCTCAACTCATGGCGACCACCTCATTTCAAATCCATATTTGTCTAAAGCTGCTGAAAAAAGAAAATATTGAGCACAAACAGCTTTAAATCCTTTTTAGAAATAAGGGAAAGGATGGAAGAAAGAAATTGGCCTGACATATCCCCATACATGCAAAATTTGAAACTCAAGTCAAAGTACTCTAGTCCCAAGCCGTTAATGAATGTGAAGCCTCAGACCAATTAAAGGCACTGTGAACAGGCAATGCCCTCAATCAAAAGACATATTGAGCAAGAGGAGTTATAAACCAACTGGTGAGGAAACTTTCAATGTTTCTAGATCATTTATAAAGAATAAAAGGGATACTATTATTATCCTTTTTAAATATAATATATAAACATAACACACAAAAAAATTTTAAGTAGCTACCCATCTCAGGCCTCTCCTCCTGAGATGGTCTACAAATATACAAGCACTGAAGACTATTCTACAGCCTCAGCGGTTTTTTTGTTTGTGTGTGTGTCTGTGTGTGTGTTTAACTTACGAAGGATACCACCAGTTTTTTAATGTCCCACCACTCTAAGTCTCCAGGGGCATAGGAAGATCCCATACCTTTTTTATTCCTGAAATCACTTACTGAAGGAGGAATCAGAAGGAAAAATCCTCCCCCTATGATTGCCAGTAAGTTTCATTCTTTTTAATTTTATTTAAGTTCCACTCTGTGAGAAAAGACAACAAATGAAAACCAGGGTTGATGCCATTCATTATAAATACCATTCCACTGAAACCCTCATTTGCCATAAACCGTTGGTCATAGACAGAACACTACACAATTAATGTTCATTTTCTAGAGATTACATGTTCCAGAAGTACCACTCAGAGTGTTTTCACTCAAGCTGGGGAGTCTTGAAATACATGTAGAAGCAAGTCAGCACTGCCCATGCCCACGGGAGGGCCAGACCCCATTCTAGAATGCTGCTGATCACCCTGCCCTCTCTCATCATCATTTCCACAAAAGGCCTGAGAAGACCACATGGGGTTGGGGTTGAGGGAAGGAGTGAAAATGTTTTCAAAGAAGGAAATTGTGAGGATATTCAAAAGCTTTGAGGGCAGGGGGATTGGGGGGTTCCTAAACTGAAAGGCTCACAAAGGCAGTCAGACGGAGGAAGGCTCACATAGGCAGTCGGAGGAGGAGGCAAATAGGCTTTGGAGCCAGTGATGGTGGGAAGAGGCAAAAATGTCTATGGCAGCTGGAGACTGCAAGACTAAAGGAACTCACTAGGAGCCTCAAAATGGGAAAACTAAGGCGCCCAACGAGGAGATGGAAGAAGCTCAATGAGACGATTTGTCTGGGAAACAGACAAAGCAAATATGGGACAGCTGCATTTTATGCCAGAAGCCCACAAATAGATGAAGATGTGCATGAGTCAGAACTGATTTTCTCGTATCAGTCAATGGCAGTTGAGGGGTACAGGTGGAATGCAACTATCTACCACAACCATCACAGTATATTTGTTATCTTGTAGCATTTATCCTTGATATTTTGAAGATAATCATAAATATCTTCTAACTTCTAGCCCTGTAAATCATGGTGCCTGTTTGGCCTTCTTCAGAAAATTTTATGATGTCTAACTTTTCATTGCAAAATTACTGATTTTCAGGTATGTTTTCACTTAGTGAACCCTCAATGAACTTTTGGATGATATAACTATTGAATGAGAAAAATACCTGAAATGTAATAACAGTAAATTAAATTTAGTCATTGAAATGGCTTGTAGAAGTTCCAGTGCCTAAGAGCAATGTAGCTTACAGGCTATTGGCAAAGGCTGCTGGATGTTCCTGCTTGCTAATAATTCACTCAGCTGACCAGATTTATAATTATGCAATCTTGAAACTAATTTTCTTGATTTGGGGAAGTCACAGCACTTCAAACTTTTTACATAAGGTGAGACTTTATGACTACTTTTATATCATATTATCTCATTTGTATAATTCATATTTGCATAAAATGGAAACCATATTCATTAGCATGTCTTTATTTACTTCTTAGTGGGGACTTTATATGGAAAATATACCCTTTGCCTTCGTCTTCCCTCTTTCCTCTGTCAAAAATCCTACGCATCTCTTCCTTTCTCTCCCTAGATGATCTCATTCAGTCTCATGGCTTTAAATATCATCTACATGCCAATGACTATGAGAGATACCATTTCCAGCCCCAGCCAACTCTACATCTTTATGAGAATATTGAATGAGCATCTCAAACCTAAGACGGCCCAACAGAACCCTTAGGGTCCCTCTTTGCTCCTTATCTCAGTGAACGGCAACGTCATTCACCTAGCCAAAAACATTGGACTAATCCTGACTCTTGTTTTTACTCACATGCCACATGCAACCTAGAAGGCTCTACCTTCAAAATGTATCCTGAGCCTGACCGCTTCTTCGTATCATTCAATCATCACTACTCTAATCCAAGCCACACCCTAATCTCCTGCCTGGACCACTGGAAGGACCTCCGATAGGTTATACAGATTCTACTCTTGCCCCTAGCATCTATTCTGCACTCAGGATCCAGAGGAAAAATGTTAAAGCACAAAGAAGATCACATGGACTATGGAATCCAATCACTCTCAGAGTAAAAATCAAACTCCTTACCATGGCCTACAGGGTCTGGCTCTCACCTACTGCTCTTATTTCACATCACTCTCCCTCCCTATGAACACCCCCCAGCCCAAGTCCAGCCAAACTGCTCCTCTACTAAGCCAAGCTTATCCTACGTCAAAGGCCTTTCTTTTCACTTGCTATTCCCTCTGCCTGAACACTTCTCCTCCCCTGGTTCCTTTACTCCACTCAGGTCTCTGCACAAAACCAATCTCCTTCTTTTTCTCTCTCACATACATAGAAGCCTTTTTAGACCATTCTTTCAAAAAGAGCCCCGCCAGCCCTTCACCTTGTTTTACTGTTTTCATACCACTCATTACCACCTGAAATTATATTGTCTATTTAGTTATTTGTTTGCTTCCTTCATAAGTATTGCTCACAATACTTAGTGAACACCCATCAGGTGTGAGGTGCTCTTCTAAGAGCTGAGGATACAACAGTGAACAAGACAAGACAAGCAAAGACCCCTGTCCTCATGGAGCTCACATTCTTATGTATCATTCCCACTCAAATCTAAGATCCAGGGAGGCATAGGCACAGTCTATCTTACGACCACTGAATCCCCAGAACAGTGCCTTGGCACAGAGCAGGCATTAATACATATTTGTTGAATACATAAGTGTCCTGCTACCTGATGCCATCTGCTTCCCTGAGGACTTCCACTACAGAGCCCTTCCTGCCTACCAGATGGGATTCAGGTTCTGGGACTCAGAATGTCACTGTGTCCCCTTGGACAGGGGAGTCTAGACAGCCAGCCTCCTGTGGCTGATCTGGTTCCCTAATCCTGGGCCTGCTTACCTAACTGACTGCCCTTCCTTCCTATTCCAACCCCCAGCATCCTGCAAACTCACCAGTGGCCATCCCACTGGGATCTGTCTCAGTAGGTCACAGGAGCACCTGATCCACATCATAGGAGCTGACCAGGTAGTGTTAAACAGGCCAGCTTTTCTCTACAAAGAGTAGCTCAAATAAAGATGCATGGGTTGTTCAGCGTCCCTGGCCCATGGTGGTCCTTTCCCTCAATATCTCACCTAAGACCTCCAACATCCACTAGCTGTCATACCTGGAGGCACTCTCACCTCAGCACTGGAACACACTGTTATTAAGGACATATTTTTGCCTCTTTCAACTGTCATAGAGGCAAGACATGTACCTGCTGTGATGAGTAATTAAGTTTCTTTCAAAAAAAGGAAGAACATTTGTTAACTGTGAAATTCTCTGATCTCAAATAAAAATGAAGGTAATTGTGAAATGTCGTTAATTCATCTTTCAAGAAAATGGTAGCTATAGTGGTAGGAAGGGAAAAAAAAAAGAGAGAATGGAAATCTCTTGAAGAACCACTCTGAAAGTCTCAGAAAATAAGTATTTAAAACCCATTATTTCCAACATATCAGTTTCACACTTTAATGTATCTGTTGGCTCAGAAGTGCCCTGCTTGAAAACCCCTATGAGACTGGCAGATGAAGGTGTCTGTGAACATCACAAAAGTCAAGGCAGGAAGCCCCTAACTGGTGGTCAGTTGAATTGGGCTGACTATGGCAGCTACACTGTAACACTTATATCTGGAATTCCAACTTGAAAAAGTGTGTTAATAAAGTTAATAAATGTAGCAGATAGGGGGAGAACTGCCTTGCTCTACATCTCAGAGCCAAACAGTATTACCTTCTATTTGCCCAGGACTTTATTCTCCCTGGGAAAATATAAGCATTCGTGCATACATTACTTCTTGCATGGATTATCTCTTTTAGTCTGCAAAGCAAACATATCCTGTAAACAGCAGGATATGTTTCTCTGTCTGGGGCCTGGGAGGTCAAAGAATTCACCTACAATCCCACAGTAAAAATGGCAGAATCAAGTAAGTACCAAAACCCAGATATGCCTAGGCCCAGCCCAGTATACTTCCTTCTATAATAGAAAGGACAGCATAGTTCTCTGCAAATCGCATTCTACAGTTAACAAAGCATTTCCCTTCACTGAGAAGAAGGAAAAAAACACATATATTCACCAGTGGTTTAAGGTGGTGGGAAGATGCATTGGTCCAGGAGCTCTGGGCAGAAAGCTTTCACGAACTCTTCCAAAGGATGCCAACTCCTGCAATGACAAATGTACAAAACACCTGGTGTGAATCACAGGCACCCTGTGGCCTCTCCCCAACAGGACTCATTTAAACACCATTTGCCAGGCAATTTAGGCATAAACCCCTATCTCTTGTAGCCCGATTTCCTTCCCCACTCTGACTTCCCAAAGTAGAACAAGGATCTTTAATTCACCAGCTGAAATGGTCCCCATTAGAATCACAGGATCTTGGGCAGAAGGCAGCTTTAGAGATCATCTTTAATGGAGATCACAAACTGAAAGCACAAGGGGTGACATCCAACCTGTGGAAGTGTTACATTTCATCTATGGATATGTTTAGAAAATCTGAGCCAAACATAAAAATCAGAGCTATCACACAAAAACCCAGATTTCTGGCTTCTCTTAAAGAAAGAAAAAAAAATCAGACCTGTCAACATGGCCCACATTTATGTCTTAAAATGATCAGGTGGTGCTAAGCATTAAAAGCAGTCACCCTTCATAGGCAGGCTTGGCCGCTCCAATATACCACAGTCCCCACCACTCCCTATTGTCTCCTCCACACAGAGAAGAACTGGGGTTGTCATTAGTCATTGCCCTTGCATTATTTTTTTCTTGCGGTACAGAAATATTTTCTTCTACTTATAATTCTAACACAAGTGGGAAAACAAAAGGGGCCTAGTTCCAAGAAAAAAAAAATGGTAGAGCCCATATAATAACTCAAGTTGGTAGCCTCACTCCTGTAGACATTTGCAACCCCCAAAGAAGTACAACACTCCCACTTTACATGAATTAAATGTAAGCAGGAAACTGACTTGCCCACTCCCATAGTTAGATGCAGAGGTCAATCTAGGTCTCTCGATTGCCTAATCCAGGACTCGTACACTATGCTGGACTACATACTAGTCTTATACTATTAAGCAAAAAAATTAATACAATAAACAAGTACACACACACAATTAACTAATTAAAGATAATTATCAAAAATAATACTTTCAGAGAAGTATTAAAGTCAAGGAAATACAGTTGAAGCACCCCACTTTCCACTAAAATGCTTGCCATACATCAAAAGTGCTCAGTGTCCTAAACGGTCTTGAGTACTCTTTATGCTAGAAAAATCTCCCCTAACATGCATCTTCAATACAAGACTGTAAATAAGTTTATGTACAAGGTAACAGCACTGTAATAAGTAAGCAATGTTCAACAATAAGATCTTGATAGTACTTATTTATATCACTCCCACAAAGAATTTATTGATTCATTCACTTAACAAATATTTATTGAGCCCTATTACACTCCAGGAAGTATGCAAGGTGATGGAGATACAAAAGTGAACAAGACCCTCAAGTTGATCTGAATAAAAGATAGATCCAGACACTCAAAATGAATTATAAAATAATGGGTAATTGTAGTGATCTGCAGTCAAATGCTCTACCCCTGAGCTAAACCCTCTACGGTAAGTGTAGTGATCTGAGTATGCACCTGTGTTATGGGAGCACTGAGCAGGGGCACCTGATGCAGTGGAGGTGAAAAGATACTTCCTAGCATGGACAGAGGCCTCAGGAAATCCTAAAGGTTGGATGGGAGTGGACCAGGCACAGTGAGAAATGGACGACAATGGAGGCAAAAGCAAGGAGATGAGAAGAGCCCCTACAATTTGGTCTTGTCCAGATCTCCTATTAGCTCTGGGTCTTAAAAGCCCCTGCCTGATGCCACGTGACCCAACATCTGCTGGACTTGATCCACAGACCTACATATGCACTTACAGAAGTTTATCTTGACAAGTGTCCATATCAAAAATGTCACTAATTCAGCCCTGCTCCCTGGCAATGCCTACCTACGACTCCCTGGAGTCTGCTGTCCCAGAGTCTGCAGGGCCTAAGAAACACAGTGGTAGAAATACTAAGCCTTCAGGCGCAGTGGCTCACACCTATAATCCCAGCACTTTGGGAGGCCGAGATGGGTGGATCATGAGTTCAGGAGTTTGAGACCCGCCTGACCAACATGGTGAAACCCCATCTCTACTAAAAATAAAAAATTAGCTAAGCATGGTGGCACGCACCTGTAATCCCAGCTACTCAGGAGGCTGAGGCAGGACAATCGCTTGAACCAGGGAAGCAGACTTTGCAGTGAGCCAAGATCACGCCGCTGCACTCCAGCCTGGGCGACAGAGTGAGACTCCGTCTCAAAAAAAAAAAAGAAAAAAGAAATAAAGAAATACTAAGCCTTTCATGATGGACAAAAGACAGTAAATAAAGATGTTTTTCTCATACCAGTCACAAGGCTGCCCTGTCTATCTCCACCCCAGGACCTGGATTTCCGCAGCAAGAAGCTACTATGCATTTGAGCCTCAAGCAGGAAGCCTTGTGAAAAATGTTCCAGAATATCTGCCCATCAAAATCCCCACATGGAGTTCTCCTTTTCTTCATAGATAAGAAAGAAGTGAGTCACCAGCCCTGATCTAGGCTGAGGCAAAGCCGGGGAAAAGCACTCCAAAACACAGGCTGGAAAGCAGCACACAGAGGAGTAAAGACCAAACACGTGGTCAAGGGTAGGGTTCCGGTTCAAGGCCCGTATGAGGAAACAAACAGGCAGAATTCACCTGAAGAATCGGAAGAGCTTCCCTGAATCAGTAACTAGTGGGCAGGTTCCTGAGTATGGCTGAAAATTAGAAACACCTGCAGAACTACAGCAACAAAATAACCCCCTATGTACCACAGCCATTAAATCAAAATCTATGGTTTAGAGGTCCAAGCACTGTCCAGAACCTCCTCACAGGTGATTGCGATGTCCAATATGAAAAGAGTGTATTTCACCCAGAGGTCTCAGAAGCTCCAAAACCTCTTCAAGGACATGAATTCAGCATCCTCCAGGAAAGAGCCAAGGATCCAGATCTTTAGGGGAGTAGCACATCCCTGGTATGTTTACCCACTCTCTGCATCACACTATGACAACCACAACTTCTTTTAAATAAATGTAAAAAAAAAAAAAAAAAAAAAAAAAAGGAATGCCAGCAGCCAGAATAGCAAATGGGTAAGTGAAGTGGCCTTCCTCTTTGCCCCCATCCCTTGTATACCATGGCCCAATGTCAGTGCCTCTTGGTAAACGATTGGGGGTGTCCAATCTCAGCAGCAGATCTGAGCCTTCATACACCTGTGTGGGTTCACTGCTCTGGCAGAAGAAAGGATGTGGGAGCATCCAGTCATTCAGGTGGCCTTCGAGGAATAGCTCCAAGGCACAGAGCACTCTGATCAGGTCCTTCCTGCCCACCAAAGCGCAGGACTCTACCGGTCAATGCAGCGCCTGCAAACCTGCCAAGCCTGGCTGAGCACCTCTCTTTCCAGATCTCCACTTTGTGGTCATGTAACGACCTGAGCAATCTCAAGCTAAGACTGGCAAAGTAAATGCCGTGTACCGCAAAGATGACAGACGGATCGGAGTAAACCGGCTCCCTGAATGCACCAGCCTGCAGAAATCTCTTCCCCCAATATTACAAGGTGCCACTAGGTGACCTTCAGGCAGCCAGCACCAGAGAAACCCACAGCTGACTAAGGTCAGCCTTTCTGATTGCAAGGCCCAGCAGCAATCCATACTATCCTTCCAAGGAACAAGGAAACAGGCAGGTGTCCCCATCAACCTAAGGATCCTCCATGTGAGCCATAATGCAAACTTGGAAGAGCATGGTGGAGGAGGAAGTTTAGGAAAAGCTCAAGATCATAATTTGCCCCCTCTTGGTGGTCCTCAATTTTTATTTTTATTTATTTATTTATTTATTTATTTATTTGTTTATTTATTTATTTTGAGAAGGAGTCTTGCTCTGTCACCCAGGCTGGAGTGCAGTGGCATGATCTCGGCTCACTGCAAGCTCCACCTCCCAGGTTCACGCCATTCTCCTGCCTCAGCCTCCTGAGTAGCTGGGACTACAGGCGCCTGTCGCCATGCCCAGCCAATTTTTTATATTTTTGGTAGAGACGGGGTTTCACCATGTTAGCCAGGATGGTCTCAATCTCCTGATCTCGTAATCCACCCGCCTCGGCCTCCCCAAGTGCTGGGATTACAGGCATGAGCCACCGCACCCGGTGGTGGTCCTCAATTTTTAAAAGATTCACTAATTTTCCCTACAGTACTGTTATATTCTGGCCTAAAACAAGACATTTCTCTGTCCCAACCCCCCAAAAGACTTCACAAGAGTTGTCCCAGGCCCTGCCAAAGACCTCAAACCATCACTCCCTAATTCATCCCCCATCCCAAGAATACAGATCAATACCAACCATTGTGAAAGTCACCTCTGCCACCCTCATTCCTACCAAACATCAATCCAGGCCACCCGACCCACTCTGGACCACTCTGGGCTCTCCTGTTACAAGTTCTCAAAGCCCCATGTATCTCTCCTTCCTAGCATGAATCACTTATATTTTCACATTGTTGTCCCACTAACCTATATATGGACAGGGATCCATATAATCATTTCTGCTTTGCTTTGTTACTGCTGTTGTTTTAAAATTTTAAGGGGTCTTTGTTTGATGGCTCACTGTATCCCAATATAGTACCTTGGAGCCCTCTGGTTTCCTTCAAAATACACCTCAAATTTCATGCCACTCAGCTCAGACTTGGTCCCTCTCTCCTTGTTCCAGATCCAAGGCCCAAGCTGCTTTCCGAGCTCACGACATACTCTCTTCTCCTTCTCCCTCCACAAATTCCAACTCTTCCATCAACAAACACAGGCAGTCCAGGGGAGAAAATGCCCAACTGGCCCTGAGGCTGACCAGTTTGGGAAGGAAACAAATCAGAAGTTATCTATTTCATGTTTGGGCAGTGTTTTTTTGTTTTTGTTTTTTTTGAAACAGAGTCTCACTCTGTCGCCCAGGCTGGAGTGCAATGGCATGATCTTGGCTCAGAGCAACCTCCGCCTTCCAGGTTCAAGCGATCCTCCTGCCTCAGCCTCCTAAGTAGCTGGGACTACAAGCATGCACCACCATGCCCGGCTAATTTTTGTATTTTTAGTAGAGACGGGGTTTCACCATGTTGGCCAGGCTGGTCTCGAACTCTTGACCTCGTGATCCGCCTGCCTCGGCCTCCCAAAGTGCTGGGATTACAAGCGTGAGCCACCGTGCCCCACCATGGGCAGTGTTTTTTTAAATCACACTGCATTATTTTATTTAAGATGAAGTTCTAATATGCAAAATGAATCCCTTTTCTGACTTTGAAAAAGACTTCTCTCTTTTCCATAACAAAACCCACTGGGGCCATAACTGGTGCCAACATCTCTAGGACCTGAACCCCACTGAAGCTTCCTGGGTGCTCAATGATGAGGTCGCTCCCACTTCCCAAACACCTCTTGGCTGTGTTCCCATTGCCCAGCTGTCCTCCTCCTGCATCCATTGGCAAAGGAAGATGAATCCTCAAGAGCTTTTTAAAGCTCTTCCACCTACTCCACTGATTCAGTAGGAGGGAGAATGAATGTTTCCAAGTTCTCTGAATGACACAAAGCTCATAAAGTATAACAAAATTAGTTGAAAATAACAAAATGAGTTTAGCTCTCCCTTCAAAAAAAAGGAAAAAAAGAAAGCATGCCTACTTTCAATGATTCACAATGACTTCACAATTTTTCCTCCACTAGGATATGTATTCTTCCTCCCAAAGCTAATGGTTCTCTCTCCTCCCCTCCCTAAGACAGTGTAGGGCCAGATCTCCAGAAACCTGCTCTATCTGATTTGAGACCCCCTGAAAAAATCTCGACAAAGCCCAGGGTAACCCATGCCAGAGGGTCCTTCCCCAGTCTTTGCATTTGCTGTTCTCTCTGCCTGCAAAGCTCTTTCCCTTTTTCTCACCACGGAAAGAGAGCACTCACTTTTGAGAGCTCAGATCAAATATGCTTTTTCACTGGGGCCAGCCCAGACTCCCTAACCTTACTCTCACCAGCAAAAGCTGCTTTCCTTGTAGACCCTCTCACAATCTGTAATTATCTTATTTATCTGTATTTCCCTTTAGGGGGTAAGAATCTTGCCCAACTTGTTTACTGCGGTACCCCCAGCAACACAACACATAGCAAGTACTCAGTAAAACGTTGCTGAGTGGGTGGGCGGGTAAACAAGGAGGAGGAGGCAGGCCAGTGGGAACAGGGCTGAGAGCCCTTTAAAGATGCCCCATGGCATCTTCATCATGGCATGAAGCGTGGGCAGGACTTCATCATGGCCTCTAGAATGGGTCTCTTGGTTTCTCTTGCCTTGATTCTTCTCAAGTCTGTTGCTACTTAGATACTGGTTCCACCACCATATACCCCTGACTCCACCCCAATTGTTCAGACCTGGGTATTTCCCAGGAAACCCAGTTCCCATGTTTGGCTTCTCTTACTCTGCCTCCATTCAGCCATCCTCAGCTTGAAAAATTCAGACATCCATAGCCGTGTCTGACTTTTTATGACGTCAAGACCCTCAAGAATCTGACCCAAGCCCACCCCTCGAACCATATCTCCAATACCCCACTTCGCCCTCCATCACCACCAATGAGCTCACGGTTCAACTCTCTGGATCCATCATGCCTAAACCTTTGCTCAGGTCTCTACTGCTTAAAACATCTTTCTGCTGCCTCGTTACCTGTTAGCTTCCTTCCACCCCTTAAATCATCCCTCACCATCACCACCACCCCACCCCCAGGCTAGAACTGATACCCTTTCCCTCTGCCCCACAGTCATATTTGCCCTCAACATCTGGAAATTATCTTTAATCTCTTTGTTTCCCCCAAATGACTGCCCCTTGATGGCTGGGACCCATTCAATTCATCCCTGTTGGCCCAGAGCCTGGCACATAGTAGGCACTCAATAAACATACACTGAACTAAACTACCTTGTTTTCTCGGTGACAATTCCCATTTCCAAAGTGACTCTTTGCATAATGTTAATACTCAGTACAAGTAAGAGAAACATTCTGTTATTACGCATGCTTACTTAAGCCAACTGATAAGAAATAGCTGGGGTGGTAGTTTTATCACCATCATCATAAAACTGAAGACCTGAATGCTAACAGGCAGAAAGGTATGGTACAAAGAGTACTGGTTCTGGGTTCAAGTCCAGACTAGGGCAGTTGCCAGCAGCATAATTATGGGCATGTTACCTTCCTTCTCTGGCCCTAAGTTTCTTCCTCTGTAAGATAAAAGGCCCAATCAGACACGAATGGTCACATACTGTATGATTCCATTTACATGAAATGTCCAGAATAGATAAATCCATAGAGACAGAAAGTAGATTGTTTGTTGTCAGGAAAAGGGGGTAGAGGGGAATGGGGTGAAAATGCTAAATGGAGCTTCTTTTTGGGGTGACAAAAATGTTCTGGAATTAGTAGTGATGGTTGCAAACCTTTGTGAATATACTTAAAAAAACTGTCTACTTAAATGGTTAAAACAATGAATTTTGTGTCATGTGAAATTTATCTGAATAAAAGAAAGAAAGAAAGGGCTAGACTAGAACAGAGGTTGAAAATTGGAGGTCAACGGGCCACACCAGGCCTATGGCATGTTCTTTAGACCTAAACAAAGTTTTCAATGTTATATTTGCACAAACAATTCAAAAGCCAAAGATTTTCTTTTTAATTATTTTTTTTTATAGCGATGAGGTCTCATTATGTTGCCCAGGCTGGTTTCAAGCTCCTAGGCTCAAGCGATCCTCCTGCCTCAGCCTCCCAAAGTGCTGAGATTACAGGCATGAGCCATAGCGCCCAGCCTCAAAGGTTTTCTTGATTATGGTGGTCATTATACAAATCTGCACAGGACTACATACACATGTGCACACACACAAATGAGTACATATAACACAAATGATATCTGAATAAGACTGTAGCATTGTCAATTTCCTGGTTTTGATGTCATACTATACCTACATAAAATATTAACACTGGGGAAGTGGGGTGAAGGGCACACAGGATCCCTCTGTACCATTTGTTGCCACTTCCTGTGAGTCTATAATGTTTTTTTTTTTTTTTTTTTTTTTTTTTTTTAGACGGAGTCTGGCTCTGTCGCCCAGGCTAGAGCACAGTGCCATAATCTTGGCTCACTGCAACCTCCACCTCCTGGGTTCAAGTGATTCTCCTGCCTCGGCCTCCCCTAGCTGGGATTACAGGCGTCCACCACCACGCCCAGCCAATTTTTGTATTTTTAGTAGAGATACATTTTCACCATGTTGGCTAGGCTGGTCTCGAACTTCTGACCTCAAGCGATCTGCCAGCTTCAGCCCCCAAAGTGCTGGGATTACAGGCACGAGCCACCATGCCCGGCCTTGTAATGATTTTTAAATTACAATAACATTTATAAAGCCAAACATTTTATAATTTCAAAATGTGGCTTCTCTTTAAAAATAACAGGATCTGGCAACACAGGGCCTCAAGGATAACAACTGGATGGAGCCGGGTAGTAGCTGCTGCCCTGTAAATGGCCAAGGCTCTCCGATTCATCTCCCTAACGCCAAAGCTGAGTGTTGGCTGCCATTGATCCCAGTTGCATGCACTGGTTTTTCTCTTACAAAAGATAAATATTTATCTATCAAAAACAGGAAAATGAAAGGTCAAGAGTCTTATGTTTCCAGAAAAAAGGAAGACCACAACATTTTTGTGAGTGCGGAGAACATTCCTAACAGTTTGGTCTTCAATCTCTTACCCTTCATCTCGTGCTACCTGCCTGACCTCTGAAGCATTTGAGGTTTAGACTCCCAGACTCTCTTTTGGACCAAATTTCTTACTATGTCAGCAAATAAACTTTAAAATCAAACCACTGGAAAAGAACACAGCTTAAGTACACAACATCTCATTCTCCCCTAAGTATGTTGGTTCTTTCATCTCACCTTTCCTGAGAACACAGGATCCCGCTCTCAGCCATCAAAAGGAAAGGTTCCACCCCTTATGCAAGATCACAACCAGAAAAATAAGCGGGATTTCTTTTCTCCACTGAAACTATAGTTCTATTTAGTAAGGCAGGGAAAAGACCCTTAGGGTGTGCGTTCCCCCACCTTTCTTACCACCCCACCACCCCACCCACTCCCGGAGAACGTGCTTGGAATGCAACTGTCCCTGAAAAGGGGGCGGGCATAGTCACAGACAACCCAAGTAAATTGCCAGTGAATGTTTTTAGCATAGCCATTTCCAACCAGGTTACACAAAAAGATCACCTGGGGCTCCAGCCTGATGGAGGAATTTTAATATCCTCTCCTCAGGTGACACCCATGCAGTCTGCCCAGCATGAATCCATCCTGGGGTGCCTGGAAATCAGTGATCTAGAAAACTCTGACCCCTGGCTACCTGGACAGCAGGGTAGGACATACGTCTCCAGCCACTAGCCACAGGTGGCAACTGAGCCCTTGAAATATGGTTAGTGTGACTTGAGATGTGCTGTAAGAGTCATGTACACATTGGATTTTGAAGACTCAGAATTTTAAAAAAGAATGTAAAATATCTGAGAGTTTTTTTATGCAATTACATATGGAAATGATAATATTTTGGATATACTGGGTTAGAAAAAAAGTGTTGTTAAAATTAATTTTGTCTGTTTCTACTTTTTTAACGTGGCTACTAGAAAGTCTTAAATTACCTTTGTAGCTCATATCATATTTCTACTGCACAGCCAGACTCAAGGAGACACTCATCATTCTAGAGTGGGGATTACAGTCATAACTAAAAACGCAAGAAGGCTGGCCATGCTGGTTTCCACCTGCCAACTCTATGATGTTAAACGAGTTCTCAATCTCTGATGTTCAGTTTCCTCCCCTGTACACAGGCATAACATCCACACCCTGGGCTGCTGCTGAGCGCACATAAAAGAAGAGAGCTGGAAGCACTAACCACGCATCTTCTCCCAGCTGGTACTCAACACCTGCACACTGCCGGCCCTTCTTCCTTCCCCGCCTTCCTTAAGGACACAAAATTTGAGTCTAGATCATCTGGCTTCAAATTTACTAACCACAACGTCCAGTTCTGCACAGTGGCAGCAAGTAGGACAGTGGTTCTCCATCTACAGGGTAAAAGGAATCACCTGGGAAGCCCAAATCTCCCAGAGATTCAGACTCTGTCCACCTGGTATGGGTCCAGGTATACACATTTCCCACAAGCATCTCAGAACATCCTGATGCCTGGGGTCTAGAAGTCACTTTGAGAAACACTGACACAGCTGAGAAATTGTGACCAATATCGGCAAGACTCCCTGGGGACCTCCCCAGCCAGTCAGAAAGACCAGCCTCAACAAGGCAGGTGTGACCCACCTGTTGAGACACCAGGAACTGGTCACAGGCCTTTTCCCAGCAAATGGCTGCTTTCCTGAGATCTTTCAAACCTAGGCAGGGAATCACCATCTGCCCTGGGCACTGCTTCAAACATCAGAAGGCAGCTGATATTTTCTGCCCTCACACAAGGCCCCTTAAGGTAGTCAAAAAATATGGACAATTTCAAGGTAACCAACAGCTTGGCCACTGGGCTAAAAAGACCTTGCTGAAGCCAGGCATGGTGGTGTGGGTCTGTAGTCCCAGCTCCTCGGGAGGCTGAGGCAGGAGAATGGCTTGAGGCCAAGAGTTCAAGGCTGCAATGTGCTATGATCGCACCTGTGAACAGCCACTGCACTCCAGCCTGGGCAGTATTGCATGACCCTGTCTCTAAAAAAATAAACAAATAATAAGTAAATAAGACTGCGATGCTTATTTACTTACCAGCAGTACCAGGCGGGTCTTTTTTTCTGCCTTTGACTGGTACTCTTGCCTGAACATTCTGAGTGTCAGTCTTCTGGATGTTACTCTTCCGCAGAAGCATTGCTCTGCCCTTCTAGGAGCCGACAGGAAGAAGCTCCATGCACAGACCTGCAAGTCCCAGCAGGCTGTTTGTTCTGGGGCCTTTAGCCACTCAAAGAAGTCATCTCACTGAACGTGAATGTTGGACAGGCAGCTCACACAGATCGATTCGACTCCAGGAGGCACAGACAGAAGAAAGCACTCTCTTTATCTAAGCCAAACAGTCACTGCTCCTTCCCTTGGTTTAAAAATCCTCTCTGTGCTAAACCACCTCCACCTCAAAGCAGTACAAAAGAGCAATTTCTTGGAGAACAAAAATTAAAATATCCTTCCCCAATAATATTTCTGTCAGTAAAATGTGGCCTAGAAACTCAACCTCTTCTTCCTTCTCAACGCAAATTTCCTTTCTATTTATGGAAAAAATACAGTCTGAATGAATTGCCACATTTCCCCACTAAATTCAAACTGCCTCAAATTATTTTTGAAGATAGGGTATGAAGTAAATAAGCACTGAATCTGAGAACTCTGACATATTTCTTTATTTTTAACACAGGAAAATGATCTGGGATTTGTGCAGAATGAAGTAACACCAAGCACATGCTGACTCCAGCAGATCAGCCCCAGGCCCCCTGCCACAGAGCATTTCCCCCATCACTCACCTTCCAGAGTGTGCTTCTCACATTCTACTGCCTCACCATCCTCTGTTCTATGCCCCAGATAGAACAGACCAGTGTCGCCTGAACATTACTGGGTCTCCATGTAGCCCAGTGTCCACTTGGTGGCCATACAAGCAAGCAATCCAACTCAAACATAATAAAAATTAACTTAAAATGTTAGGGGATCTCTTGTGGAGCACCAAAAGGAGGGAATTAAATTATTAATGCACAGGAAAGTATCTTCAAAATCCCAATGCACAGGAAAGTATCTTCAAAATCCTTTCTCCTTCTCTACCACTTGATATCCTAAACACAGACAGCTCCTCTGGAAACTTCCTTTTACTTTTCATCTCCTGTGCTGATAAACACTTCTTGCCTCTCCCTCCTCCTCTCCTTTGGCCTCCATTCTCTCTTCTCACCTACAAGTATTGGCCCTTTCAGATGCCAGTAGGTGCTTACACACATACACATACACACACAAACACACACACACACACAAACACTCTGACCATCCCTACTTCCTAGTTCTCTAATTCAGCCTCTACTCATTGCCCTGACTCCATATGAAAAAGGCCCAGGCACTAAACTAACCAAGAGAAACTTCTCCTTAGAAGGTAGTGTTACTAGGAAAGTTGAGTAATAGACAATAGAATTCTCTTTTGCAGAGAGAAGAGGAGAAAGTCCATGAACACTCACAGTGGCATGTGGCAAGAGGTGGTGGATGCTGGAAGCTAATGCCTAGTAGTGCTAAATGTCACCACTCAGATCAGCTGGGCCCAGCTTCAGAAAAGATGCTCTTTATATCCAAGTTAAACCTCTGCTGCAGACAGAACCCCAGCACAGCCATTAATAAACCACACCACCCTACCTCCAAAAGTTTCTCAACACACTGCCTGGCTATATCCATCTCTACATTACCTGGGATAACGCAGTAAATAGAGAGGGGTATTTCCCAGGTCTCTGTCTATAGCAGAGATTCATCTTGGTGCTGGGAGAAGTTAACAATTACCTGAATATGAGGAACTGTGGGCCTAGCACCATGAAGAACTTCTAAAATAGCTCTGCTTGTACAAATAGTTCGTTCTGTCACTCTCCATGCACTGAGGAAGTTTGGGAGGCAGTGAGGACTAAAACAGAGAAACTATGATGAATATGACCCAGCCTCTACTCCCATGGATTAGCTGTGTGGCCTTGGGCAAGTTTCTGAACCTCTCTGAGCCTATTTCCATTTCTGCACAATGGCATGGCTGGCCATAGGTGATCAAGTTCCTTTCCAGCACTGCCGTTTCACAGCTCTGTGATTTTAAGGATACCTGCCATGGGGGTCATGGCCAAATGGGTGGGAAGAAGGGCAGACAGAAGAGGGAGTACAGCTATTACAAAATCTTAATTATTACTGATCACGGATTGGAGCTCTAAGAAAACATTCACTGCAACTCCAAAAACTGCAGGTGTCAAGTGTGGTCAGCAGTCACAGGCCAGTTTCTGGGACCCCTAATCTTAATAACAGAAAGACGTGCACACTATAGCAGGCCATTCACTTATGGGCCACAGAAAGACAAATTAAGGGCAGTGACTTCCTCTCACTGTAGCAAGACCCTCCCAATCCTAGTGAAGTCCAGAGTTCATTCTCCCTGGTCTGCAGATGAGCGCACAGGGTCTGAATGACTCCCCAAGTCACAGTTTGGTGGTAGCAAAACCAAGAGAGAAGCCCAGATTGTCTGTCTTCCCAGCTCACATTAAATGCCAATTAGATAACTGTGTGGGATCACTGCAAAGCATAGACACTTAGAAACCCACACACAGACTCACCTAATTGGTGCAAGAGGACGGGGGAGGACTCTGCAAAAGGGGAGCCAAGAGCAGCCTTTCCCTTCCTTTACCACCCTGACAAGCAGGTTGGTCACCAGCCCTGGGGGTTAGTATCCACCCGCTACCCTGTTACATGTGCAGACATCTGTCTTCAAGTGATTGCAGTTGGTGGCTCATAATCTAGAGCTGAAGATCTTAACCTGAGTGCCAACTAAAACTATATGCAAAGACTCCACCACTTTTTATACGTGTATCCCCGGACAAATCTTTTAACATCTCAGTGGCTCAGTGTTCCCATCTGCAGAACAGAGATAACAGTGCCTACACCTCACAGGGTTGTGATGAGCATCAAGAGTAATACACCTACGTGCTTAGCACAATGTCTACAACATAAATGTTAGTTATTATCATATAATTTTTCTGGAAAAAGTGTCCAAAGCTTTCATCAGAGTCTCAAAGGGGTCCATGTTCCAATAAAAACTAAGAACTCTTGTTCTACACCCTATCCTTGGAATGGAACTGAGGTCATCCTCTAAGAAGAGAAGTGTCCCCTCTAGCTTCCTTACCTGTCCAGATGAAAGGGATGGGAGGCTTTCTATGCCCCACTACTCCTGGAGGGCTGGGGAGAGTGAGGAGATGAAAAGTAAAAGGGAGTTTCTAGAGGAGCAGCTGCCGTCGTGTACAGGATACCAAGTGGTAGAGAAGGAGAAAGGATTTTAAAGTTATTTTCCTAGGCATTAATAATTTAATTCCCTCCCTTTGGTGTTCAACAAGAGATCCACTAATATTTTAAATTAATTTTTATTATGTTTGAGTTGGATTGCTTCCTTGTATGGTTACCATTCTTTGTTTTCACAGTTCCTCAGCAGGAGGTTCAGAAAAGGTGACCAGAAAACTGGAATGCAGGGCTGGGAAACGGTGCCAGAAGCTCCTCCTCCCACGTTCTGCGGGACTCCGTGGGAGTGGGCTTATTCCCATACGTGGATGCTGGAGTTGGGGGATTTGGCTCTCTCCTTTCTCATTTAGATTAGGACCAAAAAGGGTTGGAGGAGACATTTCCCAGCCACAGAAATGCCTATTTCTTGCCTCCAGTGTCAGAAGGAATACAGGGATCCTGGGTCCAAAACACAGAAGAGCTCTAACTGCAGAGCCTCAGCCTTGGGTCCACAGCCAGAAAATTCCACTCAGGTAGAAATGAATGTGGAGGACATAGATGAATGTCTAACATAAGAGTCAATTCAAATACCACACATCTTTACTCTCAGCTGGAACAGTATCAACTCCATTAAGACTCGGGTAACTCTAATAGGCAGTTAAGTCTATCTTCAATTGATCAAGAGTGGGGAAATATATTATTACTTAATAAACATGGTGTTGGGTTTGATGAAATTTTTCAGAGCAAGGGGTATTTAGAAGAAAAATAAATAAGTATAAAAACAAAAGAGGGCGTCTCTGATGACAAAAAGGCTGGGAACAACAGTTCCCATGGCAGCCCTGGCTCCTGACGTCCCTAAGCTCCAATCTGTCATCCCTCCTGTATTCTCTACCTTGTTATCCCATCGGCAGACTGAGAATGAATTCCAAAGCAACCATGCTTTTTTACAAATCATTTTCTCTAATATAAAAGTAATACATGTTAATCATAGAAAGCTGAGAAAACAAAGGAAGTCTCAAAGAAAACACAAGAATCTGTCCACCAATGTTAACATGTTGATTTATTGCTGCCAATCTCTCTCTCTCTCTGTCTCTTTTTCTTGGTTTAAAGCAAATTATTTTTATCTTTATTTAAAGACTTAATATCACACTAAATTTCCTAAGATAGCAAGCATCTCTGAAGATTCAGTAAAAGCAGAAAGTCCAGAAAAGCTTAAAACTTGTTGGCAAAATGAAGAAGTACAAATGTGAGTGTGTATGTGCACATGTGCACACACATACACACACACACACACATACAAATGCAGGTCTTGCCTCTCAGAGGCCTCTTAAACTCTCACAACACAGGATGGTCACTGGCCACCCCTGAACTAAGAAGTTTAAACTTAGAGGATCAAAAAAGAACTCCACCCACTAAAACAATGCTCTTTAAGTATCAAAAAGCCTAGCATTTCCAACAAGTATTTTTTAAAACCTAAAACCTATTATGTGTACCTTGGCACCAATCTGGGTCGGTTCCTGGTGGGGTTCCAGGATAGAATTTCAAAAGATGCTGTAATTATTCCTCATGTCACTGATACCATTCTATCAGACTCAAATAAATCAAAATCATAGTAAGAAAAACAAAACTGAACCTCTGGCAATACACTCAGTACTTAGAAAACAAGAGTTTTCTTAAATACTGAGAAAACCAGCTCCTTTTACGGTTGCTTCATAAAACCATTTCTAATGAGACTTATGCCAGAGCTATGGGAAGAATAATTTGCTGACCAGTTTCAACAAACTGCACCCAAGTGATTTTTCCAAAGAGAAAGCGTTTGAGGGCGAAGGTAAGAGAAATCCTAGGGCAGGTGGGAGAACGTGTAACAGCTGCATGGTTTTTTTGTTGTTGTTTTGAGATGGAGTCTCCCTCTGTCGCCCAGGCTGGAGTGCAATGGCATGATCTTGGCTCACTGCAACCTCCACCTCCCGGGTTCAAGCGATTCTCCTGCCTCAGCCTCCCAAGTAGCTCGGATTACAGGCACACACCACCAGGCCCAGCTAATTTTTATATTTTTAGTAGAGACGGGGTTTCACCATGTTGGCCAGGCTGGTCTCGAACTCCTGACCTCAGGTGATCTGCCCACCTCAGCCTCCCAAAGAACTGGGATTACAGGCGTGAGCCACTGCTCCCCGCCAACAGCTGCGTGTTAGACTCATCTTTATCAAGACTCAAATACAGTTAGAAGATACTTGTTCTGGTATTTACAAAACTGGTCCTCCTCCCTAACCATATCTAGTCACAGGTGGGTGAGGACTTGGGAAGGAATACAGGCACTTAGAGGTGAGGGATGGGTAGGCCCTGGGATTACAGAGCCGCCACCACTCAGAAAGCCTGTTCTTAACCATTCTGCTATCCCTTCATCAAAAAGAGCCTGATCTTCCCTTGCACAAAACACGATATTTTCCTCCTGGAAGATATCAATTAATAAAATGTATAAGTAATTTAATCTTCAACTTCAGAATTTCATTTTTAAAGGTATCAGAGTTAGCTCTCAATATCTTTCTTCTCTCAAAAAAACAGAATTTTAAAACTAAACACACACACATGATCACATAGAGGGAGATATGTGAAAAACAAAACGGGACACATAGAAATTAAAGGGCAGCCAGGCACGGTGGCTCACGCCTGTAATTGCAGCACTTTGGGAGGTCAAGGAGGGCGGATCACCTGAGATCAGAAGTTCGAGCAGCCTGGCCAACATGGCGAAACCCCATCTCTACTAAAAATACAAAAATTAGCTAGGTGTGGTGGCACATGCCTGTAATCCCAGCTACTCGGGAGGCTGAGGTAGAAGAATCACTTGAGTCAAGGAGGCAGAGGTTGCAATGAGCCAAGATCATACCACTGCACTCCAGCCTGGGTGACAGAGCGAGACTCTATCAAAAAAAAAAAAAAAAAAGGAAAGCGAAAGGAAGAAATTAAAGGGCATCTAAGCCAAAAGAGTAGTGGCCCAGACTTTTTTTTTTTTTTTTTTTTTTGAGACAGAGTCACACCCTGTCGCCCAGGCTGGAGTGCAGTGGCATGATCACAGCTCACTGCAGCCTCAAACTTCTGGGTGCAACACCACGCCCAGCTAATTTTTTTAGTATTTTGTAGAGATGGGATCTCAACATTTTGCCCAAGCTGGTCTTGAACTCCTGGGCTCAAGCAATCCTCATACCTCAGCCTCCCAAAGTGCTGAGATTACAGGTGTGAGCCGGCACACCCAGCCCAGACTATTCAGACATGTAAATATTTGACACTTTTGTGGAATAAAGGCTGAATATGGTATTTTTCTACACTGATTAAATCTCCAGGAAACTGCTTCCTAAAAAAGGTCACTGCAATGTTCTCGACTAATGGAGTATATGATGCTGAAAGTTCAAGTCAGACTCATCTAAGCCATAAAAGCCTATCAATAACATTTCTTGCATTTGTATAGTGCCATTACTTTTTTCAAAATGCATCTATTACCTCATTTTATACCACTTATGTCAGAACAAAAGGAAGAGTAATGTGTTGACTGGTTGGACAAACTGTACCGTCAAGAATGCTCCTATCCTCTGAAATGGATGAAAGTTCCAGACACGAATGTCAGATCAGCGGGAAAGAGCTTTCCAATGAGAAGAGCTATCCAACAATGGAAAGAGTGGCTCCTAGAGAGTGAGTTCCTCATTGCCAGAGGTACACAAGTAGAACTGTTAAAACCGTGTGGCTTCCAACTGCTCTAATAACTTTAAGATTCACAGTCTTCAACTTTCTTACAGTGGAAGCCATGGGGGCATTGTCCTGTTGCCTTCTCTCTCATTCCTCATTAATGAGAAAGATGTTAAGCTCACTGACGTAAGTCCCAGTGAAGTCTTCTCCAGAACTCAGAAGGGCCATAAATAGAGAGACAAAGGGCAGGAGGTGGGAGTTATTCACCAGCGTGGAGGAAGCAGGATAAGCCCAGAGGAATGGCCTCTGGAATTATACAAAGAATTTGGAGGTGACTGGGGGTGGCCCTGGGAACAAAGTGAAACTGTCAGAACTCAGATAACAGTCCACGTTCCTGAGATTGGATTGTAGCAGCCCTTCTGGAAAAGGAGCACTTCTTGGGACTTTATACAAATCCAGCTGGGTCCCCCACACACTGCCTCACAAACCCTGTACATCACCAAATATGAACAGAAGCCGTCTTTTGAGAGTTTCCTGAAACTGAGAGCTCAAGGAAGGTACCTTCTAGGACCGCCCCCTTGCCCCAAGTTTTCCAGAGGCCAGCAAACAATGAACTAGGGTTGTATATTTTCTCTACACTCTTACTTTTATGACCAAAGCAAAGGATAAAATAATTGGTAATCTGTAATTTGGTCCAAAAAACAACCTCCAGGAGATGCCTTAAATTCAATCCAGATTCTGACAATCCCCTGGTTTTATTTGGTCTACAGAGCTCATAGCAACACATGGCCCAGTTCAAGCCAATAACTTAGAGTTTTGGAGCAGACTTTAAAAGTCTTATTGGCAAAATCACAAAAGGCCAAAGAATGCACATATTATTCCAAATAAGGAAACCTTGTCCCTCTCGGATAAGGCCTGACACCCAAGATTTTCAGAGAAGACAGGATTTTTCTTCCTCAAAAAAAAAGAAGAAAAAAAAAAAAAAAACAAGGATGAGAAGGGAAAGGAAAAGAGAACCAAATCTTCATCTTACATGGTGATAAGTTAACAGATGATGTCCAAAAGGTAGTAAAACATACAGGTTACTATCAAATGTGGAAGTAAATATCAAAAGAATCAGCTAAGATTTTAAAGTGGCTGCCACCGGGGCAGCAGGGGGCTAACGGTGACGGTGTCGGAGACTGCAGTCATGTAGAAATATTGGATTCTTGAAACTCTATGCCTGTGTAACTCTGGTAAAAATTACAAATTTTAAAAGCTAGAAGAAAGCAGGGGAAGGGCTAATATACACTAAATGCATGCATTTCCAAACTTAAGCTATAAAAAGTAAATAACACTTTAGGTAAATAATAATACTGTATTTAAATATTGTTTATCCATATGTTTCAACCAGAGCACTATATCTTAATAACTCCTTTTCTGATTAAAGTAATACTGTTCACTGTTTTTAAAAAGATAGAAAATAACTCACCCTTCCCCCCACCAAAAAAAGAAAAAATAGTCATAAAATTACCACCCAGAAAAAAACTGCTGGATGATATGAAAGTATTTCCTTTTCTCTTTTTATGTATGCATATATGTATATTCGTGTATCAATACAGACAATTTTCTTTAACTCTTTGGGCTCATCTAAAGACAATAAGGTTTTTGTCTGGGGGAGAAAAAGCTTTTTTTTTTTTGAGACAGATTCTCACTCTCCCTCCCAGGCTAGAGTGCAGTGGTGCAATCTCAGTTCACTGCAACCTCCACCTCCCAGGTTCAAGTGATTCTCCTGCCTCAGCCTCCAAAGTAGCTGGGATAACAGGCACCTGCCACCATGCCCAGCTAATTTTTGTATTTTTAGTAGAGACAGGATTTCACCATGTTGGCCAGGCTGGTCTTGAAGTCCTGAGAAAAAGCATTTTATTTTGAAGATTATTAAATAAATAGGGTCTTTGCTTCTTACAGTACCATCAGTCAGTATCAAGCGTTCATTCTAAAAGGACAGGTAGGTATGTCAGGTTGTCAAAAGTTTTTGGAAAGTGAAGGTATTACCAGGCATGGTGGCTCACACCTATAGTCTCAGCTACTGGGGAGGATCACTTGAGCCTAGGAATTTGAGACCAGCCTGGACAACACAGTGAGACTCTGTCAAAAATTTTTAAAGTGGAAAAAAAATGAAAGCGAAGATGTAATTTTTCAGAATTTCTGGACATAAATTACAGCATTAAGAGAAGATCCTTACTACAAACTGGTTCCACCTCAAATTGTGCTGTTTTCTAACTCTGCTCACAAGCCTGCTCATGCACATTTATCTCGTTCCATGCAAGCCTGTCTTTGCTTTCTCCTTCTCCCTACAACCCTACTTGTCACTAGCTTTCCTCTCCACCCCAACTTCCTGTTTTATTCCGCTCTCACACCTGTATCTTTTCTGTGCCACCTGTAACCTGATGCAATGTGGAACTAAGATCACATTCTTATTACTCCACATTTGCAGAATCGAATTAAGTGCTCCTTATTTTTAAGTTATAAACTGAAATACAAAGCCTTCTGTTTATAACTTTTCTTTTTCTTTTCCTGAGCAACAGGATCTCATGCTGTTGCTCAGGCTGAAGTGCAGCGGTAAGATCATGATTTGCTGCAGCCTCAACACCCCAGGCTCAAGGGATGCTCCATGCTCCCACCTCAGCCTCCCAAGTAACTCCAACTACAGGCATGCACCACTACACCCAGCTAATTCTACTTTTATTTTTGCAGAGATGGGGGTCATACTATGTTGCCCAAGCTGGTCTCGAACTCCTGGCCTTAATCGATCCTCCCATCTTGGCTTCCCAAAGTGCAGGAATTACAGGCATGAGTCACCACGCCCAGCCTGTTGATACGTCTGTCTCCTAAAGCCTATGTTGCTGCCTTGTTTCTTGCTTGTTTTTGTCGTTGTCGTTTCTCAACATCAAAGGCAGTTGCAGCCTTTGGGACTGAGTTGGAAACTCTCAGAAATGAGAAAAGCCCTAGCTCCTGCCTGGAGAAGCCAGTATAGACATGGAAGAGGCCTTGCATCAGGGAGAGGGTAGTTTTCTAGAGGAGAGACGGCTAGTAGGAAGAGGGCTAGTGTCAGAGCCAACTTACTCTGCTCCTGAGGTACCAGCCCAGCATCACCCCATTCAGGAGAGTCAACTGCCCCAGAAGACAAACCCAAAGCTATCAGAGCATGCTGCTAAAGAACCACCTCTTCCTCCAGCCCTCTAAGAAGGGCCTTCTCCTTTTTCTGGTCATCCAAAATGGGTCTTTCTTCACAAGGGCTTCTTTAAAAATCAGGTCACCCCCATCCTACACATACAGGATTTTTTTGTAACCTAGATGCTAGACACATGTTAAAAGAGCTGTTAGGTGCTGATCACTCTTTGAAGTGTAAGCTCTCTCTCCCAGCTCTGAGAGATCTGCCCACTTCACAGGGCTGCCCTCCAGAGCTCCAGCGTCTGATCAAAAATGACCACAGCCAGGCGTGGTGGCTCACGCTCGTAATCGCAGCACTTTAGGAGGCCAAAGCAGGCAGATTACTTGAGATCAGGAGTTCGAGACCAGCCTGGCCAACAGAGCAAAACCCCATCTCTACTAAAAGTACAAAAATTAGCCAGGCATGGTGGCGCATACATGTAGTCCCAGCTACTTGGGAGGCTGAAGGCCCAAGAATTGCTTGAACCCAGGAGGCGGAAGTTGCAGTGAGCCGACATTGTACCACTGCTCTCCAGCCTGGGCAACCAACCGAGACTGTCTCAAAAAAAAAAAAAAAAAAAAAAAAGACCAGGACAGGTCCAGGCAGGTCCAGGCACAATTCTAAGTACCATAAGAAGCTTTCTGAATCGAGGATGTAAATCTGATCTAATAATTCAGCCAACACTGCATCTACCTGTAGCCTTATCATCCAGCCCCCACATCCAATTTCAGCCACAGGTTCCTGGTTAGATGCTTTTCCGGTTAGATGCTCCCCTGAAATCAGCCCACCTGCTACTGTATCTGCAGCACATCCCTGAGTCCATGTCAAAAACAGAATCCGAGCCCTTTGACATGGCTCACGCTCCAGGAAATTAGACTGGAGTACACAGCTGTATTCTTCTTGGTAACTATTTCCAAGCCATCTACTTATGAAGATACATGGGAAAAAAAAAAAAAGGAAGACAAGGAGTGCCAAAAAGGCAGTTCAGCTTTCTCTAAAAGAAACTCAGGCAAATAGCTCCTGTTCGGGGAAACCAGTAAATTTCCAAACAGTAAGATTTCCACAAATGATATTGGCAACTTCGGGGGTCAGGGCGAAGTAGTGGACCAGTTCTCATCGAAGAGCAGCAAGATGAGACAAGTTTCACACAGTGGCAAATGTTCCTTTTGGACTTGCTTCAAACCTGTGTGTGGGCTGATTCTCCGAAATAAACAAATTCTCTTGTATAAGGTTATGCGGTGACTGAGAGGGTGAGGATTCTGATGGAAAGAAATCACCCATAAGTCACCTTTGCCTAAGCAGGAGGGTCAGTTCTGCCTGCCCTGGGTCTTGACGCAGTGAAACCTCAACAGGGATGTGGGGCGCATGTAACCCAGATGGACGGGTATACGCTACCGTTAAGTTCAACTGCACCCTTGACTGGTATGGCATTTCAGAGCATTGAGACACCTTTCGATCCAGCAAAGAGCCAATCCTGGCTCCAATCAGCACCCATGAGCCGCTGAGGGAGGCACAATGTCCCAAGCAGCAGTTGGCCAAACACACGTGAGGGAGGTGCAGCTGCCGAGCCCTTCATGTTTACCAGGAAGAAAGAGTGTTGATTTTGCAGATTTTTGATAATGTTTTCACAGCCAGTGTTATTCCCAACCCATTTTTAAATGCAATCTGAACAACACCCCTTTCCACACTGGATTCCTTGTACTTAAATGGTTCCAGCTACCTCAGGCCTGAGAAACCTATTTCTCTCTATAGACCACACATCAGTTTGGCTGAGGGAAGAACAGAGGGAAAGCAGGATTGCAAGGATGGCAGGTGCAGGGCTGAAAGAAGAAAATTAAATTCACCAGACATGGGACACCTGGGCTGAGGACCTTTACACCAAGGAGCTTAAGATCTCCCTTGGCCACATGGGACCATCTAGAAAGGACTCTTTTAAGTCTAACCATCTTTGGGTCTGTGGTTGTACTGTATTGATTCCATGTTCTCATTTTAAGTGAGCTAACGAAATGCAGCAAGCCATGAAAATTTAAAAGGACTAGAATGAATTGAGAAGTTATTTAGACTGAGAGCAAAGAACAGGCAAAGCAAGTGGCAATCTTGTTGGATAGATCTGGCATGCTACCACACAAGCAACCCAGGCTAGAAAGAGCCATTGACAAAATGCTGACAGTCTGCCCAGGCCCTTTTGAATATTGGGTTCTTGGATTATTTCCTAATTTTTTTTTTTTACACAATCTTGAACATTGACTATTATGTAGAAAAAAAGAAACATCTGAGGGGAAAAAATACATCCTCGGGAGACACAGGAAGAATGCCGTTTGAAGTAAGAATCTTTTTTCTCTCTGTCTCTGACACACACAAACTCATACACACACATTCAACTAGCCTTATGAGTCATCTTCTGCCATGACTGATGCCAGCTAACTCTGTCCTGCCAGCAACCTCTGCCACCCACTGATGCAGTGGAACAGTGTTTGACCAGCTCCCTTCCTGATGCTGGTTTATTTCTGGCTAAAACCTCTGGTTTCACTTAGGACCCAGACTTGTCTGGGGTTCCCCCTGGAAGTACTATTTGATGGCACTGATACTCAAAGCCCTATACCTAAAACATCTTTGCATCTAAGAGATACTGTGGAGATCAAGCCAATTCTAGACCCTTATTGCCATGGTTTTGATATCTGTCAAACCAGGTATCAAACAGTGGTCACTCCACCCCAGAAACATCACGGTGAACCAAGTTATCCATAATCATCGATAACTGTATGCCCAACACCATGCAGACCCCACAACCTTCATGATGCTTACAATATAATTTCAGAGATAAAATCAGCCCAATGGAAGCTAATCAGACAGCCATACAAGGCAAAAGAAAAACCAGAAGACCCATCATCATTCATAGAGAAGTTGTGAGCAGGAACCAAGTATGGGCTACAAAAGTCACTTCGACTTCAGATTCATACTGGGCCTTGAGGCAGAAGTAGAGTGTATATGAGGCAGAATATCGATGGAAGACACTGCAGGTAAAAAGACCTCTTTACAGGCCATAATGGAAACTCTGAAGCTGGCTAACCAAGAAGGCAACCATTAAGCAAGCCCCACTCCCCTCCCACACTACAGCTTCATCTCTCAAATATGGGGCATAGGCTTTCAGGCACAGACTCTAAAGAGGACAGATGTCCAAGCAGGGGCTCGTGGGCACTGGGTAGCTGGAGTAAAGTGGTATCCACTTGTCAGCAGACTGAAAAGCAGGTCCAATTCTCTTGGATTATCTCCCTAAGTATGTTTCTCAGACCCCTGCATCAGAATTTCTGCGATCTCTCCAGACCTGAGAAATTAAAACCTTTGAGGGGATAGCCAGGGAATCTGCATCTTTAGCAAGCCACTCAATATGACAGGTAAAACCCACTGACCTTGGTGGAGGGTGGGTGTGGATGTCAATTCAGGGCTATCGTGTGGCCAGACAGAGCTGAGTTGGCATTGGCGACCCTAGGTCAGGGACTGTGATGTCTGGAGTAGGGTGGAGGCAGCTACTCTGCTCCCTTGGGTCCCTCAGGACTTAATATGGCCACTGGCAGTCACCATTTCTCGGGGTGACTTTAATGATCCCACTCAATATGATCCCAAAAATACAAAAATTGCTGCTAGCCTGCTCCAGCCTGCCCTATTCTGAAATGGGGGGTAATTTTTTAAAAAGTTGTCTATCTCAACTAAGAAAGAGATTTAAGCAGAAATCACACACGGGCTGGGGGGCAGGAAGGAGTGTGGCTGGAGCAGGAAGTAGGAAATCTCTTAGGATGAGGGACAGGATATGAGACAGGATCAGCCACCCAGCCCCAGAATTAATGCGGCTGCTCCCTTTACTGCACCCTTGGAAAATCATTAGAAAGAAGATGATTTCTTTACAGAAGCCCAAGGGTGCTTGAGCTTGGATGGAGCTGAGTTAGCCTCAAGAATGAAGGAGTTCACCAGTGTGGATAGGTCTATCCAAATTTGGCCTAACGCACCCTATGAGAGAGGTACCTTCTGCACCATAAACCATAGCCCCGAGAAATGGTGACTGCCAGCGGCCATATTAAGTCCTCAGGGACCCAAGAGAGCAGAGTAGCTGCCTCCACCCTACTCCAGACATCACAGTCCCTGACCTAGGGTCGCCAATGCCAACTCAGCTCTGTCTGGCCACACGATAGCCCTGAATTGACATCCACACCCACCCCCCACCAAGGTCAGTGGGTTTTACCTGTCACTGTCTAGGTCTGAGGCACCAGCTGGGCCTGGTGGCTCCAGATCTGGGTAGTGTAGTTCTTCAGGTGTGGTCACCAGCCCAGCAGCATTGCCTGGGAACCTGTTAGAAATAAAAATCCTCTGGCCCCACCCTAGAGCTTCTGAATCAGAAATTCTGGGGGAGGGACCCAGCAATCTGTGTCTTAACAAGCCTTCCAGGTCATTCTGATCCAGCTCAAGTTTAAGAACCAGTGTGTTGTGCTATTAATAATAACATGAACCACGGTGGTAGATCAACAAAAGTAGCATCATATACACAGGCCTACAAAACACTTTCAAGTGTATTATCTTAATACATTTGATAATATATCAAATGTTGATACCCTCTTCTAATCCTAAGGCTCTGTAGTTCATTTGAATCTCACAGCAGTGCTGAAGTAGATAAGCTGCATTATCCCATTTTACAGAGGAGATTGAGGCTCAGATAGATGAAGTAACTAGCATAGATTACCCCTACCCAGAGCCCACTCATTAAAAAAGCGCACAAAAATTAGAGACTTAACTCTAAATAATTAAAAGTTACCAGCCCACACCCATTTCTCTTCCCCACGCTCCACAGGTATACTGGCCACAACAGGGGTGAAATTGACTTTCTTTTCATCTGGTCCATTGTCACTCACCTCAAGTGACTATTTCCAAGACCATCTTCCATTAATTCTGGATTTTCAATGCCTCTCTGACACAGAATTAAGACAACAGCCCTCAACCGACAAACAGGCCATGCGCCAAAAGTTCATTTTCAAGTTGGAGGGTTGGAACTCAGGTTGCATTTTCCCATGGACGTGACATGGAGATAGTTGTTGGATCCCCAGGTCAAGCCACAAAGCTGTCTCTGAGAGGGAGAGGCAGAGGACACAAGAGTGTTTGGCAATGGGCCATAGGGTTAAAATCCCAGCTTTCTAATCAGTAACCAACAGGAGACAAAAGCCCAAGTTACTTAGCCTTTCTCCGAGCCTCAGTTTCTTCGCCTGGGAATCCTAATACTGACCTTCCAGGGTTGAGAGGATTCAATGAAAATGCACACAGTTGATATTCAACAAGTGGCTGCATTGTTGTTGAACTCCTAAAGTAGAGGCCATATTCTATTTTTGCCCTGAAACCTATGCAATTGAAAAGAAATAAAATACATCTGAAATTATAACAAGACTGACTGCAAGAGGATTAACTGCCTCCTAAAGGACCAAGGAAAAGAAGGAAGGGTGTTGGGCTCAGGGGATGGCACAAGAGTCGGGTCCGGCCCTCACCCACTCCTCACACCTTTGGCCTTCCTTCAGCTCACTTGCCGCTTCTTTGGGAACCTTCCTTGGACTTCCAGCTTAGGTCAAATCTCTCTAGTACCTGCTTCAGTAGCCCCATGTACTTGCTCTTCATAGCCTTACACTGATTATAATGTTACCCTCATTTGCTTAATGCCTGTTTT
Source organism: Homo sapiens (assembly GCF_000001405.40). Taxonomy (NCBI): domain Eukaryota; kingdom Metazoa; phylum Chordata; class Mammalia; order Primates; family Hominidae; genus Homo; species Homo sapiens. Next base: position 95,517,557 of record NC_000010.11, read on the forward strand.
CCCCACAACCTCACAAAGCCCATGAAGTCAGGGCTCAGGTCTGTTTCTGCTCATCAATGTATCTTCCCCTGGTACTTTGTCCTGTGCCTGGAACACAGTAGGTACTCAAATATTTGTAGAATGAATCACACCAGAGCAGCTGGGCAGGGAAGAGGACGTTGTGCACAGCTGACTGCACATATGTGCAGATAACAAATTGGCGGTCTGTGACTCAGGGCTACCCGGAAAAGCACACAACTCTTTTTCTGCCCCAATAAAATCAATCTGCTGCTGCCATATCACTCAGCCAAAAAGGCTGATTATTAAACGCACAAGTTATTAAACCCAAAGGCATCCTCTTCCAATGGGTGCACATGCCCCAGGCTGCTCAAAGGGCATGTGCTGAATGAAGCAAAATGGCACAGGAATCCAGGCAGGTCTGAGATGTGCTGCAGTTCTCCCTACCTCAGTCTCAAAGTGGAGGGATGCCAGCCTCACCACAGCTGGCAGCCTCACTATACCTTGGAGCTCTACAGCAAGGTATGGAAAATAATGCTGCCAGCTGCAATGTACTGAGTGTCTACATGTACCAAGCAATAGTCCTGGGTGATCCTCAAAACCTAATGAGGTAGTTATGGTCCCCTTTCTACAGATGAAGAAACTGAGACTCAGGGAGACCAGGAACATACTCATGATCACATAGTGAATAAGTAGCAGAGCCAGAACTATTAATAGAACCCAAATCAGATCGCAAAGTGTGTGCTCTTAGCCATATTCAGCTATCCATCACCATATTAGGTATAAGTTTCTCTAAGAGTCTGTGAAGTATGTACAGACCTTGGAGACTCAATGCAACATGATATAAAACAGAAAAGAGATACAATTCTAGTGTGGAATCTTCTACTACTATGTGACCCAGAGTAAGTCATTTCACCTCCCTGGGCCCCAGGGAGGCTTCCTCCCCACTAATGTTAAAGAATGAACTAGATGGCCATTAAGAGAAGAGATAGGATGCTGTTGAGCACACAAAAACACGTGCCAGTTAGAACCTATCATGAAACCACATCTGCCTGGCCTTTACCTAGGACCCAGCCACACTGCCTCTCAGCAATCTCTCACCCAAACCGGAGGTTAGCCGGAAACTTTGAGCTTTCTGGTAGGGAGGGAAGGAATGACAGAGGACACTTACTTTTCTACTAGGCCCCCTGAAACTGGCTTGGAATGAATCAAAGATAAGTAATAAGGGAAAGGAGACTGTTTACCATACATTTAAATATCTAAACCTCCCTCCCTCCTGCAGAGAACTGAAAAAATACCATATGCTGCAAAAGAAGCAGGTGTCAGTCTCCAAGTCTTCCATGGGCTCACACCCATCAGCAGTCTTCTGTGCAGCCCCACCTCCCTCTGGGATGTGTTCAACATACACCCAAGACCAACTGCAGGGACTGCCTTCAGAGGCCAAGGCCATCCGTCCAAGTAACAGATCTTCCCTCACTTCAACCCCTGCACTGCTGTACAGAGTGATCTGGAATTTACAGTCTCTTCTACAAAGCCTTACAAGGTCAAAAATGCTCAAGTTGTGTGATTCCTAGGATGAAAAGGCTGTGAAACAGAATAGGCTAAATGGCCGATACAAACGACACATCAGAAAGCCAAAAAACCCAACAGCCAAATGCAATCAGCAACGGGCAGAGCTGGAGCCAAGGCGCCTGGTGCTGGCCAGGCTTCAGCAGCACACAGGCCTGTGTTGCCACCAGCACCTGTGGATGTCACCACCTCCTGCTGGTCCCCTCCAGCACACAGACCAGTGCTGCCACCAGCACCTGTGAATGTTACCACCTCCTGCTTGTCCCCACTAAGAGTGAGCACAGACACCCCAGAACCAAAATAGGAGTCACAAAAGAACTGACATCCATTTTTATATGACTCCTGAGCTCTATAATCTGCAAAACCCATACTGACTTTTACATGTATGGCAGGGTATGGAGGAAATGGCCAAAGATACTTTGTAAAATGTTCGTCAAAATAAAACCTGAATTTTAAGCAAGAGCAGAAGGGGAGGAGTGGAGGAAGGAAGGAAAATCCCTCTTTTTTACCATAATCCTAGATGCACTAAATCCAGCAATGTATATGAAATATTTCAGGAGCAGGAAAGTGGGGAGAAATGAGGGAAAGAAAGAGGGGGAGAAGGAAAAATACAGAAAGGGGAACAGTGTAAAGAGAAAGCCCCATGCTAAGTCATCCCAACCTGAAGCTGCCTCATAGCCTTGGTCCTGCTCTCCTCTCCCCCTACTTACCAAGGCCTTTCAAAAGGGAGTTCTGCAATTCCACTCTAACCATCAAACACCAAAAACACAACAAAACCTGACAAAATAATTGTACTAAGTCAGCACCCAATCTCCTGCAAAATCAGAAAAGCAAACTGACAAATATTAAGTGGACCACCATAAATACCAGACACAGAATTTGAAGACATTTCCAGCTTCTTATAAAAAGCTTCTAGGCTGGGCACGGTGGCTCACACCTGTAATCCCAGCATTTTGCAAGGCCGAGGCAGGTTGATCCCCTGAGGTCAGGAGTTCGAGACCAGCCTGACCAAAATGGAGAAACCCCATCTCTACATACAAAATTAGCCAGGCATGGTGGTGCATGCCTGTAATCCCAGCTACTCGGGAGGCTGAGGCAGGAAAATCGCTTGAACCCGGGAGGTGGAGGTTGCAGTGAGCCCGGATCACACCATTGCACTCCAGCCTGGGCAACAAGAACGAAACTCCATCTCAAAAAAAAAAAAAAAAAAAAAAAAAAAGCTTCTAGGCCAGGCATGGTGGCTCAGGCCTATAATCCCAGCACTTTGGGAGGCTGAGGTGGGCGGATTGCCTGAGGTCAGGAGTTTGAGACCAGCCTGGCTAACATGGTGAAACCCCATCCCTACTAAAAATACAAAAATTAGCCGGGCATGGTGGCGCACGCCTGTAGTCCCAGCTACTAGCTACTTGGGAGGCAGAGGCAGGAGAATCGCTTGAACCGGAAGGCAGAGGTTGCAGTAAGCCGAGATCTCGCCACTGCACTCCAGCCTGGGCGACAGAGCAAGACTCCATCTCCAAAAGAAAAGCTTATAAATGCCTAAATATACTTCAGCAAACCCCTTCAAATTAAATAGTAAAATGCAGCTTTATGAAATTAAAATTTTAAGGTATTTAAAAATAAAGGAAGCGTTATGCATTCATACTCAAAGGGCACAACATGCTCCCACAATCTGGCCATAAATGCCTGGGGGCCTAAGAGAATGCAGAAAGACTGAGAATCTAATCTATTAGATCTAGCTATGGTTTTCCAAATTAGGGGAAAGGGTAGTTGGCAGTTAAACTGAAACCAACAGACTTTTACTCTCTGTGAAATTTGCTAAAATGGACATTTCTACAAAAAGATGTTTAAAGTGTTTTTTTATATATTAACTTCAGTACTCTCAATACCATCTGTCCTACTGCTCAAATATATTTTAAAAGCAACACACACACAAAGAATGGTTCCAGTTCTATCCATGCCCTGAATTCAAAGTAATTACCACAGATGGATTCTGAACCAGAAAATAGACAGACGAGTGTTTATTAAATACCTACTATATGCCAGACCTCAGTGCTAATAAGGTACCCCCTTTGCCTGACCCTTTGTCTTCCCAGTCGCCAATGGCCATGATAGGTTAAGAATGAAGAGGGACTGAATGCCATACCACACCTTCAGATACAGCTGATATTTACCAGCAGGCAGAGGTGAACGGCACACAGAGAGCTTGGAGCTCAGTGCAACCGAGGAGCATGTCAGCCCTAAGTCATCCTTTTTCATCTTAAGAGGCTGACAAAAGTAACTCTTTCATCTTCCTTTCTCTCTTAGCATTTTTTTTTTAATGGAGTCTTGCTCTGTCACCCAGGCTGGAGTGCAGTGGTGCGATCTTGGCTCACTGCAACCTCTGCCTCCAGGGTTCAAGGGATTCTCCTGCCTCAGCCTCCCGAGTAGCTGGGATGACAGGCGTGAGCCACCATGCTTGGCATTCTCTCTTAACTTATAAGCCTATCTTCCCACCCTTCAGGCCTTCCTGATTGAGGACAGAGCTTCCTCCCATAATTTTTTTTTCTTCTGTGAGACAGGGTCTCACTCTCTGTCACCCAGGTTGGAGTGCAGTGGCGTGATCACAGCTCACTGCAGCTCAACCTCTGGGGCTCAAGCCATCCTCCTGCCTCAGCCTCCTGAGTAGCTGGGACTACAGGCACCCGCCACCATGCCCAGCTAATTTTTGTATGTTTTGCAGAGACAGGGTTTCAATATGCATTGCCCAGGCTGGTCCTGAATTGCTGAGCTCAAGTGATCCCCTTGCCTCGGCCTCCCGAAGTGCTAGGATTACAGGTGTAAGCCACCACACCCGGACTTCCTTCTCTAATTTTATCTTGTTTCTGGTCACCAATAAGACTGAATCTGGAACTTAGTAGAATCTCAGAGTGGTAGAAAAGTGAAAATGGGGGTGTCTGGAAAAAGGATGAAGACACATCACTAACTTCAAGAACACAAGTTTTCCAGGCCTCATAAAGCTCAGAGCCAGGTGCCAGTGTGGTTCTATAGGTTAAAGAGAGACAGGAAGGGTGCAGAAGTTCTGACAGGGTCCCAAGGCCCAACCGAAAGGTGCCTCCTTTTCTCCCTTTCCTTCTCCTTGTTGCTGATTATTCCCCTTTTGTTCTTCTATTCAACCCATACTTATTTCTTGAGTCCCTACTTAACATATGCATGTTTCCCAGTTTAACACTGCCTTCATCAACATAATGCCGTCACACACATAGCACCTGACATTTTATGAACACAACCCTTCAGCAATCTTATAGAAAGCCTTTTGTGAAAAATAATCCCTGAAGAGAAATGTCACTGAACATTATTTTGGGTTGCTGGACCACAAATCCCACTAGTGCCCACCAACTTCATGTCAATATTCAGAACCATGAGGCAGATCATTCATATGGGTGCAAAATACTGATAATGAATGCTTGGCAAGAGTTCTTTCTGCATGGCCACTTAGGGGACACACAAGAGCCGATTTCCAAGGCTGGCACTAACAATCGAACAGTAATAATGAGTAAAAGCAGCCATGCTGTATTGGGTACCTGTTTATAGGTCAGGCATTAAGCTGGTGCTTACATACATTATCTGGTTCAATCAATCCTTACAACTGAGGCCAATTTTATCATCCCAATTTATTGGAGAAGAAAAGCTGAGCTCCAAGACTTTGCCCACAGTCACACAGCAAGTTAAGAAGCAGCACTAAAATCTGGACCCTAGGCAATCCAACAACTACACTTCTCCTTTCCCCAGAGGTGGACAGGAGTGAGACAGGACTTCAGAATGTCTGGAGACCCTCCTCAGTTCTGGGTGCCCTCTCTTCTGCCTGTGGATAAGGCAGGTGGGAACGAATGCTGGGGATGGGAAATCTGTGTGTCAGAAATAAACGTGTAAACATTTTCTCTATGCCCTAAATAATGTCACTTACCTCTCAAACCATTACCTCATGCTTTTGCACTTGAACAGTTTAAAAGCAAGTAATTCTTTGCTAAGTAAAATACTTCAGCAAGGAAAAGCAAGGTCTCACCTATTCAGACTGGGTTTCAAAGAAGCAATCTGCACTACTGTATTCGAGTTATATTCCAAGATTTGTCTAAAACTTTCAGGTTCCACGCCCAAGACTAGACTACTCCCAGGGCTAGGCTATCAGAGAATTATTAGATTCTCTACTTCATCCTCAGCTACCACTAATGAAAAAGACAACGGTGCATGGAACACGGCTCTAAGCTCCCTGACCCTGCAGCAGACTGCAGCCAAGCTCTGCAGCCCTGAGTTCCTGAGGACAGGGACATGCATGTGTTGCATTAAGAAAAATAATTATAAGAGGCAATAGACTCCCATTTGGAAACCCAGAGAAAATAAAACCACATTCATCAACATTCCAACCACAGTATTATTTTAGGACAGTTCCCTGCAGTTTTTAAAAAATACATTTAGCACATGGTTGTAACCGTAGCCCATATGCAATTCTGTTTTATTTCAACTACTTCTACTTGATTATCAAGGGTCACCTGTTCTATTGTGCCTTTCCCAGACATCCACTTGTTCAGGTGAAACAAACCCTTCTCCTCTATGCCTTCACCATCCCTTAAACACACATGAATTGTGCCCCTCTAAAAGGTTAAGTAGCTTACACATCAGGCTCCCCCTATAAGCCATACCCCTTCCAGAGCGATATGATTGTGAGCTTTGATTATTTCTCATGTATTTGGCAAAAGCAACACCAAAATGTTAGCAGGGATAACACTGGAGCAGCAAGACCATGGCTGATTTCCACTTTTTGATGTGGCTCCAACTTTTCTTTTGACAACATATAATTTCTTTCGTGCATATTTAACTGATTATAAAAGTTTCTTAGAACTGCTATTGATCAACTTCAAAATCACACAAAGTTCGGGGTCTAAGAGTAGGAGACATGGGCCAATGTCTCAATTTTAAAGCAGGAAAGTGGGTGATCCTGATATCTACAAATAAATAAGCCTGGACGACTACAGACCAATAATGGTTCCCGGCAAAATTATAGAACAAATGGTTTGGGAACATTTCGAAAAAAATGTGAATGTTGGGAAAAGGCAATGTGCGTCCACAATGACAAAGGCATGCCAAAACCAATCGATTTTTCTCTTGTGGTTACCAAGTTGGTAGATCAGGTGAGATGCCAAAGATATCATGCACCTAGATTTCAGCAAAGCATCTAGAAAAACCTCCTATGATCCACTTGTAGATAAGACAGTGAAACAGAGTGAAGCTGCTTGCACCACTGTCTATGTAGCCAGGTGGTTACTACCCCACTGACCGTACATCACTCCCTCCTTTGGGCCGCCATTGTGCTCTGTGCATATGCTCTCAGAGCACTTATTAAACTTGATTGAGTTACTTGTCTTTCTACTAGACCAGGTGTCAGCAAACACACCCACAGGCCTAACCCAGCCCGTCACCTGTTTTTGCAGTTTTATAGGAACAGCCACGCCACTTGTCTCCATCTTGTCTATGGCTACTTTGGTGCCACAATGGCAGAGTTGAATAGTTACAACAGAGAATGTATGGCCCGCAAAGCTGACAATATTTACCATCTAGGCCTTTAGAGAAAAAGTGTGCCAATCATGATCTCTTTTCAAGCTGATGATCTCTTTCCAGGCAGGACAGTTGTCTTACTCCTTTATACCTTCGGCACTGGCATAGTGCCTGGCACATAATGGGCACATAATAAACATCTGGTGAGTAAATGTATACATTGGCATCACTAATGACTTGATGACAAGCTAGAGAAGGGTTACTGGTGGAATGACGCAGGGTTCAATTCTTAGGCACACACTGTCCACTGTCTTTTTAACAATGACTTGACTAGAGACAGACATGAAGGGCAGGCTTATCAAACCTTCAGATGGCACAAAACTGGGAAGAAGAGCTAATGCTATAGATGCCAGAATCAAGATTCAAATGACCTTAACAGCCCAGCATTCTGGGCGAAAAACAAAGCCGATTGTGCAAAAGTACGGGCTGGGGGCAGGTCTAAACTTCCTGAAGTCCACGAGACCTGCCCTGGCAACCATTCATGGGAAACAGAGAAGGGTGCCATCCTGACCACAAGGTTCATCAGAGCCCACAGTGCCCAGAGTAATACAATCTTCAAAGGCATTAAAAGTAGGACAGCATCTGGTTCACAGAAAAAATGGTAATACTCACACTGTACCCTGCTGTGGTCAGGCCACAAGTGGAGGATTCAGCTCAGGGCACCACACTTCTTTTAATGTATTGTTTTTAATAGATTCCAGTCACATGGTTTAAAAGACACCCAATGGTTTATAGTGAAAAGTCCCTATTCCACCCCCAAGTCAAAAGCAACCAACATTACCCATTGCTTTTGTACCCTTCCAGGTGTAGTATATGCACATACAAGCAAATGTCCTGTCCTGTTTTTGCACAAATGATAGCATACCATACAGCTTAACATTATTTTTTCACATAAAAAATATATGCTACAGAGTCCCATGTCAGTACTTAAAAAGCTGCCTCATTTCTTTCTGTGGCTGCACAGTCTTTGATTGCATGAAGACACTATACTGATGGACATTTAGGTTTTCCAGTCTTTCGCTACCACAAACAATGCTGTCAGAAATGGACATACATCTTTTTTCACATATGCAGGTATATCTGTAGGACAGATTCCACAAAGTGGAATTATAGGATAAAGTGGGTATCTTTGTAATTTTGATAGATATTGTCTAATTGGATACCACCTTTTAAAGAGAGAAACGGACAAAATGGAGTTTTCTAAAAAGGGGGGCTGGAATTTATGTCCCGGATGGAAGAACTAAAGAGGCTTAATATGGAGCAAAGAGGGCTGCAGGGAAAGATGAGCACCATCACCCTCAGATACCCACAGCTACCATCAATAAGTTCAGTCCTCCTTCACCAACCCTGTGCCTGACACATGCTTGCAGGCTTGCATACATCATCTCATCGACTGTCACAACAACCCTGAGAGATGGGCATTTTTATCCTTACTACGCAGATAAGGAAACTCAGGCCAGAGTCCTCTTGCCAAAGGCCACAGAGCCAGGAAGGGGCAGAGCTCAGACTCAAACCAACCCAGGTAACTCCAAGGCTGCCGCACCTTATCTTAATCCCCTGTCCCTCCGGGCTGGGCCCTGTGGCCACAGCAGCATTCTCAGACCTGGCGCACCTGCAGATCACCTGGGCAGCCTCTGCACAGGCCCCACCACAGATCCTGATCTAACTTTTGAGGGGAGTTGGGGGGAACAGATATAGTTTTGAAAGCGCCCCCCTCTCTCAGGCGCATCCAATGTGCAGGCAAGGCTGAGAATTATTGCTCTAACCCACAGCAGTAGTTCTCCAACTAGGAAAGGCATCGAATTCACCTGGATTACTTGTAAAAAAGATTTTGGGGCCCCCACCCTGTGAGTTTCTGAATCAGCAGGTCTGGGGTGGGGCTGGAGAATTTGCACAAGTTTCCAGGTGATACTGATGCTGGTGGTCCAAGAACCATGCTTTAAGAACTACTCTACAGAAGCAAGAGCTACTACTACTCCTCTTGGTAATACATAGCAATTAACATTTTTCAAGGTACATTATTCCAGCGAGCCTTCACTGTTCTGGAAGGTCCAATGGGATAATGTCCTCTGTTAAATGAAGTGAAAACTGATACTCAAGTGTCTTAGCCAAGTTTATAAGTGTTATATAATCTTCACTTCTTCTTTTCTTTCTTTCTGTAAAATTCTTTGGCTTATACTTAGGTTTTCTGACATATAGTTCAATCTTCTTTCCACTGTACTAACACCAGGCTCTAAATTCCAAGAGGGCAAAAACCTTATCTATCTTGTTTACTCGTATTCCTCCTGAACCTAAAACAGTCGGTGCTCAATACATACGTTTGAATGACGAAATGAATCATGGGGTGTAAAAACTAGTGTGACATGGGTTCTAAATGAGAAAACTGTATTACAGGATGATTTCAGCTCATATGAAAGAATTTTAACAATTAGCCGGACACAGGGGCTCATGCCTGTAATCCCAGCACTCTGGGATGCCAAGGTGGGCAGATCATTTGAGCTCAGGAGTTCGAGACCAGCCTGGCTAACATGGGGAAACCTCGTCCTTACTAAAAAAATACAAAAATTAGCCAGGCATGGTGGCAGGTGCCTGTAATACCAGCTACTCGGGAGGCTGAGGCAGGAGAATCACTTGAACCCAGGAAGCGGAGGTTGCAGTGAGCCGAGATCACGCCACTGCACCCCAGCCTGAGCAACGGGGTGAGACTCTGTCTCAAAAATGATTAATTAATTAAGAATTTTAACAATTAAAATAATTCAAAAAATAAAATGAACTGACTCAATAAGTAGTGAGCTCCCTGTCCTTGGAAAGATGCAAGCAGAGGCCAAATAGCCATGTAACAGAAATGTCACAAAGCAACTATACACCCCAAGACAATGTATAGTTGATCTCCATCACCTCTAATATTTTTCACAAAGCTAAATTTAACTCCTGTGTGATCCAGTAGAGAGGCGGCACTCTATGAATCCTTCTTGACTACTGGTCAGCAAGCCTGCCAATAGCTTCACTACATAAGTTTACACCAATTGTTGCACTTCTCAGCCTCAATTTCCCTGGACACAAAAGGAAGTGGTTTGTCAACCTCTTGGGATTGTCTAACAAAGTGACTGGCAAATAATAAACAACTAACAGATGTACCCAAGAACTTAAAATGCATACGACGTCTGCCTTTTCCCCTCTCTGCCATTCTGCATTGCAACTAATCCTGCATCTAATTGATATCTCCATGAAAATTAAACTTGAGGAAGAACCAAGGGCAAATCCAAAACCACACTGAGCCACCCTTTGAATTCCATACCTTTGCCAGTTTAATTATCAGTCTATTATTTTTTAAAAGTCCATTCTTCTAACAGCCACTTTCTGGGCACCCACTGTGGGCAGAACACTATGCAAGACCCTTGGAGAATACAGAGAAGGCTCATGCCCTTCTCTGCCTTCTTGGGTGTGTACCTGCAACTACCACATTGTTTAAAGATAGCTCTGAATTTCCCCCACCTGGGTAATGTCGAGGGCTTCATTAAAATTTACTAGTGCAGAGCTGTGTTTACAGATTGATTTCATCAAGGAAAACCAAAACACAGAATAATAGAATGAGGAGTGAACCAAGACCCAGATGAAAATTTTTAATTTTTAAGGTCTAGGATACCAGTTGTCAAGGTTTACCTCTTCGTAACGGGTCAGAACACAGTGCTGTGCCTGGCCCAGCCCTTGTCCAAAATCCATTTCACTCACACCTGAATGATATAAAGGGGTCATCCTGAGAATGGTTCTTAGGCAACAGCTTCTCAACATCACCAACACTGTGAAGTCTTAGAGGCACTAGATTTCCAAGGGGAAAGGATAAGAAACTGGGGAAGACTCCCAGGCAGCCATATAAAGCCTAAGACTCTTTATTTACTTACTTTGTATATTAAAAACTGTTTCTGGCTGGGCGCAGTGGCTCACGCCTCTAATCCCAGCACTTTGGGAGGCCGAGGTGAGTGGATCACCTGAGGTCAGGAGTTCCAGACCAGCCTGGACAACATGGTGAAACCCCATTTCTACTAAAAATACAAAAATTAGCTGGGCATGGTGGCACATGCCTGTAATCCCAGCTATTCAGGAGGCTGAGGCAGGAGAATCGCTTGAACCCGGGAGGTGGAGGTTGCAGTGAGCCAAGATCGCACCACTGCACTCCAGCCTGGACGACAGAGCAAGACTCAGTCTCAAAAAAAAAAAAAAAAAAAAAAAAAAAAAACTGTTTCCACAGTACCAACAAATGAGAACCCACACAGCAGCTATTAAAACACTGAGAACTCCCTGGAGGACCCTACAAAGACGGTCAGTTTGGAACCAAAGCGGAGATTCCATTTGTCAGAGAAGTTGAAACCTTTGGCTCCCATGTTAGACAATGCAAATGACCTCTTCAGAATGTAGGAGGCCAAGAGAGAATGACTCAGAAAAGGGAAGCCAGTCATATACTCCAAAGCCAGAGATGAAAGGCTGAGATGAGTGTTTGCTGTCATGATTCAGCTCTTAAACAGATTCTGACAGCCACATTCAGGTGCCTGTTAACAAGGCTTTTCTTCCTTAAGGAATATCAAAAACAGCCTGCAGAAACAGTTCATAAGCATACACTGTCAAGATTCTGGACACTTAAACTACCAAGCAGTTTGCCGAGGGCATCACTGCAACGATAAAACATTCAAAAAGCTAACATTTTATTGTCCAGTTCCTGTAGACATACAGCTGAGGAGATTAGGGAGGAAAAGATTGCAGGTTGAAATCTTGTAGCCCAGAGGTCCCAAAACTCTAAGATGTTTAAGAATCACCTGGAGTGCTTGATAAATGCAGAACCCCAGGCCCAGCCCCTAAAAAGGTTAACTGTATGAACGCAAAAAAGGCACTGCCCCATAAGGACTCCATATTTCAGTAAGCACCCCATGCCTTTCAAAGGTAGGTGGTCCCTAGACAACTCTTGAGGAAACGCTGACCTGGTCCAATGGGCTATTTTTGTAAGTAAGAAAAATGAAGCCCAAAGTAGTGCAGTGACTTGCCCAAGTCCAACTTCCTAAGTCCAATAATGGCTCCACAAGGAAGAAAGCTAGAAATAAGAATAGATGCCTCACATTATAACCCAAATTGCTGAAGAGCATGGTCAGCCCCTAGGGCAGCAGACAGCAAGCTAGGTCCTTAAACAGAGCCTCTTCCCAATGAAAGAACCTGCAAAAGAGGTCCCCTGGAAGGAAGACTGATAAGCGAATAGCAATAACTGGATTCAGCAGGGCCCCTGTGTTTCTTGCCACAGAACTCTGTCTACACCCCAAACACTGTCACCTGCACTGCCACTTCCTATTCACCTGACTGTGAACACCTGCAGGGCAGGGACTGGGTCCCATCCATCTCTGCATCACCACTGTCACATAGAAAGTCTTCATGAACTCTTTTATTCCAAGAATGAACGCTGTTACCACCCTCTGCATAGAATGCCTTCCAAGACGCTGGTTCACCTGCTGCATTTCCCTTCATCCCAGCTCCAGCTCAGGTGTCACCTCCTCCCACCAGACACAACCAGGTGTTCCTTCCTACCTCTCCCAGAGGACCCTGTACTTACCTGTTAGTACTTATCACACAGCTTTGTAATCATCTTGTTTACCTATGAGACAACTCCTTGAGAGCAATGATTTTGTCTTTGAAACCTCAGCCCCTAGCTCAGCTTGCCATGCAGAAGTTGCTCAACAAATGTTTAGAAGGTGTTCAATAAACGGAGGGAGGCAGGAAGAATGAAAGGGAGAAACTAATCTAAAATATCTCACTACAGACTCAAAACCCTACAAAGTTGTAGATGTGCTCTGCTGGGGTAAAGAAATACTTTAGTATTTCCTCTGCTCAAATCTGAAAAGTCAAGTCACCTTCTCTCCAGAGCCACCATGATCAGAGAGTTGTATTGGCAGCACTTGGAAAGGTCCTCCCCTGTGAATACCCCAACACACCTGTGGTCCACCCTCAACACATTCCTTCAACTCCCTCCTCCCAGCTTAGCCAGAGCTTCCCGAGTCTCAGACCTTCCCACAGGTCTGTACTGAGAACCGAGCACTTATCTCTGCCCACCCTGTACATGTTACCTGCCCTGGGGCATCTGTGGAGGACATCGGTCCCCATACAATACTCCCTGGTGCACAGGCCAGGCAAAGCACCAAGGGAGGTTCTCCAAACATCCACAGCTAGAGAGGGGCTTTTCAGGCAAAGACGGTTTCTCTTTGAGAAGTCAAAGCCAGACTTTTGCCCTCAGCCTGCTCTGCCATGCTCTGCCACATCCCCGCACTCTAGGCAACTACCAGCTCGCAGCCAGGTAGAGCAGCACTAAACTTCCAACTCAGAGGTGCCAACTCTGTGGTTTACACCTGCTACTCCTTCACCTTTGCAAGGCCTTGTGCAGCTGGCCAGGCTCCCTCTGCCCACCAAACTGCGAGCCAGAGCCCCATTTCACATGTGCAGAAACTGCCCTAAAAGGCTAAGCGACTTGCCGGAGGTCACACAGCTCAAAAGCAGCAGAACTGGGGCTCACAGCAAGGTGTGCAGACTTTCCACTCATTGCTGCCACAGTGGCCACATGTATCAGTCGTCTCCTGGACCCAGTACGGTTTTCTCACCGTCTTAACTGGGGCCTTCCATTTTCAAAGCCAACAGCCCTTGAAACCTTTTTGAGAGATTTCCCTATTTGCATTTTAGCTGCTATATAACAAACCAGATTTCCTGATTCTTTCTTGTGTTTATTATGGTCAGGATATTTTTTCCTAATGCTCTGAGAATTATTCCCATAGGAAACATTCAGCTCATTTGGAACTCTTTTGACACTAAAACCTCTTTCCCTGAGAACCTGCCTTCAGGGGCAAAACAAGGCTGGTGGCTGCTGATAAGCCACAGCGTGGCATGGAGAAGCAGCACGGACTTTCAACGAGGCAGCCCCCGTCCCGGGTCCACCCCCGAAGACGAGCTGTGCAATCCACCACAGTCAACTTCACCTTCCCAGGTCTCAGTTTCCCCACCACACAATATAAATAATAAAACCTAACTTAAGGGATTGTTGTTAGGATTTAAGATAACATGCACAGGGGCCAACATGTGCATTGTGTGACCTTAAATCCTAACAACGACCTCTTAAGTTACGTTTTATTATTTTAACTCTCTCCCCGAATAGGAACTGATATTATTTCAATTACTTTCAGGCAAAGTCAACTTGGAGGGGAAAACACAGTATATGTATTTTTCTCATGCCCTGAGATTTCGTCCCATAAGAAATACTCAGGAAAGCCTCCTGCCACAAATAAATGCAGTCATGGAGGAGAAATCAGAAATGAAGGGGGCAGCTTGGACACCTTAGGAAGGCAAAAGGGGATGGTTACTCTCTTGGGGCTAAAAAGGCCTCTCAAATGCCCCAGGTTCCCTCAGTCCCAACCCCCACAACCTACAAGGCCTGTTATCTAAGACAAGCCACTAACCCTCACTGAGCCTCACTTCCTCATCTGCACGACACAGATAACCTCACCAACAACCCCCAGCTGTCCAGGATGGTGGAAGGAAGGGTTTCTCCAAGGGTGGCCTGCACACCCCCTGCACCTCAGGCCCTGCTGGGAACCTTCCCGGCCTCTGGTTCCTGCTCCTTCCTTCCTGACAGAGCCTCCACTCTGTTCAGGTACCCACCCCACCTCCAGATGGCTCAGGAAATGGGATCCCCTTTCAGTCAACAGTGATTGACTCAGGGAAGACATGTAACCCAACTCCAGCCAAGAGGGCATGATGAGAAGAGAGCTGGTGGTGCCTCCAAAAGCTTCCTGACTCCTGAGAAGAAGCACCAGAATCCATTTATACCCTTCTTTCCAAGAATGTTGTGTCTGAGATGCTTGGAAATGCTGTGGCTGTCTCATTCCCAGCTTGCAAATGAAGATAATGCCAAGGATGACAGAGATGAGAAGAAGCTGGGGTCTTGTTGACATCACCAAGCCACTGAAACAATCAATCCCAAACCCGCCCAGTGTCTGGATTAAGAATGGCCCCATTGCACAACTCCAGGGGGCATGATTCACATTGCAGTCCACATGAAACCACTCCTGTTTGAAAGACAATGAATTTCCCTATTGTCATCCTGTGCAGGCTAGACAACTCCATCTTGAATGTTAATCCATCACATTGACTTCTGATTAACCACTGTTCATGGAAGGCCTCTAAGATTTCCAGTGTATCGGTTCTTCTTTGTCTAAGAGACTGTACATAAATCCTGCCCTTAGGTGAAAACAACCTTGATATTATCATGCTTCAAATGTCCTACACATCCCTTCGTAAGTCACTCCCTCCCTATGGTACCGTATATAAACCCTGGGTCTTGGGGGTAATAGCGCAGGGATCCACCATCTTGTCTCACCACCATCCGAGACACAGACATGGTTTCTGTTCATAAGTCCCTATTGAATGTTTCTTTCTGAGAAACTAGATAAATCAGCCTCTTTCTTCAGCCTGTCAGCATCCTTGAACTTTGGGGGTAGGTTCGCATAGGCCTGCCCACTGCAAAACATAGCCAATCTGACTTAGGGTTTCTGACTTGCAGCTGAAAAAATCTGGGTATGACCTGCATAACCTAGGGAATATATTAAAAATCACGAGTTTTGGGTCCACCAGAGAGTAATATGCATTTTTAACAAGCACCCCAGGGGATTCTTACGCTCCCCAAGTTTAAGAACCAGTGATTTAATGGAATGTAGAGATGTCCAGTGCAATGCCAGGCACACAGACAACACTATGCCACAGTCCAAAATGGACTTACCAGAGAAACACCATCCCACTTTTTCACTTGTGAAAAACTGCAGAAAGAACAGATGAGGACAACCAAAAGGGGAGTGATGAGCTGTCAAACAAATAGCACCTCTTCCCCTAAAAGGCTGCTTCTGCGTGGTTTTAGGAAACCGTCTGCTAACATTCAGCCAAAATTCTCTCCCAGGACAACCCACTGCTGCTGGTTGCCTCCACAGCTGCACAGCTGGAGTCTACCTGGACCTCTGTTCTTGTGGACCTCAGCACACAGCACAGCAAACAGGCTCACGGCCACATGACTGGCCGTCCCGCTCTCCCGGTGGCCATTTTAACTTTATTAAAAGGTCATTTTCCTGGCCTGGCTATCTCTTATCCTGGACAGATCACCCCCTGTGGCACCAGGAAATGGCAAAGGAAGCTGGATTTATTAGAAGAAGATAAAAGAAGGAGCTGGCTGAGCCACCAGGCTGTCTAGAAATCATTGTTTTTGAAATGTCAAATATCCAGAAATCCTAAGGGGTCACAGCTATGCCCCTAATTCCAAGAGTAAACCAAGACCAGAGAGGGGGTGGGACTTGGGGCCCCCAATCATGCAGCTTTTTCCTTTTTTTTTTTTTTTTTTTGACATGGAGTCTAGCTCTGTCACCCAGGCTGGAGTGCAGTGGCGTGATCTCGGCTCACCGCAACCTCCACCTCCCGGGTTCAATCGACTCTCCTGCCTCAGCCTCCCGAGTCGCTGGGATTACCGGTGCCTGCCACCATGCCCAGCTAATTTTTGTGTTTTTAGCAGAGACAGGGTTTCACTGTGCTGGCCAAGCCGGTCTCAAATGCCTGACCTCATGATCCGCCCTCCTCGGCCTCCCAAAGTCCTGGGATTACAAGCACGAGCCACCGCGCCCGGCCCATGCAGCTCCTTCAACACTAGTCAGAGTCATAGGGGTTTCCTACCATGGCAATGCTAAGGGATGATCAGGGGGCAGAGACTGTGTGGTGTGGATAAAAGGAGACTGGAAGGAGGCATCAGCACCAATTTAGAGAAGCCCTTTCAGGACATGAGTTGTGTGAATAAACCGTGAAGGCCAAGGGCAGCAAAGAACATCTCACCTGCTCTTTTTGATGTTAAGATCCTTCGGGTAGGCCTATTTAATTCATTTTGGCTTTTTTTCCCCATTCAATAAGTATTTGAGTGACTATTAAATGAAGAAGGCTACACTAGGGGTTGCAGTGACAAGGGAGGGGGCCAGAGCTGAAGAAAGCACGAAGCATCTCAGTCTAACAGTGAGGATAAGGCAAACACAGAGGAGAAAGTGAAAAGCAAGTACCATTAGGGGAAGTGTCCTCTTCAGAAGACCTCCCTACACTCCCAAGTTCAGTGATCAGGCACCCTCCACTCTGTGCTTCCCCAACACCCTCGGCATATAACTATCATTGCAGCTACCACACTGCACCATATCTGTCTGTCTCCCGTAGCAAGAGACTCAACATCTCGTTCATCCTCACATATCTAGCACAAGTCCTGGTACAAGGAGGGACTCAATAAGCACTAGTTGATGAAATGGATAAATGAATGGATGGATGATGGGTGGAGAGATGGATGGATGAGTAGATGGATACAGATGCCCAGGAATTCTGGCCAGCAAATCAGGGAAAGCTTCATGAGGGCTAAGGCATCTGAGCTAGAACTTGAAGGATGTGAACAAGTGGAGATGAAGAAGAGACCACTTCATCCAAAGTGCCTAGTACCATGTTAGGGAGGCATAAAGTTGGTGCTTCACAAATGCATCCTGGATGGGTTTACTACTGAACTGGGTTTTCCTAAGTGAAGGAATCTGCCTTCACTTCCTATAGCCTACCATCTCTCTCTAGATAAAGAGAAGCAGGCCCTAAACAGCAATTAAACTGATAAACCAAGGGAAAGGCAACTAACTATCAGTCTCTACAAACATTACTCTCCAAAGACAGTTTAGCAGAATGAAGACACTCCATTTGTACTGATAAGAGTTTTCTAGGATCCATTGTTAAGAGGCAAAAGCAATATATATATATTATACACATTCCCCATGTATGTATCTGCATATAGAAATCTTGGAAGGATACGCAAGAAACTGATAAAAGTAACTACCTATCTGTTGGATAATATATAATTCATCACCTAAACTGGGACACTTTTGAAAATGAAAGAGGGTGTGATTGATCATTCACTGGAACAAAGAAGGTAAACCGGAACTGCTCTGGACAAACTAGTTCATTCCAGCTAATGGAGGTGGGGTGAGGGAGGGAGTATAGGGGACCCAGCAGGGGTAAGAATGAAATTTTTCAATGTATACATTTTTATAGTGCCTTAATTTCCAAACCATGTGTATGTATCAAACTATTTTTACATTTAATAATCTTTTAATGGAAAGGAAAAGGCAAAAGAATTTAGCCTTCCAACTTGCTTAGACAAGGAAGCTCATTTGCGGGCACCACTGAATAGCCACCCTGAAGAGAACCCCTAGATATGAAATAAAATCACTGCTCGTCGCACAGCCCTTTGGCAGCACACAAGAAAACAGCCTCAAGAAGAGAGAGCCGTGCATGGCCTAAAAAGGCTGGGACTCTGCACGGCCGGCTGAGACGGGGAACATCAGGGGAATATAAACATTGTAAGACAGACGTAAAGCAGTTCAGGTTTTACACAATCATGGCAACAAAGTGAGATTGATTCAGGGCTGAATTAAGCTCTTTATATTGTTTCTACTTAAAAAGGAAATGTATTGACTACAGTCCTCCTCACAGATTTATCTTTCCTGACATCAAGCACATTCATAACCTATTTTGAATTCCAAGGAACAATGCCGGGGTTTAGGAAAGTGAATACCAGTGAGTTCCACCAGGCCATTTTAGAGGCTGGGCAGAAGCTTCTCTTAACTTCTAATTGCTCAGGAAGTAGGCACAATGTTTTTTTTGGTTTTTTGGGGGTTTTTTTTAATCAGTCATAACCTCAAGTTAGAAAAATGCCTGTCCGGGATCCCTGAACTTTAGAATGGGTCTATGCTGGAAGAGCCACTTTGGAGCCTTTTTAGAGACCATGTGTGGGTGTCACTTGGATTTTTAATCTCTTTTGTAACCATCTCCTCCTTTCAGAAGTCACTACAGCTCCTCCAGCTAAGGCCTGAAGTGCCTAGACCAGGAGACATCTCATCTCCTGCCCCTAGACTCCAGCAGGCACTGTGGACACTGACCTTCCTAAGACCAGCTTGACCATGGCCCACTGTGAAACCTTCAGGGGTGCCATATGGCCTTGAGGATTGCAAGACCATGTAATTTATCATCCAAGCAGGGACACTTAAGAGGAAAAGGGGGCACTAGTAATAGTCACATTGGGACGAAGCACCCTGGGAAACTGGACCACAAGGTCATCCTACTATATAGAATAAATCCAATCCCTCTAACGGCTTGAATTCAAGATTCTCCACCATCTGGGTCCGACTTACTTCACAGTCTTTTTGCGTTCTGACTGTGCCACATGGTCTAATCACAGTGGGCCTGCAGGTGCCCAGCATGCCTTGGGCTTCACTGTCTCTGTCCATTTGCTCACGGCAGTCCCTCCTCCTGCCTCCACCCATCCCCATCCCCACCAGTCTGTAACGCCCCCTTATCCATCTAGGTAGGTCTAAATCTCACCCTGCATTCAAAACAGAATTTAACTAGTATCATTCATTACTGCATTCATCCAACAAATATGTACTGCCTGCTTGTTATGGCACATGGTGAAAAAGACTGAAAAAATTCCATCTCCCTGAAACTTTAATTCAAGTGTTGGGGGAGGTGCATGCACACTCACATAACCGTGATAATTGGTCCTAAGGAAGACACACAGTGACATGCTGGAGAAGCCACCCTGTTATGGTTTTGAACAGACACAACCACCACCCCACAAGGCTGTAGTAAGCTCCTTGAGGGCTAGGCCAAAGAGGTCCATTTCCCACCCCTGCTAAACCTATCACACGCCCCTGGGTAGAGCGGGTACTCAACAAACATTTGCTAGGTGAAGAATTAATATTAAAGAAGCTTACTTACTTAATCTGAAGAGAGTTTGCTAACAACTAGTTCTCAATTCTCCATTAATCTGTATGAGATCAAAGGAGAACCTGAATTTCCACTGACCTGAGAGGAACAACACCCCAGGTCCCACAACTATGACTCTCATTCCACCCTGATGCTGGAAGGGAAGTGATTCAGTGCTGTGCTGCTTCACCTGCGGTCACACAGCTAGTGAGTGGCTGGGCCACTGGAGAGGTCAGAAGGTGATCCAGGAAAGACTCAGAATTTAATGACTGGATAAAAAGCCAAAAGAGGCCGGTGTGGTGGCTCACACCTGTAATCCCAGCATTCTGCAAGGCCAAGGTGGACGGATCACTTGAACTCAGGAGTTCGAGACCAGCCTTGGCAACATGGCGAAACCCCATCTCTCCAAAAAAAATTAGCCAAGCATGGTGGCTCACACCTGCAGTCCAGTGACTTGGGAGGCTGAAGTAGGAGGATCACTTGAGCCCAGGAGGTTGAGGCTGCAGTGAGCCATGATCGCACCACTACACTGTAGCCTGGGGGACAGAGTGAGACTTTGTCTCCAAAAAAAAAAAAAGGTGCTTGTGAAGGGACACTGTTAGTTGGAGGGATCAGAGAGCTTCATGAAAGAGGCCTTGGGGTGAGTCCCAGGTGATAGAAAGGAAGTGGCCGGCAAGGTGAAGGCAGGGCCATAATTATGTGTCTGTGGCCACAGCAGATGCTTGACAAGGCAGTGCTAGCACTCAATCAGTGTTACAGAGGGAGCGGCTGCGCTGGGGCAGAAATTAGGCCTGGGGAGGTCACCATCTGAGATATGTCCACAGAGCCACCTTTCCATGTCTGACCTGGAAGAGGGAGCGGAAAGCAACAGCAGTCAGGGTAACGCAGTGGCCCCTTTCCTCAGCACTGCCCTCAGGAGACGGGCTGCTCTGACTGACCAGTTCAGCATGGGAGGCTCCAGTAAAAGCCAAGGGTCCTGGGGCTCCCCACATTTGTGCGCTATTCTCCAAGTGGATAGGGGCTGACTCGAGTTAGATTAAACAGTAACTGGTAACAGAGGAATTTGGCAAGCAGCATACTTGTATCTGAGTGTATCTGCAACATGTAACCCTTCCTCGGAGGTTTCTGATGCTGAGTAGTCAGAGCAATAACTTAATTTTTTTAAAAAATAGCACAATTACAGCATTTTGGGAAGCCAAGCCAGGAGGATCACTTGAGCCCAGGAGGTTGAGGCTGCAATGAGCTGTGATTGTGCCACTGAACTCCAGCCTGGGTGACAAAGCAAGACCCTGTCTCACAAAAAAATAAAAATAAATTTTACAAAAGCACAATTAGCTGCATCTGAATTCTTATTTCAGTTACATATGAAGTGAGCAAATCAATTCTCAGCAGCCTGGAGTGGACCCCAACCACCTCTCACCTGCTGCAACTAAGATGCAGCCCTAGGCCACCATGGCTGGTCACACCTTGCTAGAATTTTTCTTTCCAGCCTCTACCCACCACTAGCCCCACCTTGGCCCATCAAGTCTCAGTCAGTGACAAACCCAAACTATAAATATTCAGTAAGGTACAATTTAAGTCTCTAGAGCTAAAGCAACAACTCAAGTTCCTCAGATGGGACCTTCCACTAGCACTGTGCTCTGAGTGGTAACGATACAACCAGGATCCCAAAGGCCAGAGTTTCTCAACCTCAGCACTGCTGACATTCTGCATGGGGTAACTCTGTTACGAGGAGCTATCTTGTCCACTCTAAGATGTTCGGAAGCATGCTTGGCCTCTACCTATTATATGCCAGTAAGATTTGTGACAACCAAAAATGACTCTAGACACTGCCAAATGTCTCCTAGGGGTAAAATCCACATCCCCATGAGAACCATTGCCAAAGGATGACCTCCCTAAGTTTGCTATTTCATATATCCTCATATGCTCAGGCACCTGGGAGCACCTAGTCCAATAAAATGCCTTGGGAGTTAAAGGGAGAGTTTAGGATCTGGTGAGTTGGAGTCCTGGCTCTACATTGTACTAATTCCATGACTTTAAATAGGTCACTTAGACTCTTGGAGCCTCAGTTCCTTCATCTGCAAAATGGGAACAATTAAACAGCACCTACCTCATGGGGAAGCGATGGCAGTTACATAAAATGACATGTAAAGACTGCCTGGCACAGTGGGTGTTCAATAAACGTTAGTGATTATTTACAGGCTTGGAAAATTCCTTTTATCCAAGCCTGGAGTTTAGTCTTCTATTTCTGTGGCTTCTGATCTTCCCCCTCCTTCCTATGCTCTTTCCACCTGTTAAATGCCTTTAGTCTTAACCTTTGGTCTGAAAGAATCCTTCCTGCTAGTTCAAAGGTATCTGAGGTTAAAGCAAAGGAAAGAAACACACATACACACAGACCCTTTCATATTCAACCCTGGTCAGACCAACCCTCCAGACAAAGGTTCCCATTGTTGTCTAAAAACATACTTTTACACAGGGAGCCTAGGGGGCCTTTAAACAGCCACAAGCGCCAAAGTCTCCAGACTCCTCTAGTTCTCATTCCCATTCTGCCCCTAACCTTGGCACATTCTCTTCTCCTTTGTGGGCCTCAGTTTCCTCATCTATAAATGAGGGTTTCAGACTCAGAGGAGCTCTAACGGCCTCCCATCACTGGCCTCTAAGGTCTTGCACAGTACTGCAAAGCTGCAGCAGGGGTGGCAGCCGCAGCCGCGTTTTAGGTAAGTGTTTAACTTGGGAATAAAGTCATGTAGACAAATCATTATCTGTTGTTCCTATATTCCCAGAGAGCCAGCAGAATATAGTGGCATGGCTATTTGTTGCCATTGGAGTCAGAAATCTGAATAAAATGAAATCCCACCCTACCACTGAGACCTTGGGCAAAGTGGTTCACCCCTCTAATCCTACTGCCTTATCTGTAACATGGGCTAATAAGAGAGGCAGAAATGGTGTAAAGATAACAAGACAAAGATCATGAAAGCACCTGACAAACAGAGCTGGTAGGCATACTAGGTATTCAAAAACATATGCCTTCCTTTCTGGAATCTCTTCTGTGAATTTTGTACTATAACTCCATGTCATTCTGGAAAGTTCTTTCTTCTCTCCTTTCTCACATACTATTCATCCTTCATGGCTCTGTCCAAGTCCTCCTCTGCCAGGAAGCCCTCCCTGTAGACTCTGTCTCTAAAGACCGAAGGCCTTAAGTTTCCCAAAGACTAGCTTTGTGGAGGTTAGGTAGGAGGTCACTAGCCATCAGTTCCCTACCTTGAGAATTTCCTTTCTGCAAATTCAGGAAGATTAACCCCTTCCCTGCTGTGCCCCAGAATAGTGCACATACCTCAACATCTGCATAAACTTAGAATTCATACACCCCTTCGTCAAAGAGTCTCAAAACCACCCTGAGATGGGCTGGTTGAGTCAGGACAGCCCCTTCTTCCCCACAACTCCTCATCCAAGCTGGTCAGCCAGAGGCCCTCCCCCAGGCTCCTGCTCACTCCAGGAGAACAAGGAACAGGACAATGTGTTTCTCCTCTCACCTCTAAGGGATGGCCTCACAAATCCTCAGCCTAGACCCTTCCCCTTGCCTGAGCCCAGGGCTGCAATGACTGCACTGAGATGAGATGGAACCGTAAAGGCAGTGACTCCTGCTGACAATGAAATGGAGCTCAGGAGATGAAGGGACTGGCCTGAGGTCTCTCCACTAGATCACAACTGGGGGTTAGAAGAGGGATCTTGGGGCCCTCAACATACCAAGTCCCCACTCACGCCCTCTTTCCCCAACAGCGGGTACCCCTCCTGTCTCAAGTATCTCCATTCTCCCAGGCTGGGACCTTGCAAATACCTCCAGCTCCTCCCTTGCCTTATTTCTCTCATCCAAGACCAGAACCCTTCCGTGATAAGAAACTGCAGAGGGCCCCAACCTCCCAAGCCTACTGCCTGGTCCCTACCACCTCATGCCCAGGAGCTGAGGCTGAGCTCCCCAGAGCCCATCCCACCCACCAGGGCCAGATTCCTCTGGCCCTAACATGCCTTTTTCATGCCACTCACCTGTCCAACAATCTGCCATGGCTCCTCTATCCCACTGGATCAATCCTGTCCTGCCCAACATGCCCAACCCCCAGAAACCAGTCTTACCCACCCCTGCCAAGCTGGTTTCACCCTGCTCCCCTATGTACCCCTCCCCTCTTGCGGGGATTATCTCCTCTCTAATCCCTCTCTAGGTACCCATGTCATTCCCTTCCTTTGGAGGGTCCTTCCTTCTCCCCTTTCCTCCCTCCTATTGGTCCTTCAAGGCTCTGTCCAAGTTTCCCTCCACAAGGAGGCCTCCCATGACCCCCGCAGTGCTCTCTGACTCCTCTGCACACAATCCTCACTACACACTCAGGGCCTAAGCCTGTTGGCCTCCTGGCTGTGAGTTGTCACTACACTGTCTGAGCTGTACAAGCTTGACCTCATCACCAAACTGCAAAATGACCATCCACCAATATGGCCATGTTCCTTCTGCCTCCAACCTCAGCCTGGCATTCATCCCACAAATATTATCTGAGTGTCTCCAATAGACCCAGAAAGTTCTTGTCCATGTTCTTGAAACCCTCCTTACATTTCAAAGCACAAGTTAAATGCTACCTGTTCTGTGAATCCTTCCCCACACCGCCCCCCACCCTGTCCCCAGGAGCCATCTCTCCACTTTACTCTCAGGCCCTATTTCCCCATGTCCTCCCTGAGATCTAGGACTTCTGTTCCTTACTCATAGCTGGGCCTCCCACAATACCCTATACCAAGAGGATGCTCAATGAGTGGCTTTCACAGTGAACTGAAACAGAATCTGTCCAATTCTGAGGCCAGTCTGGGCTCCTGGGTGGCCTCAAGCTGCCTACATCCAAATGACCTCTCACTGTTCTTCCAAGATTGGATTTGGGCCCAGACTGAGTCAAATGACCTCTTATCATTCTTCCAAAATTAGGCTTTCCTCTTTAATTACACCTTATCTCGCCATACTCTTTGTGGATTCTAATTACGTAATTACTTCAAGCCCTGGGACTTGAAAACAAACAAAGAAAAGAAGGGAGTGTGCGTGATTACACAGGTAAGTAAACACACCAAATATGCTTATTTACATATACCATACGCCATTTTCTTGTTCCTATACAATGTTGTAACCTGCAGAATAAAACCTGAGGAGGGGTCTAAATCACATTAGGATAAAAATCCCACTGGGTAGCAGGAGACCAAGGAGAATGTCATTCTCCTGAGATGGGCTTTAAAGAGCCTTGAAGTCAACCTCCAGCACCCTCCTCTTCCCCTTCTACAATGAAGAGAGGGGCCTCTGTGATCTTGAGCATGTTCCATTTTTAAAGCATGACCAGGCCCGATCCCTGCTAAGCAAAATATATACCCTCTTCTGAATGCCAAGTATTCCTCATGCTGTGTCTCTCCTAAGGCACATTTGCACCACTGCTAGACTATGCCCATGCTGCAGGCAGGGGCCCAGTCTCATCTCTCTTAGTAATCCTAACTCTTAACCCCTCCCAATCCCAGTAGCAAGCCCTCCTCCTGCCTTACTAAAGTATGTGCCCTTCTCCCAATCCACTAAGCCTGCCCTTGCATGTGCCGGTCCCTCTGTCCTCTGGTTGGATTCCAGCTCACCCCCCAACCCACATGCCCTCATGGCACCCTGTACTTGCCCTAACATATTGTTCATCACACTTTGGCATAAAAACCCTTTCGACTATAATCCTAGCTACTCAGGAGGCTGAGCCAGGAGAATCACTTGAACCTGGGAGGCGAAGGTTGCAGTGAGCTAAGATCGCACCATTGTACTCCAGCCTGGGCAACAAGAGAGAAACTCTGTCTCAAAAAACAAAACAAAACAAAACAAAAAACAAACAAACAAAAAAACCCTTTCATTTTCCTACCTCTCCCTTCAGACCAGTAGTCTCCAAACTTTTTGATCACACCTTCCTATTTGTGAAATAGTTTTGAGGATACTTACAAAGTAATTATAAATCTGTACTCCTATAAATAGGAAAGCTAAGTCTTTCCTTTAGTTAAAGCATAAACAGAACTCCAACTGATAAAGCTTTCTTCCTGCCCTCAATGGCTATCTTGAGCACTGCTTATCTACTGCTCTAGTTTAGGAGCTCGGTGAGGACAGCAGGGGTGTTTCATTCTCGTTGTATTCCCAGGATCTCTACCGAACCCAAAACATAATAAATGAAAAAATGAATTAATTTACTTAACAGATAGTGGGGCCCCTCTGTAGGCCAGGCCCGTGCTAGGTACTGGGGACATACTGGTGACAAGAAAGAGCCCTGGCCACTGTTGTCATAACCCTACAGGCTGGTAGGGTGGGCAAACAATGATTTTCCAAAAAAGTGTAACAAAGACCACCGAACCATAAGAGCCCTCAAACAGGAGAGTGTCACCTAGGAAGCAGGGCCAGAGATAATTTCCCCAGAACATGACGCTCCAGGTGAGATCTGAGGGGTAAGAGGCACGAACCAGGTCAGGAAGGAAGGCTCCCTTTACATTCCAGGCTAAGGAAACCACATGCGCAAAAGTCCTGAGGCTGGACGGAGAACGGTAGGCACCAGGGACTAACAGAGGCCAGTAAAACAAAACAAATGCATAAACTCAGCAAGCCCAAGAAGGATGGCGAGCTCTCCTTCTCCCCTTCACTCCTCTCCACTTGTCAAAACAGACCACCCCCGACTACCACCCTCTGAGGCAGTGGCTCAGCCCTGCTACTGCCCAGCCTCTAAGCCAAGCAGAACAGGTGGGCTCTTGGCCTCCCAGCCAGCCCTCCCAAGACTGGACCCTCACATCACCCCTAACCCATGGACCCCCATATCACCCCTTCTGAGGAGCCCAGGGACTCCGAGAAGACACTCCTGAAAACCATGCATGTTGCCATAGGCACCAGCAATCAAAGGTTCCTGGACAGTTAATTTTTTAAAGAGAGTGTTAAATATTTTACATCTTCTAACAGCACTGTTTCTTCCTTGCCTATGATAAAAGGGAACACCCTATACTCCTCAAATTAAGGACTCACTCAAAATAAATGCCAATCTGCAAGACAGCCCAGGGAGGTCTGCACCCTACTGTCAAGGGCATCTTACAACGTCCTCATGACATCCTTGCATTCCTTGAGGGAAGCACCTGGAGAACCCAGAACCATAGGCCACCAAACCCCTTCCCTGCTGGAGCTCCTTTGACCCCAGGAAGGGAAAATTACTCACAATGATGCTTCAGGTGAGTATTTAAATAGCCCGTGCCTTTAATAATTAAAGACAAAACCAAGAACATAAACTGTAATGCAGGCTGGCGGCTGCAGACCCTCCTCCCGGAGCAGCTGTCTTGATGAGAAGCCGTATCTTCTAACAGTGCTCAGGCATGACTAATATTTCCCAGTTCCTAGGGGGCCTCGCCCCCTCACACCTGCCATTGCTGGCTCACTAATGTACCACGTCCAACATAGAGGCCCTGCAAAGCAAACACAAAATAGTCCTAAAAGGCCTAACATTGCCTTGGCCTCGGTTCATGGGCCTGGCAACTTGATTTTCAGCAACCACCAAACCCTGCTTAGGCCCTCAGCTCTCCCAAGCTCCAGCTTTCTCCAGCTACTCTCATTTCTGTCCCTGTTGGGATTTTGCTTTCCTTCTCCAGAGCCTCTATTCACTTTGTCCTGCTTAAAAGCAGTTCCCACTCCTGCCTCACCTCTCCACCCAGATTCCCCACTGGCAAGGCCACTGGGGCAGCAACTCAGATCTCCCAGCTCCAGTTCCAGCCTTTCTTACCTCATCCCTGGCTTCTAGACTCTGCCCAGTCTCCTATCGCCAGCCTCCTGTGTGCACTGTCTACAAAGAAAGGCCCTGTGGTCGCTCACACCTATAATCCCAGCACTTCGGAAGGCCGAGGTGGGCAGATCAGGAGTTCGAGACCAGCCTGGTCAACATGGTGAAACCCTGCCTCTATTAAAAACAAAAAAAGTAGCCGGGAGTGTTGGCAGGCGCCTGTAGTCCCAGCTACTCAGGAGGCTGAGGCAGGAGAATCGCTTGAACCCAGGAGGCGGAGGCTACAGTGAGCCAAGATCATGCCACTGTACTCCAGCCTGGGTGGCAGAGTGAAACTCCATCTTGAAAAAAAAAAAAAAGGGAGAGAAACAAAGGCCCAAGCCCAGAAGACTCAGCACTGTATATCTTACAGCAGCACTGGAAAGACTCCCTTACATCAACGTACCAGGCAAACAGTCCCATTTTCCTCCCTGTCAATTTGTTATAAGCAATTACAACCCCTGGCCATAATTCCATGCTCACAGGAAACAGTCACCCAACACTGGATCTGCCCCAACTGAAGATAAATTCTAAGTGGAGAAAAGCAATATGCAAATGAATTATCTTTTTACACATCAGACATACTGCTCATATGCTCAGCCACCAGGTTCCACACAGACTCCAGGCAATAAGAGAAACTGAATTTCACAAGGTATGTCCTAGTGGCCTTTCATACTAGGAAACCGAGGTCAGCCCACAGGTTGATGTTAATGATCAATGCATAAGCTATTATATAAATGTGTAATGAGCTTTCACACTGACATGCAAACAGAAGAACAATTCCGGGATCTACTAAGCACCCATTCCTATCATAACTGTTATAAGCTAGACCACCACCCAAGATGATGGAACATCAAGGCCCAAACAAGAATGGATTGGCAAAGCCAGTTACAGGCTGTATCAGTCCTTTCTTGCATTGCTATAAAGAAATACCTGAGACTAGGTAATTTATAAACAAGAGAGGTTTAATTGGTTCATGGTTCTGCAGGCTGTACAGGAAGCATGATGCTGGCATCTGCTCGGCTTCTAGGGAGGCCTCAGGAAACTGACAATCAAGGCAGAAGGTGAAGGAGGAGCAGGCATGGAGCAGGCATGTCACATGGCCAGGGCAGGAGCAAAAGAGCAAAGAGGGAGGGGCTGCACACTGTTAAATGACCAGGTCTCACAAGAACTCACTCACTATCATGAGGACAGTACCAACAGGATGATACTAAACCACTCATGAGAAACTGCCCCTACAATCCAATCCCCTCCCACCAGGCCCCCCTCCAACATTAGGAATTATGTTTCAATATGAGATTTGAGTGGGGACACACATCCAAACTGTACCATAGGTGAAGCCTCAAGCACTCAATACTTCTTTTTTTGTTTGTTTTTGAGACAGAGTCTTGCTCTGTCGCCCAGGCTAGAGTGCAGTGGCATGATCTCTGCTCACTGCAACATCTGCCTCCTGGGTTCAAGCGATTCTCATCCCTCAGCCTCCCGAACAGCTGGGACTACAGGCGCGTGCCACCACACCTGCAAATTTTTTAAATTTTATTAGAGAAAGGGTTTCACCATATTGCCCAGGCTGGTCTCAAACTCCTGAGTTCAGGTGATCCATTCACCTCAGCCTCCCAAAGTGCCAGGATTATAGGCGTAAGCCACCGCACCCGGCCAAGCACTCAATACTCCTGATCACTGGTACTCAGGGAGAACCTGTATTTCTATGCCATGCTGAGAATCAGGCTTGCTAGGAACAGTCTCCTCACAGGTCAGCTCAGGGTCTGCCACTACTAGACACCTGACCTCAGATACATCACTGGCCTATTATAGTACTTTCCCTGTGTGCCTCCCCTGGCTGAGGCAAGGTGCCACATCCATTATGTACCTCTAGAGCACCCTCACTACCTGCACCTCCACACGCACTGTATCATACTAGAACCTTCCTATTTCATAGCCTGAAATGCACTGTTGATGTCTGTTGTGGAAGACAAGAGCCCTGCCCTCTGGGTGTTCATGAAGAAATAAACACCTGCAGGGTGGGGCCCATGTCTACAGTGTTGATGAGACTGCTCTGTTAAACTACTTCTTGGCTGAGCACAGTGGCTCATACCTATAATCCCAGCACTTTGGGAGGCCGAGGGGGTGTATCACCTGAGGTCAGGAGACCAAGACCAGCATGGCCAACATGGTGAAACCCCATCTCTACTAAAAATACAAAAAATTAGCCGGGTGTGGTGGCGGGCACCTATAAGCCCAACTACTCAAAAGGCTGAGGTTGAACCCGGGAAGCAGAGGTTGCAGTGAGCCGAGATCGCGCCATTGCATGCCAGCATAGGTGACAAGAGCAAAATGCCATCTCAAAAAATAAATAAATAAAGTATTTCTTAAGCCAAAGTTCCACATATAAGCAGAGATTTACCTACCCAATGGGGCACCCTCCCATCCCTGGGGCTAACATCAGAGCTCTCTTTCTCCTCATGCAGCAAAATGGGGCACCCCTAAAACACTGTGAAAGACTGAGCAACAGAGGGAATGACACCAACAAGAGATGCAAACCTCCAAGAAAATACCAGGGCCCAGCTGGGCTTCTGTCCCTGCTCTCTTCTGCATTCCTTCGATGCAGCCCGCTGCTCCACAGGGGTGATGGTAAATGTCCCACCCATTCCATGATGGAGATGTAGTGAGGGGAGAAGAAATGCATGGGGACAGGGGAAAGGGGTGTGGGGACCAGCCTATGTGCAGGCAAGCCAGGAGAAAGGAGATACTGAAAGGATCCTTATTCAGAGGACCAGTGACCAGTTGTGACACTCAGAGGACTTCATGGACATACTGGCATTTTCACATCAGCTCACATGACTAAAGCAGCCCCTGGCTGAGAAACATTCCATTACGTATCCCTCCCCAGGTGGTCAGTCAGCTCTACAAGCATAGCCTTTCCTAACAGTCTTTCTCCACTCCACTCTGCTGTTTGAAAATGCCTCCTTGGCTCTCCCACTATCTTCTGTCCCCTTCTCAGTCTCAATAATAGTAACCAGAATTTACTGAATTATTACTACTTATGTGTCATGCATAGTTCTTTTCTTTCCTTTTTTTTTTTTTTTTTTTTTTGAGTTGGAGTCTTGCTCTGTTGCCCAGGCTGGAGTGGTATAGTACTGTGATCTTGGCTCACTGCAGGCTCAACCTCCCAGGCTCAAGAGATCCTCCCACCTCAGCCTTCCAAGTAGCTGGGACTACAGGCTTGCACCACCACACCCAGCTAATTTTTCAAGTTTTTGTAGAGATGGGGGTCTCCCTATGTTGCCCAGGCTGGTCTCGAACTCCTAGGCTCAACTGACTCTCCCACCTCGACCTCCCAAAGTGCTGGGATTACAGGTGTGAGCCACCAGGCCCAGCCCATAGTTCTAAAGACTTGAATGACTGGGTCATCTAATCCTCCCTGCAATCCTGTGAGATAGGTGCTATTACTTCCTCCATTTCACAGGTGATACAACTGAGGCACAGGGCAGTGACTTGCCCTAAGACCTAAATCTAGGAAGTAGCAAAGCCAGGATTTGAACCCAGGCAGCCTGAGTGCAAAGACTATACTCTCAGTTGCCCTACCTCACCTCAGGGAGAGAAGAGCCACACTCAAAGATAAGAGACCTGTTCCTAGCTCAGTCTTAAACAAATGGCTTTTCTGTGCCTCAGTTGCCTCCACCATGAAATGCTAATCATAAATGTCGGGTCTAGAAACACAGAATCTTAGCTCTATGATCAGCCTGCCTAAGAGTTCCTCCTGAGATTACAGAAACACTCTACAACTGCCCATGCCGACCGTAGGGCAGTCACTAGCCACACGTGCCTACAGAGCATTTGTGGCTAGCATGACCGAGAAGCTGAATTTTTAACGGTATTTCAATCTAATTAATTTCAATAGCCACATGTGGCTACTAGCTACTATACTGGACAGCTCAGCTCTAGTCTATAAATTCCAAGAGGGAAGGTGCCATTTCTCTTTGTTCGCTGCTATATTCCCAGAGCCCAGCATGGACGCTGGTCTATAACCGGTGCTCAATAACTATTTGATGAACAAATCAAAAGCAAAGGACTTTTCAGGTGCTCTAATAGTACCTCATCTCCCACACAGGCATTGATTCTTCATGTTCCCTGGAGAGTGGACATTTAGCCTTGGCTTGACACAGAATTCAGGGCTTCCTAATGCAGTCTGGTAGGGAGTTGCTCTTACAATAAAAAATATCTTCCACTGAGCTAAATCAATATCCCTAAAATTTCTAGTTACTAGTCCTGGCACATAAACTCAGAAGTGTGGGAAAACCAAAAGAAGTTATGAAAAAACACTTAAATGTTTTTAAACACCTGAATGCAGGGATACATCTATAATTCATTTTCATGGTTAAGATGAATCTGATCTTAACTGGTAACAAGTCTTTCTCCGCTCCACTGTGCTGTTTGAAATGAATATATGACTACTATCTGTTTGGGAGAAAACAATCCTCTAGTGTCAAGGCTGTGGTCCAGAATTGCTGTCTCCATTGATTTTAATACCAATGCATTTGAGTCCCCCAACTCCATAAGTGGGCCAGGGAACGTGCAGCTAGGCCCTCAACAAGCTAGGCTTGTTCTCCAAGCAGGGTCTGGGGATTCTGGCAGAACAACTCACATTTTCATATTTCCTACATACCTCCTATGTACCAACAACTGTGATAGACACAGGAGATACAGAGGATGGCGACGTGATACTCACAAGGAGCCCTCGGTTTAGAAAAAGGGAGAGTCAAAATGTGCAGAGGACTTACTTTGTACAAGGCACTGAACTAAGCCAGGAGAAAGACATATAAACCAAACACAATCAACTCAGTGTGGCCCATGCCAAAACAAACATACATACAAAACACCACAGTGGCTGCCTTAGAAGAGACACGTAGAGAATCCTAGCACCGTGGCTTGCACACAGCAGGTGCTCAATGCAGAGAACTGAATCAAACCTTGACCAACATCTCATTTTAAGGCTGGGAAAACCAAGGCCCAGATAGGTTAAGGGACTTCTCAAAGTGACTCAGGTAGTTACTGACAGGGCTGAAGACAGCAACACTCTGTAACACTGTCTCCCTCCCAGTGCGTCTTATCCTCCACTGCATGGGGAGAATAGGCAGGATCTGCTGCCTATTATTATGTCTATCTCAGAATAAGCGACGGATTTATTTTTGCAACACTGTATGTTTGGGTGTCTTGAAATCTGATGACTAAATGTACGCATATCATCCTAGGAACGGGCTTTCAATCATTTAACAAACACTTCTTGAGAATATACTCTATATCAGGCACAAATTTAAGTGTGTGAATGAAGAAATGAAACAAACTTTTGGTCAAATCAGAGAGCTGAACACCCATGTTTATCTCTGCTCTCTTCTGGACTCCCACTAAAAGGACAGTAGACGGATGCATTTCTTAATGAAAAAAGAGACCCCAGCAGATGAGATATGTCAACAGCAGTGGAGAGCTGACCACCATGCAGTAGCTGATTTAGGTTTCCGCATTGTCTGCTCTGCTAAGTGCAAGCAGAGCAGGAGCCACTAAACAAGTGCCCAACTCATGGCACAGAACACAAAGACAGTTCAGGAAGTGGAGGCACCAAGGACTCTAAAGGGAAAAGCAGGGTAAAGCTAAAAAGAAGGGTGCCTGCCTGCAAGTTGGTACAAAGAGCAGTCAGACCCAGGGTCCCTCTTGCAGTCTGCTCAGCCTGGTGATTTCCCTGCCTCAGCTAGCAGAAGGTGGAGATCCACTGATCAGGTAACTTACACCAGAGATACAGCCAAGGGAGGGACACAGCTGAGGGAGGTAGAGAGATGGGAGAGAGGGATGGCAGGTGGGGGCAACTTTCAAAAGACCCAGGGATTGAGTGAAAGTCTGCATATCAAACAGACTAATACCTAGCCCCTTTCCCCATGGAGGCTCCCAGAATGCAGGAAGGCCAGGCTGTTTACCACCCCACCCCACCCTACCCCACACCCAGGTAAAATCCTCTCCAAGAAAGCCCTATCCAGGAAAGCCCCAGGAAAAAGATCTACCGGCGCTGATATCTAGGCTGCTCCAGTAGAGAAAAAGGGGGCTCTCTGCTGGGTCACTCTACAATGAAGTTAACGACTCCCTTCCTTGTGGCACTGATGCCCAATCAGCATTTCGGTGTCCATTCTTAAAATATACATAGACAGTCAAGGATCAGCATGCATGGAAGGATAGCTGCAATGGAAGATACAGTAACCAAAACAAATGGAAAAAGGGACTTGGAAGAAACAACATCTTCCAAGGGACAGCAGGGAACAGCAGAAAACCATAAAAAAAACAAAAACAAACAAACAAAACCCTTAATATAAAGGAATTTACTGTACCCATGAAACAAGAATAGAATGTCATCTAAAAAAGAAAAGCAAGTATTCAGAGAACTAGGGAGCTCTTACAAAGTAAAACATGCAAATATGTTCCACGTAAACACATGAAAGCACAGTTAAAAATGGAAAAGAGTTGAAGATAAAGCTGAAGATAGCTCTCTGAAAGACAAAAATATAATAAAATGAAAAAAGGAAATAAAATGTTTTAAAATTATAAACTTGCTCCAGGAAGTCCAACATTCAGCTAATAGGCATGCCAAAGACAAAACACAGAAAATGGAGAAAATGAAATTATTAAAATATATCTAATTAAGAAAATTTCCCCAAACTGAAAGACGTCAATCTTCAGATCAAAAAGGCACACACCGGCTGGACGCAGTGGCTCACACCCGTAATCCCAGCATTTTGGGAGCCCGTGGCGGGTGGATCACCTGAGGTCTGGAATTTGAGACCAGCCTGGCCAACGTGGTGAAACCCCCATCTCTACTAACAATGCAAAAATTAGCTGGGCGTGGTGGCATGCGCCTGTAATCCCAGATACTTGGGAGGCTAAGGCACGAGAATCGCTTGAACCCGGGAGGCGGAGGTTGCAGTGAGCCGAGATTGCACCACTGCACTCCAGCCTGGGCAACAGAGTGAGACTCCATCTCAAAAAAAAAAAAAAAAAAGGCCCACACCAAAGACCCAGGCCAATCATTTTTAAAGCAAGGAGATTTCAAATACAGGAAAAGAGAGAAGATCCCAAAAACTTTCAGTGAGAAATCAGGTTATCCATAAATGATCAAGAATCAGAATGGTATCCGAATTTTGATACCAATATTAGAACCTAGATGACAGTGGAATGATGGCTTCAAAATTCTAAGGGAAATGGCTTTCGACTTCAAATTCTAGATGAATCAAATCACCAATCGAATATGAATGTAGAATATGAACATTTTCAGACCTGTAAGCTTAAAGTGATCAACTTCCACAGACCCTCTCTCAGAAACTTGTGGAAGAATAAATCAACAAAGGAAACAGGATCCCACCCAGGATAAGGTGAGGGAATTCCCAGGATGAGTCATGCCACAGGCCTAGAGGTCAATGGGCAAGAACAAAGGAGACAGAATGGAGGCCTATAGGAGGGAAGTCTCCAAGCGGGCGTAAAAAAAAAAAAACAGTAATAAAATAAAAAGGAACAAGCGCAGGCACGGTGGCTCATGCCTGTAATCCTAGCACTTTGAGAAGTTGAGGAGGGAGGATTGTTTGAGGGCAGGAGTTAGAGACCAGCCTAGGCAATGTAGTGAAACCCCATCTCTACCAAAAAACTTTAAAAATTAGCTGGACATGGTGGTGCCTGTAGTCCTAGCTACTCAGGAGGCTGAGGCAGGAGGATCACTTGAGCCCAGGAGGTCAAGGCTGCAATGAGCTACAATCGCACCTCTGCACTCTAGCCTGGTGGACAGAGCAAGGCCCTATCTCAATAAATAAATAAATAAATAGGAACACATGTTATAAAACAAATGTCTTAAGATGCTGTCAAATACTTTGAGAATTAGCAATAAGTACATAGAAACTAAGTAAATAGAAAATGTAAGATAATTATTAACTCAAAAAATGTACAAGAAAGAAAATATTATAGTATACTATATGGCTCTGTCATGAACACTATTTACACAGCCAAAATAATGTAAGCACCAAATATCAATGTAATCAAAAACTGTGATATATCTATAATGAGAGGATAGGGAGAAAGGGAAGTATTGGGGGGCAGAGGAGAGGATCTAATCCATAGTAAGACATCAAGACATAACATCTAAAAGTAACCTCTAAGCTGGGCATGGTGACTCACACCTGTAATCCCAGAACTTTAGGAGGCCCAGGTAGGAGGAGTGCTTCAGGCCAGGAGTTAAAGTCCACCCTGGCCTCAAGCAGGGTCTCAACATAGCAAGACCCTGTCTCTACAAAAAGAAAAATAAGGAAAAATAAAAATAACATCTAAAATGGACAATCAGAAAACAGCATTGTAAGCAGGTAACAATAAATATGATAGTAATATCAGGAGAAACAGCTCAGTGCATTAGAAGTAACTGTTGTAAACAGAGTAACAGCAGCCCCTCAAGGATGTCTATATCCTAACTGCCATGCCTGGCTAATTCTTTGTATTTTTTGCAGAGATAAGGTTTTACTATGTTGGCCAGGCTGATCTTGAACTCCTGGCCTTAAGTGATCCGCCGGCCTCAGCCTCCCAAACTGCTACGATTACAGGAATGAGCCACTGCGCCCAGGCAGCCTTTATATTTTTCTAGTAGTATTGACTTTTTTTTTTTTTTTTTTTTGAGAGGGAGTCTGGCTCTGTTGCCCAGGCTGGAGTGCAGTGGCACAATCTCAGCTCGCTGCAACTTCCGCCTCCCTGGTTCAAGTGATTCTCCTGCCTCAGCCTCCAGATTAACTGGGATTACAGGCGCCCGCCACCGTGACTGGCTAATTTTTGTATTTTTTTAGTAGAGATGGGATTTTGCCATGTTGGCCAGGCTGGTCTCAAACTCCTGACCTCAGGTGATCCGCCCACCTCAGCCTCCCAAAGTGCTGGGATTACAGGCGTGAGCCACCACACCCAGCCTATTTGTCTTTCAAAACTCTGTGCGGGGTGGGGGTGCACAGTGGCTCAGGCCTGTAATCCCAGCACTTAGGGAGGCCAAGACAGGCAGATCACTTGAGGTCAGGAGTTCGAGACCAGCCTGGCCAACACTGTGAAACCCTGTCTCTACTAATAATAAAAAAATTAGCTGGGGGGGTGGTGGTCTCCTGTAGTCCCAGATACTAGGGAGGCTGAGGCAGGAGAATCGCTTGAACCCGGGAGGTAGAGGTTGCAGTGAGCTGAGATCATGCCACTGCACTCCAGCCTAAGCAACAGAGGGAGACTCTGTCTCAAAACAAACAAAAAAGAAACTCTCTGTGTACACACACACACACACACACACACACGCGAAAGTTTTATACAAATTAAAATTTAATTTAAAAAGAGAAGAAACACAGACTCACTCTATTCCCAGAACTCACAATATGGGGGAGGAAACAGACAAGGGAACCAGCAATATCAACAGAAGTAGAAAGCTGAACACAAGAAGAAAGGCATCTCTTTTTTTGTTTGTTTTTTTTTTTTTTGAGATGGAGTTTCGCTCTTGTTACCCAGGCTGGAGTGCAATGGCGTGATCTCGGCT
Source organism: Homo sapiens (assembly GCF_000001405.40). Classification (NCBI taxonomy): domain Eukaryota; kingdom Metazoa; phylum Chordata; class Mammalia; order Primates; family Hominidae; genus Homo; species Homo sapiens. The sequence goes on from NC_000010.11 coordinate 95,554,955, forward strand.
CACTGCAACCTCTACCTTCCGGGTTCAAGTGACTCTCCTGCCTAAGCCTCCTGAGTAGCTGGGACTACAGGCATGCGCCACCACGCCCGGCTAATTTTTTGTACTTTTAGTAGAGAGGAGGTTTCACCATGTTGGCCAGGCTGGTCGCGAACTCCTGACCTCAGGTGATCCACCTGCCTCGGCCTCCCAAAGTGCTGGGATTACAGCTACCGCGCCCAGCTGAAAGGCATCTCTTTAAGATGTGAGGGGAGTCTGAGGGGAGAAGGCATCAGCCAGGAAACGCAGAAAAAGGCCTTCTGGTGAGGGAACCAGTCCTGGTGGGGGGTGCAGGGGGGCCTGGCCTTTGGGGACGTGGAGTAGGGAATGACCGGGCATCTGGTGGTTTGGCAGAGCCAGCAGGAAAGCATGGAGGGGTGGTTCTCAGCACCAGCAGGTTTGATGCCTACCCTATCCCCGGCTTCTCCAGTTGGGGTATGAGACTGATATGCATATTTACAGAGGGCTGGTACAAATGAGGGCCCACAATAAACACATTTTCGTAGAACGTCAATTGTATTCAACAGTAAAGCAACTTAAATACTTTTATACTAAAACCAGTACACATATATTACAGAGAATACAAACCTAATGTGACAAGGTGACTTCTTGTTTGCAAGGCCCACTTTAGATACTAAAGTACTTGCTGACCACTGAGCATCAAGAGTCAATCCTCTCTGTAACTAATTAGAGTCAGAAGAAAATCATAAAGCGGTACAGCATCCATCCATCAAAGAATCCGGGAACTTTACACCAGCAACTGTCGGTGGGTGCCCACCCTCCCAAGGTGGGCAGAAGACATACCTTGGGTCCCACTCAACACTAATCAGAAAGTTAACAAGCATCTCATTCTTTTCCAAAAGGGTCTGGGTCCTGCTACAGCCAGTTAGGTTAGCTCAGCCTGAGGAAACAGAGAAAACAACGATGCTAATTCTTCCTAGATATACTCTCTAGGCCATAGCCCGCCAGCCCCTATTCTAAGCAGTACCGCAGTCACTGAGAAGAGCCCCACCTCCACTATCAGCACCCCTAACCCCTTACAGTACAGGCCTCTGTTACAGAATGCATTAAAGACACTTTTTCCATGGAAGGAAGTCTAGAAACAGGGTACATCCCTTGAGAGAGGGTGTCCCTTGTGGTCCACAATACAAGGGTGGAAACTTTTTTCTATTGTTGTGAAAACAATAACCGCATGACAGAGACCTGGGAACTTTTTTTTCTATAAAAAGCCACTGCTGACCACAGAAGAAGTGGGGGGATAAATCAATGGAAGGCCACACAGAAGTAAAAAGCAATTTAGTTGGATTTGGTTCATTTGCCTCTTTTTTGTTTTGTGTGTAAAACACATACACATTCAAAAAAGACTGAATTCAACTGATTTTATTTATTTATTTATTTGGATGGAGTCTCACTCTGTCCCCCAGGCTGGAGTGCAGTGGTACAATCTCGGCTCACTGCAACCTCCACCTCCCAGGCTCAAGCAATTCTTTCTGCCTCAGCCTCCTGAGTAGCTGGGATTACAGGCACCCATCACCACACCCAGCTAATTTTTGTCTTTTTTTTTTTTTTTTTTTTTTGAGACGGAGTCTTGCTATGTCGCCCAGGCTGGGGTGCAGTGGCGCGATCTTGGCTCACTGCAAGCTCCGCCTCCCAGGTTCATGCCATTCTCCTGCCTCAGCTTCCCGAGTAGCTGGGACTACAGGTGCCTGCCACCACACCCGGCTAAATTTTTGTATTTTTAGTAGAGACGGGGTTTCACCATGTTGACCAGGCTGGTCTTGAACTCCTGACGTCAGGTGATCCACCTGCTTCAGCCTCCCAAAGTGCTCGGATAACAGGCATGAGCTACCTTGCCTGGCCCTCGACTGATTTGAAATGAAGAACAGAGAACATGAAATTTTAATGGCAATAGATTAAAAGAAACTACAAAGATATATTGTTGATAATAAAGAAAGAATGAGGGAGGAGGGCAAGGAGAAAGAGGTAAGAAAAAGAAATGGATAGTGGAGGGAGATGTAGCAAAAGAAGAATGGGAGACAGCAAGATTCAGGGACGGGTCCACATGCCTAACCGCACACAAAAAGGGGGAGCCACCAAAGGACCCACAGAGACACTTTCTAGGGCTTGAAGAGTTAGCCAAAGTCAGTTACATTGTTCATGGCCAGCTGTTGGCTGTAGCTCCAGACCTTGAACTATTATCACCTTTTATCCTTGCCTTTGAATGGTTAGTGCTCTGGTCAACCACTGTTCACAGCTCTTTAATTGCTCATTGAAACATTCTGAGGCTTAGCTTAGGTCACAAGCCAGAAGCTCCCCCAAATGAGCTACAATTCAGTAAATCATTCATCTCCAAGTATCTCCTCTGAAAAGGGAGTATTCGAAACACTATCTCATAAAACATTCAAAGCACCGATGAAAATCCAAGGAGAAAATGCTGCTTGCACTGAAACGAAATCCATGGAAAAGTGTTCTGAGTTTTGCATTTACAAAAAAACCGGGACTTCAGCAGAACTGAGTCCCACCTCAGCATCAGCCAGCATCACCACCCGCACACCTGACTTCCCACATGTCCACATTCTGCATGCTCCCGTGGATCTAAAGGCCTCAGTTGGTCCTGAAACTAAGCAGCCTCCATGACACTTTGCAATCTGAGGGTCAACAGGAGCAATCCCAAGGAGATTCCAAGACAGTCTCAGGCTGAGGTTGAACTCTCAGTCCACCCCCCCACCCCCCATCCTAGGCTACCAAACCTCCCCTCACTTCACCCCAAGGGCTGCAGAAGAGCTCAGCTGTTTCAGAGACAATAGAGCCTCCCCCTTTCAAGCTCCATCCTTTTCTCCTCCAAGCTTGGTTTCTGTGTTTTTCCCTTCCCCACATAATCTGTCCCCAGCCTCCTACTTTCTCGTCTGTTTCTCCAATCTCTCTCTTCTTGTGCTCCTATTTCCTCCTCATGTTTCGCTATTCCATCTTAGAATCATTTCTCTCAGAGGAAGAGGGGGCTTAACAGATACATATAGGCCGGGCACCGTGGCTCAAGCCTATAACCCCAGCATGCTGGAAGGCCAATGCAGGCGGATCGCTTGAGTCCAGGAGTTTGAGACCAGCCTGGGCAACACCGCAAAACTCTGTCTCTACAAAAAGTACAAAAATTAGCTGGGTGTGGTAGTGCGTGCCTGTGGTCCCAGCTACTCGGGAGGCTGAGGTAGGAGGACTGCCTGGGCCCAGGAGGTCGAGGCTGCAGTGAGCCATGATTGTGCCACTGCACTCCAGCCTGGGTGACAGGTGAGACCCTGTCTCAAAACAACCACCACCACCAAAAAACAAAAAAACCCAGATACATCTGGAAACAAGATCTACAATCTATCCCCCCGAGTTCCCACCCCAGCTCCACATCTTGCTAGCTGTGCAACCTTGGAAAAATGGCCAAACCTCCCAACCCCTCAAATTCCTCAGTTTGGCGGGGAAGGGGGAGGAACATGGCAATCACAGAGGTCTTTTATAACTCTCATCTTCTAGATAGGTAAACGTTCACCTGTGTAACCATGAATAAACCAGCAAGTTAAACATCCACAGGGAAAGAGAACAAATTACAGAAACTCCCTTTCCTCAGCAATCTATCATCCCACCCTCATCTCCCACAACCACTCACTCTGGGGTCTGTGCCTCTCACTCTGGACCGTTCTAGCTCTGAATTGTTTACATACTTACAGTAAAACCTCACAAATCACACTAATCAAGGAAAAGGTAGATGTGAATCCAACAGAAGCCTGCATCCTAGAATGCTTCTTCTATGCCATTGTGCAATACTTTGAATTTATTATCAATTTAGCAAACAGGAAAGAACCTGAAAATGCCATCACAAACTGTGACTCTAAGAACAGTGGAGTTGTCAGGAACCCTGGAAGACCTTCTGCCCTATCATCCTCCACTTCACCAGCAAGGACACAGGCCCAGAGAGCAGAAGCCACTAGCCCAAAGCCCAAAGATTGGTGGCCAGGACCAAAGCTAGCTGTCCTGCCTCTGGTCCAGAGCTTCTCCACCAAAGCTTTTTGAGACCATCCATGCCTTTCTCCTAGAGACAGGTCAAATCCTAAATTACCATAGAGTGCCCTCTACAGCAAATCTATCTCCACATCCAGGGAAGGGTCTGGAGATAAGTTAGGATGACCTGATCATTATCAATGCTGCACAATAAAAACTTTCTTTCCTGGCCCTGCCCTTTCATTGTTTACAAAGAAAACCCTAGACTCTGCTATCTGTATTGAACTCTTATTTTAGAGAAGGGGAAAGAGAGGAACAGCTGAACAGTGCTTTGTTCTGCCAGGAAGAATTTGCTCATCCTTTCCCATAACTCCTACCCACTCCCCAATATGCCCAATCTCTTCCGAAAAGTATACAGAAACTCTCCAACTACAACAAATGAAAGCAGGTAGGAGAAGGAAAAGGCCAACAAGGCGGGTATCGTCCACAAGATGACAATACCCTCCCAACTCTTTACCCCACAGGGTAGACAGCAGTTCATTTCAGTTGCTAATTCCCTGCAGGGAAGTCGCCAAAGGAGTGGTCTCAGGGCCCTCCAGCTGAGAAATGTGCTCTCTGCAACCCCTGGAGAACTAACCCTTTCCTAACCATCTGCTCCAACAGTGCCTTGGGCAAAGGTGCCAACAGACCAACCCTTCCCTTCTTTCCCCTCAGGCCAAGAAAGAGACATCAGAGCTTGGTTGGCAAGGGGCTATTTAAGGCAGCATCCAGAGGGCGGGGCAGAAAACTGCTGGAGGCATCCTCCTCCTCCACCCCTCCCCCTCACAGCCCAAACACACGCCCCTCACTCTGTAGACAGCCATCTGCCTCATCGGTGTCTGAAGGCTGTAGATATGTCCATCATCTGTCTTCTGTCATTGATGCTGCTGACCCCTCTGTGTCCACCCCACTTTTAATCCAACCCTCCTCTCTTCGATCACCACCAAGATACCTTTCCAACCAAAACCACAGAATTGAATCTAAGCAGAGGAGCTCAAAACACAAGGAGAGTGAAGACAGCCAATCCATCCCCCGCCTCCACTTAAGAGGAAAAAAGGGCGCGGGGGGCTGGGCGGGGGGGGGGGTGTTGAGGGGAGAGATGGAGTCAGAGGCCTGACACGCCAGATAGGTTCCATGATGTCTCTAGATGAACCTCCCTCCTATTGACGATGAAACCAATTCCAGCAATTTCAGCAGGTCGGCCCTGTGACAACAGGGGCATCCCAACGCTCAGTGTTTAAAACAAAAATCCAAAGGCTCGCCCAGAACATGCTGGGAAAAACCGAGGACTGAACAAAACGAGCCATGCTCAGTGGGATCCCTTCTGCTTTTACGTAGCAATGTAATAGCGTAATAAATTCTTGTCTGCCTGGAGAAAGCATGCACTGGTGAATTTCAAAGCCATCTTACGACAGCGGATGCATGGGGATGCAGAATTCGACAGCACATTCCCCCATGAAGGAAACATAATGACTTCAAGCCTCTTTCCCCTCTATCTTGAATGGCGCTACCACGTATCAAGGAAGCCACATCGGAAAGCAGCGAGGTGGTAGCAGGGGATGCCCGGGGAATTCGGAGAAAGGAGTTGCTTGCTGTCCATGTCGGTGATGAGCTGCCTAGCAAGATGCTGTCAGCCACTCGGGGAGAAGAAGGGGCACGGGCGGCACGGGCAGGCGCCGTGTCCCCGGCGCATACTAGTCCCCGTTCATTCAGGCGGGTCCGGCCAACCGCGTCGTCCTTGCGCCCCTCCCGCCGCCCTCTCCAGGGGATGCTGATGAATGAACACACCTGAGATGCCTCCATCCCGCCGCTCGCTCCCTCCGCCTTCCTCTGGCTGCTGCAGAGGTGCCCCTCCTCGGTAGTTTCACTTTACAGCACAAACCCATTCGGGCTTTGATGTCTCCTCCACCCACCCAAATTGCAGCCACCCTGAGACGGGCGGACATTCTCTCCTAGCAGAGGCCATGATCGTACTACCCCACACCCACCAAAAAAGGAAATTTAAAAACCCCCAACCCTGGAAGCCCCCAGATCCTCCGCACCCTGGGGAACTTTCCTTGAAAGACTGGGGATTCGCCGAGCAGGCAGGATGGACGGTTCGGCCGCGAGGGACCACCGCTTTCCCTGTGCCCATGGGGGGATGCTCTGGGGGAGGGGGTCCCCCAAGTCCCTCCAACAGCTGGCCCTTTAAATGCGCCTCCTCCGAGCGCGGAACAAAGGCGCCGCCCGCGGGGGCCGAGCCGCGCACACCCCCGGCGCTGCCGCCGCCGAGCGGGCAAGCGCGGCCGGGCGGGCGAGCGCGGGCTTACCTTGCTGGTCGCCGGGCGGGCGGGCTGCGCGCGTCCGCCCCACTCGCACTACACGCTGCAGCTGGCCCCGCTCTGTTTTTCTGGGACTCAGCGCTGACTTCACCGACACTCCGCGGACAACCAATGGGCTGCGGTGCCCGCCCCCTCATTAGCATGCCTCTGGAACCGTCCACTCTGGCAGCGCCCGGCCAGCGGGCGGTGCCGGGGGCGGGGCCGGGCCCAGCCGTGACAGGAAGGGGCGTGTGCGCGGATGGGAGGCGAAGAAGTGTCCGGCGCCCGGCTCCTGGCATTGTGAGCCCGCCGGCCTCCGCCGGTAACGGGCGCGCGGGCCTAGTAACCCTTTCCGTCCTGGCCGGGCCGGACGCTGGCCTGGCGCGCCTTCTGGTCCTTCGGAAGGGTCGCCCACGGGGAGCTTGGAAGGAACCTTAGACGTAAAATAACAGTGATAAGTTATTTAACTCCTGGGCCTCAGTTTACCCATCTGTAAAATGGCATAATAGTCCGACTTCGTAAAATCTAGTGAAGATTAACATAGTTAACATAGGTGATGCATTTTGATCAGTTCCTGGCCGTCGTGCTACATAAACGTTTGCTGTTGTCATTCGTGTGCTCTGTACCAGCCAGTGTGCTTAATGCTTCCCGGATATTTCCTCATTTGATCCTCTTAGCCTGATAAGAGAGGAACGATTACTAATCCATATTTTTCTAGTGAGAAAACTGAAAATAATTACTATTTTTATGCAGGAAAACTGAGGTGTAGTTTAAGTGGCTTGTCCGAGGTCACACAGCAAGTGGTGCAACCAGGATTTGAACCCAGGCTCTGAGATTTCACTCATGCAACACACATATATTTAGAGGCTCTGTGGCAGTGCTGGACCCCAGTGTTAACTGCAGAGAACAAGACAGGCAAGGCCTTTTCCCTTAGGAAGCTTCCATTTTAGTGGAGACAAGTAAATAAATAAGATCCTCTACAATGTGAAAAGTAGAGTGCATACAATGCAACAAGGTCATTGCAAGTGGGGGGAAGGCACCGTGTTAGATGGGGTTCAGAGCTAACCACTGTGCTATGCCATTCTCCTGACCTCCTCTAGTCCCCCTCAGAGTTACAGAAAAGGAAACAGAGACAGGGATCAGAGTGGGGAATCTGCTGGCCCAAGGTCGCAGAGCCAGCAAGTACTGGTCTGGAACTTGCTCCCTCCATGCCCAGCTTCCCACATCCCTGAAGATAAGACACTCGCCCTTTGGGCTGAGCACAACTGATTTTTGTCAGCTGCCCTTGCAAGCATCTTCAGCCAGAGCACATTCTCAGTGAACAGGCTGTGGGTGGCAGGGTAAAGACTGGCCTTGATAACTGCACAGACTGATCGGAAACTCATCAGCAAAGATTCTTAGATGTCAGGGAACGGTGACAAGTCTTTGGTGACCACCTGGTGTCCTCTGCTGTGTATTAAAAAAAAAAAGAAGAGTCCTAGCCATCTGGAAGCTTACTCTATAAATGAGAAAACACTGGGGAACTACTCAACCTAGGGAGCCCCCAGCCCACGGCCTTCCCCTATCTGCACCTCATCCTGCAGCTTTTCAAAGAACACTTCCCCGGCTCTCCTATTTATTTACTCCACAATCTGTGTAAGACAGCTCTCTCTGGGCTATAAAGTAATAAAACAGCTAGTATTTATTGAGCACGTCTAGGCTGCTATGCACCGTACTATACTTGTGCTAAGAGCTTTACATGCGTTAACTCACATCCACCACACGACCCCAGGTGGGAATAGTGTCGTTATCCTGAGGTTATCCACAGAGGTGTATAACAAAGGGTAGAGAGACTAGTTACTTACCCAGCAAATTCAGGGCAACACCATTTTAGAATAGCCAAAAAAAAAAAAAATCAAAACAATCCAAATATCCAATTTGAGTGCATTGGTTAATAATAGTACAACCATATGACAGAATATCATATATTAATAGCTACAAAAAATGAAGAGGTTTATTGACACATAAAGATGCTCATAATAGGCTGGGAGTGGTGGCTCACGCCTGTAATCCCAGCACTCTAGGAGGCCAAGGTGGGCAGCGGTGGATCACCTGAGCTCAGGAGTTTGAGACCAGCCTGGGAAACATGGTGAAACCCCATCTCTACTAAAGAATCCAAAATTAGCTGGGCATGGTGGCGTGCACCTGTGGGAGGCTGAGGCAGGAGAATTGCCTGAGCCTGGGAGGCGGAGGTTGCAGTGAGCCAAGATCGTGCCACTGCACTACAGCCTGGGCAACAGAATAAGACTCCATCTCAAAAAAAAGAAAAAAAAAAAAGATGCTCAGATTATTGAATGGAAAAATAGGTAGAAAACTAGTTTTATACTGCAATCCCATTAGAACTATTCTTATGGGATTGCAAGTAATTATTTTTGCTCATCCATAGTCTTCTGATTTTTTTCTTCATAAACATCTACCAACTTGTCCAGTGAAAATAAAATAATTTTAAGATGAAAAACCAGACTCTATCAATGAAGATTTCATCTACACTATCTCAAGGAATCTTAAGGGAGGCCTAAGGCTTCAGGTCATCCCTCAAATATTGAACCTCTCTGCTGTTTCCAGTCTGTGTCACTGTTGCATGTCTCACTGTAAGGCATAACATTGCCATTAGGATTTATGAAAGAAATGGTAAAATAGTGGAAAGTCAAGAAAGAAGGAAAGTGGAAAAAACAGAAAGAAAAATCCTACTGGTGGCCAGGCGCAGTGGCTCACGCCAGTAATCCCAGCACTTTGGGAGGCCGAGGCAGGCGGATCACGAGGTCAGGAGTTCGAGACCAGCCTGGCCAACATGGTGAAACCCCATCTCTACTAAAAATACAAAAAATTAGCCAGGCGTGGTGGCACGCACCTGTAATCTCAGCTACTCGGGAGGCTGAGGCAGGAGAATCGCTTGAACCCAGGAGGTGGAGGTTGCAGTGAGCCAAGACCACACCACTGCACTCCAGCCTGGCGACAGAGCGAGACTCCATCTCAAAAAAAGAAAAGAAAAGAAAAATCCTACTGTCCTTCAGGACTCATCTCAGGTGTCTCCTCCAAGAAATGTTGAAAGTCACGGTCTTTCGATGGGTTGGGTTTTTGTTTTTGTTTCTGTTTTTGAAACAGGGTTTCACTCATTCCTGTCACCCAGGCTGGAATGCAATGGCGCAATCTCGGCTCACTGCAGCCTTGATCTTCTGGGCTCAAGGGATCCTCCTGCCTCACCCTCCCAAGTAGCTGGGACTACAGACATGGGCCACTGTGGCCAGCTAATTTTGTGTATTTTTGGTAGAGACAGAGTTTCACCATTTTGCCAGGCTGGTCTCAAACTCCTGGACTCAAGCGATCTGCCCCCCTCAGCCTCCCCAAGTGCTGGGATTACAGGCGTGAGCCACCACACCTGGCCAGTCCTTCAATGTTTTAACGCTGAAAGCAACCCAAGAAATCATCAGGTGTAATCGTGTCAGTTCATCCTATCTCCAGTCATTCATAGATTCATCTGGGCAGCAGGCCCTGAGCTAGGTGCTGGCTACAAGGTGGTGAGAGAGATACTTGCTCCCTACTTCCCAAAGGTGAGCCCTAGGGAATCAGAGGCCCAGGGAGGTTCGTTTGGGCAGGGCCAGCCCTGTGTGGATGCAACCTGTGCTGAGGAGGGCCCCACACTTGATTACATGCTCTGCTGTCACCATCTTGAAATTCTTCATTTTTGAACAAAGGGCCCTGCCTTTAATTTTTGAACTGAGCCCTGTAAATTATGTAACTTGTCCTGGGGAGGGTGAACCTTGAGGCCTTGTCAGTGCATCAGTGACTGACCCTTGAGTAAAACAGTAAAACTTCCTGTTCTCCAGTCTCAGTCTCCACCGTTTCTCTTAAACCTGGGTCCACAGGGAAACGGGAGGACTCCTGCCTTCCAGCCCTACAGTGCTTCATTTCTTCCTTTCTCATGGAACTTGCCATATTTGGCATAAACTCCTGTATATTTGTGTGTAGTCTTATCCCTCATTTCCTCTCCCCAGCAGATTGTAAATTCCATGAGGTCGTGCCTTGTGTCTGCTCATCTCAAACAGTGCTTAGTCCTGTGTTTTACACGCTGTTTAAAATGTGCTTAAGTTTAATTTAATCTTATTAGTAACTCCTCGTTTTCTCTTCATGTGTATCAGATTATTCCCAGCAGTCCTTCCGCTGTTGGAGAGAATTTAAAATATCAGGCGGAGAGTCATGCACACAAACCAGGATCATAAACATGCTGTGGGACGCATCCCCAAGCAGGTCATAAGTGTGAGGAATTAGGAAAGGAGGGAGCAGGATTTTTCAGAGGACAGCCCAGAGTCGTCAGCCTTTACTTCATCTTCAGAGCCACACAGATTGGGAGAGAGGGAAATAAACTAGAGGCCCTGGAGCTGGCAGTAGCATAACAGTTAAGGCTGCGGGCTCCAGAGACACCTGGCAGAATCCTAGCTCCAGTGCCTAGTGTGCAGACTTCTCTCATCTGTAACCTGGAGAAAACACAACCCTCCATAGGTTTACTTGCAAGCTGAAGATGAGATCGTGCATGGATAGTGCCTACACACTGCCTGACACACATAAGCATCAATAAGTGAATATTATTTTAACATTACTAGGAGGCAGTGTTGAGAAAGACAACTTCTTAGAACACGTTGGTTTTGGTAAGTTGTTTTCCCAGTTACCCGAAATATTGACCATAGTCATTTTCAGAGATGCCGTGCTGGAGAATGCCAGGAGAAAAGAAGAAAACCAAATGAGAGAAAGAGAGTTATGAATCAAAGAGTTTTGCTGCTGTATCACCAAACACCCCTTGATGATTTTTGTCTAATGCCTTCTGTAGCATCTTACAGAAAGCGAAGCAAGTAGTGGAAAGAGCAAAACTCCTTAATAACTGATTGTCTTGTTTCTTACTGATTAATTACTGAGAAAAAAGTAAATCTACAAACGCGTGCCTCAGGGCACGGAACTGATTTGAAGATGATGGAACGCCCGAGCCAAGAATTCCACATTCCTTAGAGGTCAATGCTGGTGGACAATGCTTTAGGGAAGTTTGGTGAAATGGTGGAGGTTGATCAAGAGAAGTCTATGGGGCCAGGTAGAAACCCAGAGGAGTAGGAGGGATTGCTGTGCTTGGGAAGCAGGGATAGGATGAGTATGAGTAACCCCAGGACTCTGGTCACAGGGCCTCTGTTTATCAATCTATAAACACTGGCTCTGGCTGGCACACTGGTGCGCGCCTGTAATCCCAGTGCTTTGGGAGGCTGAGTTGGGAGGTCACTTGATCCTAGGAGTTTGAGGTTATAGTGAGCTATGATTGCACCACTGCACTCCAGCCTGGATAACAGAGCAAGATGCTGTATCTAAAAGGTAATAAAAATAAAAACACTTGCTCCAGTGTGTCTTGTGTTGTTGCTTGGGAGAAAACTTGTACACATAATAGCACCCCAAATATTGTACTGTATTTGACCAAATATCCAAGGTTTGGCTTGGAGATTATTTTATGCTATTAGATAGTCAAAATAAAGACATTTAAAATGTTGGCCTGACCAGGCACAGTGGCTCATTCCTATAATCTCAGTGCTTTGGGAGGCTGAGGCAGGAGGATCACTTGAGGCCAGGAGTTTGAGACCAGCCTGGGCAACATAGCAAGACTCTATCTCCACAAATAAATTTTTAAAAATTAACTGGGCAAGGCCAGGCATGGTGGCTCACACTTATAATCTCAGCACTTTGGGAGGGTGAGGCGGGTGAATCACTTGAGGCTAGGAGTTTGAGATGAGACCAGCCTGGCCAACACAGCGAAACCCCACCTCTACTAAAAATACAAAAATTATGCAGGTGTTGTGGCAGGTGCCTGTAATCCCAGCTACTCGGGAGGCTGAGGAAAGAGAATTGCTTGAACCCAGGAAATGGAGGTTGCAGTAAGCCGAGATCGTGCCACTGCACTCCAGCCTGGGCAACAGAGTGAGACTGTGTCTCAAAAAAAAAAATACATAGATATTAGCTGGGCATGGTAGTGTGTACCTGTAGTCCTAGCTACTCGGGAGGCTCAGACAGGAGGATACCTTGAGCCCAGAAGTTCCAGCCTCCAGTGAGCCATGATCACATCGCTGCACTCCAGCCTGGGCAACAGAGCAAAATCCTTTAAAAAAAGAAGAAAAGAGGGAGGGAGGGAGAGAGGGAGGGAGGGAGGGAAGAAGGATGGCAGGCAGGCAGGCAGGCAAGCAAAATCCTGTAAAAAAGAAGAAGAAAAGAAGGAAGGAAGGGAGGGAGGGGATGGGAGGGGAGGAGAAAAGAGGGGAGGGGAGAGGAGAGGGGAGGGGGGAGCAGAGGGGAGGGGACAAGAAGGGAGGAGAGGGGAGGGGAGGAAGGAAGGAAGGAAAGAGGGAAGGGGAAAGAAGGAAGTTGACCTCAATGGACCTTTGAGAGAAATTACAAGTACAGAATACACTTCTGTCAACTTCTACTGTGTCAATGGAAGGTTGGGGTTTGGGAGAGGGTAACACAAGGTGCCAATCTGAAGGCAGCTGCTGAGAGATCAGTTTTTTTTTCTGACTGGGGCAGGGGATTTATTGGTTAGAACATGCTGAGTTTACCTTAGAAGGCTTCCTACTCTAAAGTAATTACATTAATGAAGTGTTTACTTGAGAAAACCATTTTTAGGTTGGAGGATACAGCTGATAACTCTAAGAGAGGCATTGTGATTGAGACTGAAGAGATGAGGAGAGGTGCCAGGAAAGAGGAATAAGGAGAGAGAGAGGAGGAAGAAGAAGGTGGCACAGGGAAATTGGGAGAGAGCCAGAGAAAGTGAGATCATCTTGATGGACTGAGAGAAAAAAACTGCAGCTTCAGAAACAGAGCAACTAGGCTCACTAATATAACCCTAACAAGGTTAAAAAATCAACGACAATGGTGTTAACAGAATAACTGATGTTCTGGAAGCTGCTGGAAGCTTGTCAGAGGTGATTGGAACAGTTCACTGAGGGAACTCATTACACAGGACCAAATCAAGTCACAGGGGTGCCCTGGGAAGGCTAATTCCACTTCTTCAGCGTTTCTCAAGTGGAGATGCAGAGTGCTGGGGGGAGTGGAGGAGGGCAGAAGTGAAGGTGGCTGGACTGCGCATTGGGTATCAACCCCTTCTCCATTACCTCAGCAAGTCTGTCCTGTCCCCGAACTTGCTTTGCCTGCCCCCTCTCAGCAAAGCCTAAACCTTGAGTTACCTCGACCCACTTTCTTGAAGGGCAGTTTAGTAACCATCTCTGGTCACCTGGCCATGCCCCATAGGGATCTTACCACCTGCTCACCCAACTGTCTGAACCAAGTGGTTCATTCAAGTGTACATAGGCTGTCTCTCAGAGGAGGCCTGGGAAAGTCCTCTGTTTCCAGGGATGTTTGGAACCCTCTTTAAATGGACAAATCTAAGCCATGCTTGCATGACCTACCTGTTTCTGTGGCTCAGTTTGTAAAAAATAGATATTCTGAAAGAACCATGTCCTACAGCCAAAGGGAGTGAGGGCAACTGGACTTTGTAGATGGGAGAATGGGACAGACATACCTATCTCCTCCCTTAGGCCAAAAGAACCAAGGACTTCTTCATTTGACCTTGAAGGAGAAGTAGAGCAGAAACAGAGAGCATGCTAGAACCAGGTTTCCAGAACCTGTTGCAGCCCAAGCTGCCTCCTCCAGAGAAGAAGTGTTATTCACAGTGAATCCTCCAACAGGAGCAAAGTAAGGACTCCCAAGGGGTCAGTGGCAGCCCCTTTACTTGGGCTTGGTGTGGCCTCTATTGACAAGGCTCAATACGTTAAACAACGTGGTTCCCCCAGTTGGTATACAAACCATAGGCTGCTGGGTAGATGGGGCCTACTTTTTGATTCCAGAGGATGTTATACCCGGACTAGGGCTGTTAACTCCCAAATAGTTCTCAGAGGGTGGGGAGCAGCCAGACAGGTGGCCCTGGGATTGTAGAAAGAGAACTCTCAAACTGTTCAGTTAACCAACATCATGGGCCTATTGTGTTCCAGGTCTCAGTGTTGGAGAACCAGAAAATAAGGACCCTATCCTGAAGACACAATTGAGTGAAAAGACCAACAAATATACAGTCAATCACAAGACAATGTGATAAACAGACTCTTCTCTTTCTTTGAGATACAATTCACATACATGAAATTTATCTTTTTAAAGTGTATAATCCAGCAGTTTTTAGTATAGTCATAAGATTGTGCAACCATCACCACAATGAAATTCTAGAGTATTTCATCACCACATGCACAAAAAGTTATATCTATTAGCAGTCACTCCCCATTTTCCTTCTCCCCTAATCCCTGGTGATAACTAATGTACTTTCCATCTCTATAGATTTGCCTATTCTGGACATCTCATATAAATGGAACCATACTATATGTGGCCTTTTGCATCTGGCCTCATTCATTTAGCATAATGTTTTCAAGGTTCATCCTTGTTGTAGCATGTATCAGCATTTTGCCCCTTTTTATGGCTGAATAATATTCCATTGTACATATATACCACAATTTATTTATCCGTTCCTCAGCTGATAGACATTTGGGGTTGTTTCTACTTTTTGGCTGCTATGAATAATGCTGCTATGAACATTTATGTACAAGTTTTTGTATGAACATATGTTTTCAAGTTTCTTGTGTGTATACCTAGGAGTAGAGTTGTTGGCTCATATGCGAACTCTATGTTTAAGTTTTGGAAGAACTGCCAGACTGTTTTCCAAAGCAGCTGCACCATTTTACATTCACGCCAGCAATGTATGAGTTGCAATTTCTCCAAATCCCCACCAATACTTGTTATTGTGTGTAATTTTTATTATAGTCATCTCAGCAGGTATAAAGTGGTATCTCATTCTGGTTGGTTTGTATCTTTTTTATTTTTCTTTTATTTTTATTAGAGACAGGGTCTCTCTATGCTGCCTAGGTTGGAGTGCAATAGCTATTCACAGATGTAATCATAGCACATTGCAATCTCAAACTCCTGGCCTCAAGTGATCCTCCCGCCTCAGCCTTCGGAGTAGTTGGGACTACAAGCACTCACCACCCTGCCTGGCTTCTTATTGTGGTTTTGATTTGCATTTCTCTAATGATCAATGTTGTTGAGCATCTTTTCATATACTTATTGGCCACTTGTATATCTTCTCTGAAGATATGTCCATTCAAATCTTTTGCCTTTTTAGCTGGATTATTCGTCTTTTGACTGTTGAGTTGTATGAGTCTCAGTGGAGAGCATTTATCCAAGAATGAGGGTAGAAATGATGAATAAAGGGGTGGTTGCTTAGGGAAGCCTTCCTTCCTGGAGGAGATAATATCTGAGCCAAAACTAGAAGGATAATTAGGAAGAAGTAAAACAATCATTCCTGTATTCTACAAATATTTACTGAATTTCTCCTCTACCGGGCACTGAGGCTAGTACAAATTGATTCAGTCTTCACTCTCAAGGAAAGGATCTGTGATGGGTCAATGATTTCACATTCCCCACAGGTTCTACAGGACCCCAGCATGGCCTCACCCTGCATCTTCTCTGTTAGGCTGGGCCTTGGATCTCAAACCTCAGTTTGCTGGCCATCCTTGGGTTTCACCTGATGACCCCATAGGGGAAAGTGGGTGGACATTTATCCCCAGTGGTTGTGGTGGAGCTAGCTGACTGATTAGGCCTGTCAGACTTAGCTCCTTGCCTGGGACCCAGTTTCAGCAGGACACTCCTTATCTAGGATCAGACTTGGTGTTTCCTGATTCCTTCCCCACTTTTCTGAGCCAAACCATCTATTCTAATCAGGCCTCTGAAGAAGCAAGTGGGCTTCTGAACACACAGGGCATCCACAGAGGCTTTACCCATCCAAGCAACATTATGACAGCAGAAAAGGCCTCTTTATTATAGAATAGGCAACTCCAATATTTTACAATTTTTTTAAGTAGGTTATACAACAGCATGAATCACATGATCTTATTTTTTAAATAATTCTGCATGGAAAGAAATTTGGCAAGCATAAATGAAATTTAATAGAGATGAGGGGCTAGGTGTGGTGGCTTACACCTGTAACCCTAGCGCCTTAGGAGACTGAGGGTGGAGGATTACTTGAGGCAGGGAATTCAAGACTAGCATGACAATATAGCAAGACCCTGTGCCTACAAAAAAAAAAAAAAAAAAAATTGGCCAGGCATAGTTGCACAAGCCTGTAGTCCCAACTCTTTGGGAGGCTGAGTGGGAGGATTGCTTGAGCCCAGGAGTGCAAGGCTGCAGTGAGCTATGATTGTACCACTGCACCCCAGCCTGGGAAAGAGAGCAGAACTCTATTTCTAAAAATACATATAATAGAGGCCGGGTGCGGTGGCTCACACCTATAATCCTAGTACTTTGGGAGGCCAAGGAGGGCAGATTGTCTGAACTCGGGAGTTCAAGACCAGCCTGGCCAACCTGGTGAAACCCATGTCTCTGCTAAAAATACAAACGTTAGCCGGCTGTAGTGGTGCATGCCTGTAATCACAGCTACTTGGGAGGCTGAGGCACAAGAATCACTTAAACCTGGGAGGTGGAGGTTGCAGTGAGCCGAGATTGCACCACTGCACTCCAGCCTGGGTGACAGAGCAAGATTCTGTCTCCAAAAATAAAAAATAAAAAAATACAGATGACTTAATTTTTTTATTTTTGCTCATCAGTACTTTTTAAATTTTTTGCAATGATCATATCTTGCTAGTATAACATTTAAGGAAAAATAAACTTAGTGGCACAAAAATGATAGGATTTTAAAAATATTACTCTATATGTGTTATAAATGTGAATTAATTGTATAATACTTTTGTGATTTGCTCTTTTACAAAGTTCATAATCATATTATTTGCTAATCACATTGCCTAATACAGAAAATGGTTTAGAAACAGAGGTTAGTGTTGTTTACAAAACAGAAAATCTTTGCTTCTTGCACATATTGGCTGCCCAGACCTCCCAGTCTTAGCCATCAAATCTTGGCATTTACCAGCCTCTGGAAGCATAAAACCCTGAGTGAGGGAGTTCTCCTGGCCTGGTCTACAGAAGCTTAGACAAGAATTGCCACAGAAGCATCAAAACAATAGAATGTGATGTCGTGGGCATCCCAGGGGGAAATAATGCTAGATTGAAATGAATTTTTGCATCACTGATTTTCCCTGCTGATTGAGCCCTGTTTATCTCATTTGGCAGATCAGCCTCAAAGTGCATGAACTATTTGTGCCTCATTAGTTTCCAATAGATTGATTTTGCTAGGATTGCGAATTGGCCATCTTGAATTGCAGCCTGCAGAAGCCGGCTCTGGCTCAGCCTCAGGGGGACAGACACTCGGAACAACAGCCGCCACTGCAGCCACCACCACTGAAAAAGAAACCGGAGAGCTGTTCTAAGGCTACAAGGACAATAGTACCTTAAATCTTCTCTGGAACCAGACAGCATAAAATACGGACTTCTAAGAAAGCAAACAAGGGTCATCTCTGCTTTCTTTTCTTTCTCTCTCTCACGTATTCTCCTTGGCAACTGTCTCATCTTTCCCTCAATCCCTCCCTCCCTCCCTCCCTCTCTCTCTCATCTTAGCCCCTTCTTCAAATGTTAAAAAAAATAAAAACAGTTTTAAGAGAAAAACATAAACAACTTGAAGACTAGTTTATAAAACAGTGAATGCTGAACTACTTACAATATAGTGATTAGAAAGAAAAGCAGAATATAAAACCAAACATACAGTACAATGACATTGCTTTACAAAAAATATACATAGAAAAAAGGATTAAATTTTAAAAAGCATGCCAAATGTAGACAGCAGTAACTTTGGCTGGTGGGGATATGGATGATTATCGTTTTTTTCTTTAAACTTTTCTGCACTCAAAACTGTCTAAAATTATTAACAGCACACTTATCCTCAGAAAATTTTAATAAAAATACATAAAGTAATAAAATGGCACATATGTAATCAACTTAAAAAGCCCCCCCCCCTTTTTTTTCATTCAGTAAGGTGTATTAGCCTCTATAGGATATTTGCTGGCTTGGTAATTAAAATGTTAAGGGTAAATCCAGCTTTAGGCAAAATCTGATCCAGCAATCCAAGAGCCATTGTCAGAGCTCTCTCTTTTCAGTTCTGACTGCCTTTCTTTGGGTGTTGGCCCTATCCTCTCCTACTGCAATCCAGGATACCTCCACCTTTTTCCACTTGAAGGCGAACTTGGTGGTCCCAGATTCATACTTTTCCACTTCTGGGAACCCAGAGGTGAGATGTCTTTCCCCACTAGCTTCAATGAGACAAATACTGGGAAAAGACCAGGGTTGGATGAGTTGGGATCATGGACCATGATGAGTCATCCCTGGAATAATCAATGTGACAAGGGGATTGGGTACTATGAATGTCTGGTCCAGGTCACACGTCACGGTGGGAAATGGACATGGAGGAGGGGATGGATAAAGCACAAAAGCACCCAAACAAAAATGTCCCTAAGACAGCACAGTCTCCCCTGCAAGGATTGTATGATCTAGTTAGAAAACTAAGACAAGCATAGAAAAGGGTAAAACAAAAACAAGGAATAAACAATAAGTTTATTTAAACATGGCACAAGGCAGAACATGATTAATTTTCCAACAATAGCATAGACAGTAAGTCCTAGGCCAAGAATTCAGGGGTGGGATAACCTGAGCAAACTTGGTGGAAGGGAAGGAATGTAAGCTGGGTTCTGAAAGATGGGAAGGTTTGGAGAACAGATGGAAATGGCAACATCAGTTCAAACTAAGAGAATGGCCTGAGCGTAGCCACAGAGATGGTCAAGTGAAAGATGTGTGAGAATAGAAACAGGGTCAGGAATGTGAGTAATTTTAGTCACACGCTAGAGATATTAATTGGGGCTGGAGTGCAGTGGCTTTGAAAGCTAAGCTCATGACTTTGAATTTATGTGGTAGCCGGTGAGGAGTCACCAAGGTTTTTAAACAGGGAACTGGTGAGATGCAGGTCATACATAAGGACAACCTGCCTCGTGGCAGGAGCAGGAGGAACTGGAGCTGAGAAAGATCAGAGGCAGAACAACCAGTTGAGAGGTTGCTGCAATGGTCCATGTGTGAAGTAATAAGGGCTGGAATGAGGGAGGTGACGATGAGGAATGGAAAGGAAGAGACATTTCATTCATCAACTCATTCATTCATCCAACAAGCATTTGTTAATCACTGACAACCAGGAACTCTACTAGATCAGCCACTAAGTTCATCAAGGAAGGTGTGGCACGGCTTGCCTTCTGCTGGAATACCAGGTCCTAGCTGAAGGTGACCAAAGACCATGGTGTTGCTGTTAAGAGAAATAGCAAAGTCAGGAGAAAGAACTAGTTTGGGCATCTAAGAACAAATAATTCCGAATCTAGTTTGACGGTACAGCAGGGCGGGCAGATGGAACTATCCAGCAGGCAGGAGAAAATGTAGGACTTGACCTGGAGAGGGAGATCAAGACAGAAGGTTGAGATGTGGATACCTCTGTGCACAGGGGAGCGTCACCTCCACAGGAGCACTGTGACTTAGGAAGGTCTGAGCCAGCCTGACTGAGCTTTATGCCGAGCTCAGAGCAGGGACAAAAATGGAGATCTCTTTGCCTGTCCGCTCTACGTTAGGTGCAATATAAACCTGATACGAACTTCTGCCTCTTTCCTGTGATTCCTGACACGATGGCCCCATCAGCATCACACATGTTGAGATGATTTTTCAGAAGCTGATTACTTAAAACCTCTAATCCAACTCCCGTTTCACCTCTGGATTGAAAAGTGCTCTTCTCCCTCTGTCCCAGCTAGAAAAGGGTGTGCTGCAACCAGATGGTAAACTGTGGACAGAAATAAACCCTGTTCACATGTAGCAAGAATATTTATATCCAATCCCATAATATCACTGCAGGCATAATTATAGCCAATCCTGCAATTGTGCTGCGGGTATCAGGCATCAGAAAAACCAACCCAAAGTGCCACAGAGAGACCAGGGAGATATGGGAACTGTAGAGGCAGCTGCTGCCCCTGAGAGACCCCTGGGCAGAAGTAGGGTGGGGCTATTTAGAGATTATGGAGGGGCTCTGCCAATGGTGGTGAAGAGGGACGTGATAATTTCACAGATTACATAGCTCAAACTCCAGTTTCAGTAGTACTGCATGCTTTTATTTGTAACTTTTAAGAAATTATAAAATCAATGCTTATTCATTGTACAAGGTTTAGGAAATATGGGAAAGTGTCTATAATCCCACAATCCAAAAATAGCATTGTTGCTGGTATGGTGGCTTATACCTGTAATCTCGGCACTTTGAGAGGCCAAGGTGGAAGGATGGCTTGAGGCCAGGCATTGAGGACCAGCCCAGGCAGCACAGTGAGACCCTGTCTGTCTCTATAGAAGTAAATAAAAGTAAATAGCCAGGCATGGTGACATGCACCTGCAGCCTCAGCTACTCAGGAGGCTGAGATGGAAGGATCTCTTCAGCCCAGGAGTTCAAGGCTGCAGTGAACCATGCTAGTGCCCTGCACTATAGCCTGGGCAACAGGGCAAGACCCTGTATAAAAAAAAAAAAAAAAAAAAAAAAAAAAAAAAGTGGCCGGGCACAGTGGCTTATGCCTATAATCCTAACACTTTGGGAGCCCAAGGTGACTGGATCACCTGAGGTCAGGAGTTCGAGACCAGCCTGGCCAACATGGTGAAACCCCGTTTCTACTAAAAATACCAAAAAATTAGCCGAGTGTGGTGGTGCACGCCAGTAGTCCCAGCTACTCGCGAGGCTGAGGCAGGAGGATCACTTGAATCTGGGAGGCAGAGGTTGCAGTGATCCGAGATCGCACCATTGCACTCCAGTCTGGGCAACAAAAGCAAAGCTCTGTCTCAAAAAAAAAAAGCATTGCTTGCTAACATTTTATAATTTGTTGTTATAGTATTTTACTTTGCATATATGTGTTTTGTGTCATACTGTAAATAACATTCTACATCTTGTTTATTTCATTTAATATCATATTTCCTCATATTGTTAAGATATATTCCAAAACATTATTTTACTGTGGTATTTCAGGGGAAGAAGGTAACAAAAAAAACCACAAAACATTATTTTAAAACCTTTTTCTGTAGTATTTTTATGAAATGGAATACTATATAGCCGTTAAAATGAATAAACTAGAGCTTCATGTAGCAACACAAATAATTGTTAATATAAGGTTAATAAAAAGGTAATTTGCAGAGCCAGGTATTAATATATAATTCAATGTCATTTTTGAGAAGTTAAAAGCTCTAATGCCAGAAGCAGTGGCTCACATCTGTAGTCCCAGCACTTTTCAAGGCCAAGGCCTATGGATCGCTTGAGCCCAGGAGTTTGAGATCAGCCTGGGCAACATGGCAAAACTCTGTCTCTACCAAAATATAAAATTTAGCTGGTGTAGTCACAGCTACTCCAGAGGCTGAGGTGGGAGGATTGCTTTAGCCTGAGAGACAGAGGCTGCAGTGAGCCATGATTGTGCCACTGCACTCCAGCCTGGGCAAAATGGCAACTCTATCTCAAAAAAAAAAAAAAATCTGAAACAATATTATACATTGTTTATGTTGACTTACATGTAAAAAGTATAGAGGCCTGCACAGTGGCTCACGCCTGTAATCCTAGCACTTTGGAAAGCCAAGGCAGGCGGATCATGAGGTCAGGAGATCGAGACCATCCTGACTAACACAGTGAAACCCTGTCTCTACTAAAAATACAAAAATATTAGCCGGGCGTGGTGGCGGGCGCCTGTAGTCCTAGCTACTTGGGAGGCTGAGGCAGGAGAATGGCATGAACCTGGGAGGTGGAGCTTGCGGTAAGCCGAGATTGCGCCACTGCACTCCAGCCTGGGCGACAGAGCGAGACTCTGTCTCAAAAAAAAAAAAAAAAAAAAAAAAGTATAGAAAATGTATGGGAAAAATTTTCTGCAGGGAAAGAGGAAACAGGTTGAAATTAAGGAGGAGTATAAAGGAGCTTTGATTGTTTCTATAATTTGTTTTTTGGGTTTTTTTTTTTTTTTTGAAACAAGGTCTGGCTCTATCTCTCAGGCTGGAGTACAGTAGCATGACCTTGGCTCACTGCAACCTCTGCCTGCTAGTCTCAAGCCATCCTCCCACCTCAGCTTCCTGAGTAGCTGGGGTTACAGGCATGCACCACCACGCCAGGTTAATTTTTGTATTTTTTGTAGAGACAGGGTTTCGCCATGTTGCCCAGGCTAGTTTTGAACTCCTGAGTTCAAGAGATCCTCCACCCTGGCTTCCCAAAATGCTGGGATGACAGGTGTGAGCCACTGCGCCCAGCCTGCTATTTCTTTTAAAAGGATTTAAAACAAATATAGCAAAACCTTAAAATGTATTAAATCTGTGATGAATAAATGTGTTCTTTATAGTCTGTATTTTTCTGCATGTTTGAAATATAGACATCATTATTTTTTAAATTAGTAGTATTCATTTTTTAGAGAAGTTTTAGGTTTACAGAAAAGTTGAGCAGAAAGTACAGGGAGTTTCTTCTTAAATTCCCACCTCACAGTTTCCTCTATTATTACCATCTTGCATTACTGTGGGTCATTTGTTACAACCGATGAGCCAATACTGATACCTTATTATTAGCTAAAGTCCACAGTTTTCATTAGGATTCACTCTTTGTATTATGCATTCTATGGATTTTGACAAATGTATAATGACATAGATCCACTATAAGAGTGTCATACAGAGTAGTTTCACTGCCCTAAAAATCCTCCGTGTGCCACCTATTCATCCCTCCTTCCACCCAAACACCTGGAAACCACTGATCTTTCCACTTTCTCCAGTTTTGCCTTTTCCAGAATGTCACATACTTGGAATCACACAGTGTGTCTTTTCAGATAGGCTCCTGAATCATTTATTTTTTAAATCAAAAATTGAAAGCCAACCACAATGAAGAAAACAAAAATCATCAGAAACTTCACTATTTCAAGATAATCACTATTAACCATACACACGATTTACTTTTTTCATGTAAATGGGATCATAGTGTGCAAAATATTATATTGCCTTTCTTTTCCACTTAACAACATAGTATGAAACTACGTAATTCAGGATTTTTCTTCTTTTTTTTTTTTTAAAGTCTACAAGAATGTTTCACGATGTGGATTAAATTAGTGAGCTAACCGATCCTTTACTTTCAGACTATTAGGCTTTCACCTGTGGCATGAAGTTTTCCTGGCTTTGAGGATCCCCTCTTAAACTAGAAAAGGCCCTTGAAGTCTCCAGAGAAGGGGGGATATAAGGCTACTGGAAATACCTTTCTAGATATGTGTCACCTGTATGACATGTTTGACATTAAGTGTGAGTTCTCGGCAGTCAAGGACATTGTCAACCACTTCTCCCCTCATTACCAAACACATGAAGCAGGTATTGATGAACATGGTGGAATGGATCCAACTTGCCCTGCAACAATCACTTTGGAGTCACCTCTAAGGAAATTCTCAAGCCACACAGGGTGCTGACTCCTTAAGAGCTGGTACCGTACACTAGGAACTAAGAAAGACACCAGAGTGGTAAGAGGGTGCCCTGTTTTGTGGAGCAGAGCAAGACAGATGCTATGAAGAACTGGGATGACAGACTGGGTGGGGACAGTGGGCAGTGGGTGTGTCTGCTCAGAGAATCTGGAGGGTGGGAAAGTGAGAGCCCAGCACTACTGCCCTGAAGCCCAGTAGCCATGAGGGGCTGGAGTTTTATGTAGATGGAGGAAGTCCACAGGCTCCTCTGAGAGCATTTACTCTTTTTAGTCAGTTTATCACACTGGTTGAGAACTTGGGATCTAGTATGGGACTTCTGGTTCAAAACCCCACTCAATCACTCTCTGGCTATTTGGCTTTGGGCAAATGGCTAAGCCATGATGGCTCAACCCCAGAAGGGGGAATATAAAAGTTGTTGTGATGGTTAAGTGAGATTATATGTGCAAAGTACTTGGCACTTAGTGAGTGCTTGGTAAATGCTAGCAATAATAATGATGATAGTGATAATAAAGCTTAGCACCTGTTCTTTTGAAAAGAAAAGTAGTCACTGAGAGCATAAGATAGCCAAGCCAAGAAGATCAGCATGAGTCTCACACTGACGCTCCCACCTAGAGAAAAGCCCAGCACATTTCACCAAGGCAGGCATGCCTGGATTCAAGTGGGTGGGGCACTGTAGGAGCAGAAAATAGGAACACCCCATTAGATAACTCAAAAGGAATTTGGGCAACTTTAATGATTTTTGCAAGCTATCTGCCAGCCTATATGTATGTCCTCTGTGTTCATGTTTGTTCTCATGTGTAACCACCTCTAGCTCCTACCTTTTTTTGGGTTGCTGAATCCAGCCATTGCAGATGGATTTTCAAATGGATACATGGCCTTTGAAGTCACCTAGTTCTACTTCCCACCAATGAGGGGATTTCTGTGGAAAACACCTCTACATGTCCTCGTCTAATCTAGGGGATATCCTGGATTCCTCCCTTTCCTTCGGCCACTCCCAAGCAAACCTTGTTTCTATCTTCAAAAAAGATCTTAGATCTCTCCTCTCCTGCTAGCACCATTGGCACTCTCCTAGAGTAAGCCTCCTTCACCCCACACATAGGCAGCTAGTCCCTAATAGACTTACTGGCTATTCTTCCCCAGGAACCAGGGTACTTTCTAAAAATGTAAATCAGATCATGACTCTCTCTCTATCCTAGGCTGGGTTCCCAGAAGCAGACCCTGACACAGAAATTCATGAGCAAGTGTTTTATTTAAAAAGAGCCCCAGGCAGAAACTGGTAAGAAAGTAGGGAAAGCTGGACAGGGAAGTGGAATACATCAGGCAAGGAAAAGTCTGGAAGCCTGGATTTCAGGCCCAGACCCAGCCTCAGCCTGATTCCTCAGGAAAACTGCAGAATAAATTGCAGCCAGAACTTGTTCCTCCTAAACATAATGGGGCTGGGCTTTCGTGCCTTCACCTGACTAGCTGAGTGCTTGGCTAAGGAGGCTTTCTGTGCATGTAAGCAAAGAGCTCTGGTAGCTGAAGGGCTACCCTTGGAACAAAGCTGTATGTGCCCAGCCCTTAAAAATAAAAGCACACAGAAGCTGGGGAACCAGTACATCAAAACTGCAAAAGCGATTCAAGAAAACCTCAGCAGAGCATCAACCAACAGGATCAACTCCAGTTCCCTCCCTTATTTCTTATCTCAGACCCTTGTTCATTTCCTTTATAGAACACGTCATGGTTTACAAGTAATTTGTGTAATTATTTGTCTCTATCCTTGTTTGTCCCCACTAAAACCTCCAGGAAGGAGTGCTTGTCTTGTTGCCTTTTGTACCCCAGTCCCTAGAACAGAGATAACATATTGTGGATCTTCCACAAAAATTTGTAGGAATGAATGAATGAATCAATGAATGAATGAATCAATGAATGAATGATGGGACCTTGGTTTGGACACTTTCGGTGATGGGGAGCTTCTACAGCATGTAGCAGCTCATCCATTTTCAGAAAGCCTTAATTGAAGTTCAGTCCCAAGACTGAATTATAATCCACTTCCCTGTCATTTGCACCAACTGATCTCTCTGGAACAACTCAGGAGATTATTGTTTCTTCTATGTCTGTGCTTCAGCTATCCAATGTCCCAACTTTCTCTCATCCAGACTAATCAACTCCAGCTCCTCCAAAGTTTCCTTACTTGACATGGATTTTGTACCCATTGGCATCCATAAGTTGTTACGTCCCCATAAAATGCATAGCAATCCCTCCCATATTACCCTGAATACACCCTATCTTGGAAGAGAAACTGGGTCAGGTGCGACAAGAATTTGGAGGAGGGAAGCTGAGATAACCCAGCCAGAGCTCTAGAGTCAGCAGATCCAAGCACAACTGAATCTCAGCTCCACTTGCTATTGAAAGACTGATCCTGGGCAAAATGCTTACTTTCTCTGAACCTTAGTTTCTTCTTCTGTACAATGGGAAAAATAAGGGCATCCATATTACAGAGTTATTCTAAGAGTTAAATAAGACAAGAAATGCAAACCACTTTTAGCAGAGTGCCTGCCACAGCTTTAAGGACTCAGAGCTTCTGCAAACTTTACCTCTAACCTAAATGGCTCTCCATGCCCCTATAAGCTCCATTTTTCCCAGTCAAATCTTCCTGTTGGCCGGGTGCGGTGGCTCACGCCTGTAATCCCAGCACTTTGGGAGGCTGAGGCAGGAGGATCACCTGAGGTCAGGAGTTCAAGACCAGCCTGGCCAACATGTTTCTACTAAAAATACAAAAATTAGCCGGGCATGGTGGCGGGTGTCTGTAATCCCAGCTACTAGGGAGGCTGGGGCAGGAGAATCACTGGAACCCGGAAGGCAGAGGTTGCAGTGAACAGAGATCACACCATTGCATTCCAGCCTGGGCAGCAGAGTCAGACTGTCAAAAAAAAAAAATCTTCCTGTTAACCCCCCAGCTCTGTCTTGGACACCTCCAGACTTTTTTTTTTTTTTCTATACGGAGTTTTGCTCTTGTTGCCCAGGCTGGAGTGCAATGGTGCAATCTTGGCTCACTGCAACTTCCGCCTCCTGGATTCAAGCAATTCTCTTGCCTCAGCCTCCCGAATGGCTGGGATTACAGGCACCCACTACCATGCCCAGCTAATTTTTATATGTTTAGCAGAGACGGGGTTTCACCATATTGGCCAGGCTGGTCTCGAACTGCTGACCTCAGGTGATCCACCTGCCTCAGCCTCCCAAAGTGCTGGGATTACAGGTGTGAGCCACCGCGCCTGGCCCACCTCCACACTTTTTCAGTCATGATAAGCTTCTAGGTGATTTCCTGACTATTTTTCTTCCCATTTTCTCATTTCATTTTCCACCTACCTCTCCGCTTTCCTCATTACTACTCATTCATGTATCCACCACATAGCCATTCTCCCTTTCTCTTTTATGTGTCTTTCTTGCTCAATTAATTCTCTCTTGCTTATTTTCTTTCCTCTCATCTTTCTTTATAGCATGAAAACTCTAATCAGAAAGATCATAAAAAAAAATTCTCCCCTTCTATTCTGCCTTCTACCTTGGCTGCAGATAGCTGAGAGGAAATAATCAACATGGTAACAGTAAAATCAGTAAATGCTCATTTTCTTTTTTTTTTTTTGAGACAGAGTCTTGCTCTGTCGCCCAGGCTGGAGTGCAGTGGCACGATCTCGGCTCACTGCAAGCTCTGCCTCCCAGGTTCACGCCATTCTCCTGCCTCAGCCTCCCGAGTAGCTGGGACTACAGGTGCCTGCCACCATGCCCAGCTAATTTTTTGTATTTTTAGTAGAGACGGGGTTTCACCATGTTAGCCAGGATGGTCTCGATCTCCTGACCTCGAGATCTGCCCACCTCGGCCTCCCAAAGTGCTGGGATTACAGGCTTGAGCCACTGCGCCTGGCTAGTAAATGCTCATTTTCTCATCACTTAGGCATCTTAAGCTGCAGGCCATTTTTCATCTGCTCCTTGCCACAGATGGAAAGGTAAAAATCCAGGTTGGAAGGGAAGCAGTCAGCAGTGAGGACAGAGAAGAACCAGAAAACTCTCTCTCCCTTTCACCTATATGAATGATTCTGATTTCTTACCTCTTGTAATAGCAAAGATCTCCACTACAGTTATAGCTGTCTATCTTGTTCTAACTTTAATGGAAATGCCTTTAATCTTTTGCCATTAATTATGCTTTTTTCTAGATTTTGTACCAAACAGTCTTTATCCAATTGGGGGGAGATCTCTTCTGTGCCTAGTTAGCTAAGCTTATATAATATGTAGTTGTGATTATTAAACTAGAGTTTCTAGGTAGAAATTCGAGCACTGAAAGTCAGGGCAGCAGGGTGATAAGTAGGTTGGCATAGGAGGTATCCTGGGCTGGGAATATCAGAAGAAAGAATTGAGGCCAAGTGGGCAGGCTGGGGCATGGTGGAGAATCCTGTCCTGAGGGACTGTCATGGTGCTGATAGTCACTGCTCATAAACTAACTGAGATGTTGCAGTTCAGATTTCAGGTGACCCTTGAGTGTAGTAATGACAAAACGAGGCTCTAGTTATAGTTCTTGCTTCTTCTTTTATTAATTTATATAAGCAACTCTGGATTTTCCAGGAGATTTTTGGTAAAAATTGGAGCAAATAACTGAAACTACATCCCTTTTCAAGTGAAAGCTTTTTTGGAGGTGGATCTGATGCTGGTTTTCCATTCCAATCAGCGCTGTGAAAGCTACTTCTTGTCCTTGCTATGGGCAGATTGAGCTTCTTTTTCTCCCTGATGGAAATTCAGGAAGGAAACCAAATAATTCCCAACGGAGACAAGCGTTGACCACAGTACCATCCAAAAGGGCTTTTAAAGATTTCAATCTTGCATGTGAGAATGTTGGCAAGTGAGGTTGGTTGCTCACACTACCTTGTCAGCTTGATGAGAGGCTGGGAAGGAGGACATGAAAATTGTTCTGAGGGAGAGGAGGTTGCAGGTGAAACATTAATGAGGTGCACTTAACACTGGAAACATCTCAGTAAAAGTGTTTGTGATAAGCATCCAAAATAAAGCACTAAACACTCAGATATAAGCATCTCTCAGTAAACCAACCTGCACATACTGTGGGACTGGTGAAAGGATGGACATTCTAACATCAAAGCTTCACAATGTGGGCTGGTACAAAGGTAGTGGGGTAACTCAATTGATTGTTCAGTCAGTTACAGATCGAAATCCTTGTTCTTTTTTTGTTTTTTGTTTTTTGTTTTTAAGACGAAGTCTTGCTCTTGTACCCCAGGCTGGAGTGCGATGGCATGATCTCGGCTCACTGCAACTTCCGACTCCCTTGTTCAAGGGATTCTCCTGCCTCAGTCTCCCAAGTAGCTGAGAATACAGGCATGCACCACCATGCCCAGCTAATTTTTTGTATTTTTAGTTTTAGTTTGCTAAGCTTATATAATATGTAGTTGTGGTTATTAGACTAGAGTTTCTAGGTGGGAAATCGAGCACTGAAAGTCAGGGAAGCAGGGTGATAAGTAGGTTGGCTTATCAGAGTTTCACCGTGTTGGCCAGGATGGTCTCGATCTGCTGACCTCGTGATCCACCCACCTCTGCCTCCCAAAGTGCTGGGATTACAGGTGTGAGCCACCACGCCTGGCCCATACTCCTTGTTCTACTCCTTCCCGACCTTCTCACTACTGCGCTTCACCAGTCTTAAAAAAAATGTTACCCAGTGTGGCATGTACTGATTGCTATTCTACCCGTATCATGTAGTCGCATTTGTTTTGTTTTCAGCATGATTGATGGAAAATTGGCCATCCTGCCCTGGGATAACCAGGAGTTCACTGTGCTTGATTTCTTTTCTAGCTCCCTTCTTCACCACAGGGGGTGAAGAAAATAAGTCCTCAGCAACCCATCATAAAGAGAAAATTTAAATTGACACAGGCAATGTGTCAGACAGCTTTGGGATAGTCTCAGAAGGTGGAAAGTAAAGAAAATCTATGAAGAAAAGTTGGGCTGGGCGTGGTGGCTCACACCTGTAATCCCAGCATTTTGGGAGGCCGTGGTGGGAGGATCACTTGAGCCCAGGAGTTTGAGACCAGCCTGTACAACAAAGGGAAATCCTGTCTCTACAAAAAAAAAAAAAAAAAAAATTTAAAAAAAATTTTAAAAAGAAAAGTTGAAGAAATTGGCATCAATGAGTCTTAAAAACAGAAGCTGACAGGCTAATATAGTGACTGTTTCTAGTTTGTAAACTAGATCAGCTACACACTCCAAAACACCATCTGTGCTCAGCCAGTGGTGGTGCACTGGACAAGCAGAAGAGTGAGTTCTAGAACTGGACTCCAGTCTCACCTCTGCCAATGCGTGTGGCCTGGGCAGTCTCCCTGTCTAGGCCTCAATTTCTGTCTCTGTAAAATTAAAAGGTTGGGCCACTTTGGGGTTCCCAGTCTTTCCTTAAGACTTCACAAAAGAAGAAATGTTTGGACACACCACAAAGAGTACTTTTAAATTATTACATAATAAATGCATTGGCTGGGCGTAGTGGTTCATTCCTGTAATCTCAGCACTTTGGGAGGCCGAGGAGGACAGATCACTTGAGGCCAGGAGTTTGAAACCAGCCCGGCCAGCATGGAGAAACCCTATCTCTACTAAAAATACAAAAATTAGCTGGGTGTGGCAGCATGTGCCTGTAATCCAAGCTACTTGGGAGGCTGAGGCACGAAAATCACTTGAACCTGGGAGGTGGAGGTTGCAGTGAGTCGAGATCACACCACTGCACTGCAGCCTGGGCAACTGAGTGAGACTCTGCCTTATAAATAAATAAATACATTTATTAGGTGATGAGAATCTCCCAAACACAGGACTCATGAGGGAAAAGAAAAATAAAATAGGTGCTCAGTGATAAGAGTTTGGGAACCAGACTGAAGTCACTCTAGAGCAGGGATGGTGATGCATCATTTTAGAATCCTTAACACAGTGCCTTCTTACCACACACACCCATGAAGTGCTCATTATGTTTCAAACACACACATGAAAAGGACACATAGTAGACCCCCATGCATCCATTACCCAGCCCCAAGAATCATCCCTCAAGCCCAGTCTAGCTTTTCTATGCTCCCATCAGCTGACCTCTAAATATCCCAAAGACCATTTTGAAGCAAGTGCCGAAATTATATAATTTCACCTACAAATATTTCAGTATGTCACTCTGAGATAAGTAATATGTAAATATAGCCACAAAATCATTATCAGACCTAAAATGTTAATAATACTTCCTTAAATATCATTTTTTATCATTATGATTTTTTTTGAGACAGAGTAAGAACCTATCAAACACCATGGAGCTGGGTCAAGAGGGCTCAGGAGCAAATTAAGAGATCCCCACAGTCCCACTGGCCAATGGTAGAAGAATCAATGAGGATTATAACTTCATTGATCTCAAACTCATTAAATATATTAAACCCATGAATTTTTAATGACACTTAGAAAAAAAAAAGCCTCATTTGTCATCTTTTGAAGGATGCTAGGAAATCAACCTATTATTTTGAAACTGACAAGGAAGGAAAACAAACAGCATTGATTCTGTCTTTTCCAACTGTGTGTCATGATAACCAAATAGTTGATAAGAAGATGATTTTCTTTATAGAAACATTCTAGCTAATAAATTAAGAAGAAAAGAAGCTAAGAAATGTTAGCATATCTAGCTCTGTCACCCAGGCTAGAGTATAGTGGCATGTAGCCTCAACCTCCTGGGTTCAAGCCATCCTCCCAACTCAGCCTAAAGGTACACACCACCCTGCCCCAGCTAATTTTTTTTTTCTATTTTTTGTAGACAGCGGTGTCTCACTTTGTTGCCCAGGCTGGTCTTGAATTCCTGGGCTCAAGTGATCTTCCCACCTCTGCCTCTCAAAGTCCTGGGATTACAGGCATGAGCCACCATGCCCAGCCTCCTTAAATATCATTTAATATTAATTGCATGTTCAAATTTCACAGATGGCGTCATACAATTTTTTTTTTTTTTTTTGAGACAGGGTCTCACTGTGTCCACCCAGGCTGGAGTGCAGTGGCACGATCTTGGCTCACTGCAACCTCTGCCGCTCTGGTTCAAGCGATTCTCCTGCCTCAGCCTCCCGAATAGCTGGGATTACAGGCATGCGCTATCATGCCTGGCTAATTTTTGTATTTTTAGTAGAGACAGGGTTTTGCCATGTTGGCCAGACTGGTCTCGAGCTCCTAACCTCAAGTGATCCGCCTGCCTCAGCCTCCCAAAGTGCTGGGGCTACAGGCATGAGCCACCGCACCCGGTCCAGCTTTTTGTGTTTCCATCAGGAGGCACATAATGCCCAGTTATCTTTCTTTTTTTGATGTTAGCAGCTATTGATGATCATTGCCTAGCTCCATTATTTCATTAAGAGTTGCAAAATTTCGATATGCAAAATGTTGATATGCTAACATTTCTTAGCTTCTTTTCTTCTTCATTTATTAGCTAGAATGTTTCTATAAAGAAAATCGCCTTCTTATCAACTATTTGGTTATCATGACACACAGTTGGAAAAGAAAAGACAGAATCAATGCTGTTTGTTTTCCTTCCTTGTCAGTTTCAAAATAATAGGTTGATTTCCTAGCATCCTTCAAAAGATGACAAATGAGGCTGTTTTTTTTCTAAGTACCATTAAAAATTCATGGGTTTAATATATTTAATGAGTTTGAGATCAATGAAGTTATAATCCTCATTGATTCTTCTACCATTGGCCAGTGGGACTGTGGGGATCTCTTAATTTGCTCCTGAGCCCTCTTGACCCAACTCCATGGTGTTTGATAGGTTCTTACTTTCTGTGAACTCAACTTCTGAGATAATCTCTAAGGTCCTTCTTAGTCCTGCCCTCAGATCAAGTAAAGAATAGAGCCCATCCTTGGCCTCATATAGTATACACATTGAGACACAAAGGTTATTTTCTTCTTGGGTCTTACAGGAAAGATTTCTGAAAGGTAGGAGGAAGAGGGTGTGTGTAAACCCAACTCATCTCCTCAGGCTAGAGGAGGAGGCCTGAGGCTGTCAGTGAAAGTGGGGTGGGGGTGGGGAGTAGGGGGACAGAATCACAGCTCTGTCCTGGGAAATCAGGGAGAGAGTGGTTGCTTCAATTTCAAGTCATCTCCTCAAATCAACCCAAGTGCATGTCTCAACAGAACTGATTCCCTGTAACTACTTTCCTGCCGACCCTCTCTTCCCCACTCCCTGCTCTTCAGTTAGGGTAGTGTAGTTTGGGGAGGCACATAAAAATGCCTGGAGATCCTAAGTTGGAAAAGTAAGGTGTGAGGAAGGTAACCTGGTCACCCTGGCAAAAAAGAGAGCTTGACTGAGTCAGTCCCTATCCCAAGACTGGGTGGATCCAGTCACCACCCAAGAGTCCTGGGCCTGAGGCCAGCTTCTGCACTGCCCTGCCCTGTCCCTGCATAACCAGGGTATGACAACTCAAGCATCCAGGTGGAAGGAATGACACAAACAGAACCTGTCTCCTTTAGCTTCCAAGACTCAAAGAAGTGAGCTTTGTGAGAGGGAAAAGCCTGGTTGAGAATGTCAGATAGAGGTGGGCATAACTCGATTTATAGCTTTTAAGCACTTAGACATTTGTCACATGGGACAATATTTGCACTTTTGCAAACACCAGGGCAGTGTTGGTCCTTCTGGCTTGGGCATTTCAAGTGAGTGTTTGGATGCCCCAAGTGAGGACGTCTGGTTAGACTTCATGGTCCAGGCTAGTCCCCTGTCCAGCTTTTTCTTTTCCTTTCCCAGTCATGGAAAGGAAAACATGGAAAACAGACCACCTTTGGCATTACTGAATTCTGAGCATGTCCAGAATTTGGCTTGGGGCTGCTGCTTTTTGTGTAAAGTTAGGGGAAACCTGCAGTTTTGGAAAAGCATCTGGGAGCAAGAGATACATCTTGGGTTCTTCCTTCTTTCAGAAAGGTCCTGATAGCCAAGGATAGTCCCTCTCAATTACCACAACTGTATGCCCCTGCCCCTTGATCAAAGCTGATTAACACAGTGCAGACACCTTGCCCAAATTTCCTTATCTGAGAGCTCCAAAGAGAGAGGGATGTTCCGAGGATGAGAATTTCCGAAACTTAATTCCTTCCTTGCCTAAATCTTTGCTGTTCATCTTTTCCTTCAATTATGTGACACACTCCATACCCTTCAAAAAACACAGCTTTTTGCTCATTCGAGCTAACTTAAGTCAGTTTCTGTTGTCTGCATCCACACACAGATGAAAAACCCTTAACTGAAATTACTGTTCAATGGTGCTCTGGATGAAGAGCCCAGGCACCTAAATTCATCCCTTTCCCTCTGACTCCCCCATCCCTGTCATCACGTCTTTAAATCCCAGACTCATTATCCTCTGCTTACAGCCAGCACCAAGGCAATAAGGGGAGATAAAAATGAGAAAAAAATGATGATGATGATAATAATACTTATTTTTTGAGCACCTTTTATACCAGGAATTGTGTTAAGTGCTTTACATAAATCATTTTATTGAATCAAATCCTCATAAACAACTCTGGGTTTGTTAGGACGCTTTTGACTCCATGTAAGAGAAATCCCAAATAAAAATAGCTTAAACGTGAGGAAATGAGTTATTTTCTATGTAATAATAAGTCCCTACCAGGGGTAGCTTTAGGGTTGGTTAAATTAGAAGCTTGATGATGTCATTAGGCACCCCAGTTCTTGCCATCTTTTCACTCTGCCATCCTTAGTTGGCTTGGATCGTCAGCCTGGGTACCCTTGTGACCACAAAATGGCTGTTACACTTCCAGGCATCCCATCTGGACATGACAGTATTTAGCAGAGGGACGATCTCTTCCTTGTATCTTTTTTAAGTACAAGAAAAGCTTTCCAAGAAGCCTCTAGTTGATCACCCCTCTCATCTCAGTGGCCAGAACTGGGTCATACATGCATGCTTAATCCAACCATTGACCCAAAAGTGGTATTATTGCAATGGGCCTACACCAAGCATAATTCACCCCTGAGTTGAAAGAGGAAGAGATAAAACACTCTGAAAAAAAAAAAGAAAAATGAGATCTGGCCAGGCGCAGTGGCTCATGCCTGTAATCCCAGCACTTTGGGAGGCTGAGGTTGGCGGATCATGAGGTCAGGAGATCAAGACCATCCTGACCAACATGGTGAAACCCCTCTCTACCAAAAACACAAAAATTAGCTGGGCGTGGCAGCGCGTGCCTGTAATCCCAGCTTCTTGGGAGGTTGACGCAGGAGAATCGCTTGAACCAGGGAGGCGGATATTACAGTGAGCCAAGATCGCGCCACTGCACTCCAGCCTGGTGACAGAGCTAGACTCCGCTCAAAAAAAAAAAAAAAAAAAAAAACAAAACAAAAACACTATTTTTCAGCAAAGAAAAGGGGAGGAACCCATTCGGTAGTTAACCAACAGTGTCTGCTGCAAACCTTCGAGATACACATGAGCAATTCAGAGGGGTAGAGTGATTTGCCCAAGGTCAAACAACCAGTTAATTGCAGATATGGAGTCTGAATCCGGAACTGTCCATCTCTAAAATCTACTCTTTTAACCTGTATTCTGGGAGGCAGTTAGTCCACACTAAATTCTTTTGCCTTTGAGAAACGCAGGTTGCTAAGGCTGTCCTGATTATTTCATGAAAATAACTGGTGTAGGAGCTACAAATTGATCATATTCAGGAGACCAAGCCACACAGCAAACTTATCTAGCCTCACTGAATCTGTTCCCCACTGGCTCACTCAAGTCTCCTCAAATACAGTGGTGAGGAAACTTAAAAGAAGCTCAATTCGGCAAACAGCAGGCTTCAGTCTTAGATATCTGGCTTTCGGAGTGGGCATCATAAGTGAACAAATATCCTTTCTGTGTCCTTCCACATCTCCTCTTATTGGTATTGCCACCTTTGGGGAATTCTTTCTACCCAATTTCATTTATTTGGTTCTGATAGGGACTTCCAGTGACAGTACCAAGACATCAAGTCCCAGCTATTCAGGAGGCCAAGGCAGGATGATCACTTGAGCCCAGGAGTTTGAGACCAGCGTGGGCAACACAGTAAAATCTCATCTCAGGCCAGGCGCGGTGGCTCATGCCTGTAATCCCAGCACTTTGGCAGGCTGCGGCGGGTGGATCACGAGGTCAGGAGATCAAGACCTTCCTGGCCAACATGGTGAAACCCGTCTCTACAAAAAGTACAAAAATTAGCCGGGTGTGGTAGTGCATGCCTGTAATCCCAGCTACTCAGGAGGCTGAGGCAGGAGAATCGCTTGAACCAAGGAGTCGGAGGTTGCAGTGAGCCGAGATCACGCTACTGTACTCCAGCCTGGTGACAGAGCGAGACTCAGTCTAAAAACAAAAAACAAAAAAACCCTCAACTCTATCAGTCAATCAATTAGTCAGAGATGACATTAAAATCAAAATAGTTAAACAATGGGAAAGCACAGACACCAACCAATCACAAGGGACGCTGGGCTAGCCATTAACTCTTAGTTGTTGGGCCATGGGGAAGTCCAGGGTGTCCCAAGGAGGTCCAGGATGGCCAGGAGATGAGGACAGGGAACTTAGGAGTCTTGGGTCAGTAGGTATTTACCAACAGCTATGGAAATATTTCACTTAATGCGTTCTTAATTATAAATATTGCATGTTTCAGTTCTCGAAAGCCCATTTGGTTCTTTTTTTATAGATTCGAATGCTCTGTTGAAATTCTTTATTTTTCATCTATTGTACTATTTTCTCTATTTACCATGTTTATAATACTCATTATAAAGTCCTTGTCTGCTAACTCAAATATCAGAATCAGTTGTGGGTCTGCTTCTATTGCCTGCTCTTTCTCTACTTTTATTTTTTTTTTCTGAGGCAGGTTCTTGCTCTGTTGCCCAGGCTGGTGTGTGGTGGTACAATCATGGGTCACTGCAACCTTGACCTCCTGGGCTTAAACAATCCTCCCTCCTTAACCTCCCAAGTAGCTCGGACTACAGGTATTGTGACTAAGCCCAGGTAATTTTGTTTGTTTGTTTGTTTGTTTGTTTGTCTGAGACGGAGTCTGGCTCTGTCGCCCCAGGCTGAAGTGCAGTGGCACAATCTTGGTTCACTGCAAGCTCCGCCTCCTGGGTTCATGCCATTCTCCTGCCTCAGCCTCCTGAGTAGCTGGGACTACAGGCTCCCACCACCACGCCCGGCTAATTTTTTTTGTATTTTTAGTAGAGACAGGGGTTTCACTGTGTTAGCCAGGATGGTCTTGATCTCCTGACCTCATGATCCAACCGCCTTGGCCTCCCAAAGTGCTGGGATTACAGGCGTGAGCCACTCTGCCCGGCCACCCAGGTAATTTTTTAACTTCTTTTTTTTTTTTGAGACAGGATCTCGCTCTATCACCCAGGCTGGTGTGCAGTGGTGCGATCTCTACTCACTGCAACCTCTGCCTCCCAGATTCAAGTGATTTTCCCACCTCAGCCTCCCAAGTAGCTGGGACTACAGGCATGTGCCACCACACCTGGCTAATTTTTCTATTTTTAGTAGAGATGGGATTTTGCCATGTTGCCCAGGCTGGTCTCAAATTCTGAGCTCAAGTGATTCACCCACCTCAGCCTCCCAAAGTGCTGGGATTACAGGCATGAGCCACTGCATCCAGCCTGTTTTTTTCCTTTTTCTTTTTCTTTCTTTTTTTTTTTTTTTGAGACAGAGTCTCACTCTTGTCACCCAGGCTGGAGTGCAATGGTGCGATTTTGGATCACTGCAACTTCCATCTCCTGGGTTCAAGCGATTCTCCTGCCTCAGCCTCCTGAGTAGCTGGGATGACAGGTGTCCACCCCCACGCCTGGCTAATTTTTGTATTTTTAGTAGAGATGGGGTTTCGCCATGTTGGCCAGGCTGGTCTCAAACTCTTGACCTCAGGTGATCCACCCACCTCGGCCTCCCAAAGTGCTGGGATTACAGGCATGAGCCACCATGCCCGGCCCCTGCTTATTTTCCTTATCAGTCACATTTTCCTGCTCTTTGCATGCCTTATAATTATATAAAAGAAAACAGAGGCAAAAGATGATATTATTTTCCTCCAGTGATGAATCTCTTTTTCTTCTGTTAGCAGATGGGGTGAGGGACTGATCACCTTAACCTAGTCAAGAATTCAGCTGGGTTGAGGCTGGGTTGCAGTCTTGGTTAGTCCCAGTCCACCTCTGAGTCACCACTATTCCTTGGATGGAGCCCACTCAAGCTTTTCATTGGCATGTCTCTGTCTTCTCATCCCTGAAAGCCTATGGAAGATTCAGCTCTGTTCTTAGGAGCTCCAGCTTAGCTCTAGATTCTAACATTACACCAGATAACATTGATCATCAAAAACTCTACCAGTTTCTCTTTGCCCCAGTAGAGACCCTATGCCTGGGTCAAGCCCTATCCTTGGCCTGTGCACAGATTTGGCAAATACCCCCTGGGAAGAAAATGGTCAGAGACAATCAGCACATTTAGAAAGGGCTCTTTCCGGCCGGGCGCAGTGGCTCACGCCTGTAGTCCCAGCACTTTGGGAGGCCAAGGCGGGCAGATCACCTGAGGTCAGGAGTTTGAGACCAGCCTGACCAACATGGTGAAACCCTGTCTCTAATAAAAATACAAAATTAGCTGGGTGTGGTGGCACATGCCTGCAATACCAACTACTTGGGAGGCTGAGACAGAAGAATCACTTGAACCCAGGAGGCGGAGGTTGCGGTGAGCCTAGATCGTGCCATTACACTCCAGCCTGGGCAACAAGAGTGAAACTCCGTCTCAAAAAAAAAAAAAAAAAACGGAAAGGGCTCTTTCCTCTCCAGAATTTCAGTTCATTAGTCCTCATTGATGGCACAACTCTGAGGTGTCTTAAAAAGGTGATTTCTGTAACTTACTCTGTTTTTTCTAGTTGCTTCAGCAGGAGTGTTGGATTGTTCCTACATATACATCCTATCCAGAAGAGGAAGCCCTCTGAAACCCTTTCAACATTTAACCATAGTGAGGTCATCCAGATATATACGGCTGAATCAACCCAGAGCATACCATGGCCCCTGCTCCACACCTCTACTACAGTGAGGACAGGTGGCCCAAACAGACTAGAGTCTTTTTGCAGCGAAACTGGGGACCATGAGCCTTTTTATTTTTACAGTGGGTGGAAAGTCTGACAAAGCTGTGAGAATAAGTCTGGAAGCTTCCAATGGCTATGCCCCATGCTCATGGAAGAGGCCAGTCTCCAGCAGGAGGAAATGAAGCCCTTCCACGGAAAGGAGAGGCATTGGGAGCACCCAGGGGATGTTGGAGTCCCTGATTCCAGTCACTTGCTCCTGCTGTGGTTTGGTTACCTGAGCCACATACTTCCCTTTTCTTCCTAAGCTAGTTCCAGTTTCTTTTTTAAAAAATTTATTTGTGTATATTTATGGGGTACATGAGAAAATCTGTTATATGTATATAATACATAGTGATCAAGAAGCGGCATTCGGGGTGTCTGTCATGTGAGTACAACACATTTTTGTTAAGTTTAGTCATCCTACTCTGCTATGGAATATTGAATTTATTCCTTTTATTTTACTGTATATTTGTATGTTTTAACACTTCTCTTTATCCGCCTGCCCCCCACCACTGTCCCTTCCATCTCTATTATCTGTTTTTCCATTCTTTAGCTCCATGTGGTCAATTTTTTTAGCTCCTACATATAAGTGACAACATGCAATATTTGTCTTTCTGTGCCTGGCTTTTTCCACTTAAGAGAATAACCTCCAGGCCTTGTGGCTCTCTGAGCAGCACCACGGTGGTTGGCAAGAACAAGCACCTTACAAAAGGCAGCAAAAAGGGAGCCAAGAAGAAAGTGATGGATCCATTTTCTAAGAAAGATTGGTATAATGTGAAAGCATCTGCTATGTTCAATATAAGAAATATTGGAAAGACGCTAGTTGCCAGGACCCAAGGAACCAAAATTGCATCCGATGGCCTCGAGGGTCGTGTGTTTGAAGTGAGTCTTGTTGATTTGCAGAATGATTAAGTTGCATTTAGAAAATTCAAACTGATTACTGAAGATGTTCAGGGCAAAAACTGCCTAACTTCCATGGCATGGATCTTATTCGTGACAAAATGTGTTCCATGGTCAAAAAATGGCAGACAATGATTGAAGCTCACGTTGATGTTAAGACTACTCATGGTTACTTGCTTTGTCTGTTCTGTATTGGTTTTACTAAAAAAAGCAACAATCAGATACGGAAGACCTCTTATGCTCAGCACCAACAGATCCGCCAAATCCAGAAGATGATGGAAATCATGACCCAAGAGGTGCAGACAAATGACTTGAAAGAAGTGGTCAATAAATTGATTCTAGACAGCATTGGAAAAGACATAGAAAAGGCTTGCCAATCTATTTACCTTCTCCACGATGTCTTTGTTAGAAAAGTAAAAATGCTGAAGAAGCTCAAGTTTGAATTGGGAAAACTCATGGAGCTTCATGGTGAAGGCAGTAGTTCTGGAAAAGCCACTGGGGACAAGACAGGTGCTAAAGTCGAATGAGCTGATGGATATGAATGACCAGTCCAAGAATCTGTTTAAAGTTCAGACTTATAATAGTGGCAAATAAAAAGTCCTATTTGTGATGAAAAAAAATAATGATAATCTCCAGTTCCATCCATGTTGCTGCAAATGACATGATTTCATTCTTTTTATGGCTAAACAGTATTCCATTGTGTATATATACCACATGTTCTTTATTCTACCATTGATGGACACTTAGGCTGATTCCGTATCTTAGCTATTGTGCATAGTGCTGCAATAAACATGCAAGTTTGCAGATATCCTTTTGATATATTGATTTCTTTTCCTTTGGGTAGATACCCATTAGTAGGATCGCTGAATCAAATGGTAATTCTACTTTTAGTTTTTTTAAGAAACCTCTGGCCAGGCACAGTGGCTCATGCCTGTAATTCCAGCATTTTGGGAGGCCAAGGCAGGTGGATCTCATGAGATCAGGAGTTCGGGACTCACCTCGCCAACATGGTGAAAACCCGTCTCTAATAAAAATACAAAAATTAACCAGGCATGATGGTGGGTGCCTGTAATCCAAGCTACTCAGGAGGCTGAGGCAGGACAGTCGCTTGAACCCGGGAGGCAGAGGTTGCAATGAGTTGAGATTGCACCACTGTACTCCAGCCTGGGCAACAGAGTGAGACTCTGTCTCAAAAAAAAAAGAAAAAAAAAAGAAATCTCCATACTGTTTTCCACAGTGGTTGTACTAGTTTACATTCCCACCAACAGTGTAAAAGAGTTCCCCTTTTTCCATATCCTCACCAAGATGCTATTTTTTTATCTTTTTAATAAAAGCCATTCTGATTGGAGTAAGATCTCATTGTGGTTTTGATTTTTATTTCTCTAATGATTAGTGATGGTGAACATTTTTCATATACCTGTTGGCCATTTACATGTCTTCTTTTAAGAAATGTCTATTTATGTCTTTTGCCCACTTTTTAATGGGATTATTTGTTTTTTCCTTTTTGAGATTTTTGAGTTCCTTTTATATTCTGGATATTAGTCCCTTGTTGAATGAATAGTTTGCAAATATTTTCTCCCTTTCAACAAGTTGTCCCTTCACTCTGTTGATTGAAACAATCAACTGCTGTTCAGAAGATTTTTAGTTTATTATAGTTCCGTTTGTCTATTTTTGTTTTTGTTGCCTATGCTTTTGAGGTCTTAGTCATAATTCTTTGCCCAGGCCAATGTCCAAGAGAGTTTTTCTTAGTATTTTTATAGTTTTAGATCTTATGTTTCAGTCTTTAATCCATTTTGAATTTACTTTCACATATGGTGAGAGAGAAGGATCCAGTTTCATTCTTCTACATGTGGCTATCCAATTTTCCCAGCACCCTTTATGGAAGAGGGTGTCCTTTCCCCAGTGTAAGCTCTTGGCACCTTTGTTGAAGATCAGTTGACTGTGTTCTCTAGTCTGTTCCATTGATCTATGTGTCTATTTTTATACCAATACCATGCTGTTTTGGTTACTATAGCCTTGTAATATACTTTGAAGTCCTGTAACATGACGCCTCTAGCTCCAGTTTCTTGAGAGTCTGGACCATCTCTATTTTCTTTGCCCTTGGGCTTTATAAGACACCCCTATGTCCATATAATACATTATCCTTTTCTTCTTAGGCAGGGCAGAGGTGGTTTATGTTACCTGTAATTCAACGAGTCTTAACTAAGACTACTTCTTTAATGGTGGGGCAGGTTTAGAAGGGTCCGGTGAAATGTGTCTCCCTCATTGCACAGAAGGAAGAGAAAGAGGATGAATGGTGATATTTCTGAGACCACAACTTTGGATCATGAATCCTCAGGCCAAGGAGAAACTGATGCCTCTAGATTCTGATCACTCTACTCCACCATGGGAAGAAATTCAGACATGCCTAAGAAGTTGTCTGAATCTGTCATCCAAAGCCAACCTGTCTTACCTTAATCTTTGATTAAAGTAAACTGCATTCCCATCCCCAGACAATATTAAAAAATGGGGGGAATGGAAACAGGGGAGATTCCTGTGTTTCTACATTTCACTTACTCCTGGGGCTCCCGAGTTGCAGATGAGCCTGAAGTTTACACCAGAGAATAAATAAGATAGCTGTTTGGACATCACACACCACTTTGCCAGTTTCCGTTCTCTTGAATTATTTACCATCTAATTGTCTGCATTGAAACAGAATCTGGAAACACAGAGTCAGAGTTGTAGCCCTATTTGCAAGTTACAGAAAGAAAACTAGAGTTCAGTGAAGTACCTGAGGCAGAAGCACTTCATGAGTTTCTGAAGTTCTCTTACCTTGGGAGGGCTGTGAAAGCAGGGGGTGAAACCAGCACAGCAGCAAAGAGAAACACAGCCTCAGGCTGGAAGGGACCTTAGAAGTCACTAGTCCAGTCTCCCATTTGAGGTCACTCTCTCCCTCCAGTGTAGAGGTCTGGCATCTAGTCTGTACTTTCCCCTCAACTGGCTATGTCACCAAGAGCACCTGAACCTTGATTTCTTCATCTGCAAAGGATAGAATACAAAGAAGGATGGAATGGAAAATAAACCTGTCTATAAATTTAAAAAATTGTTATCACAAATTTTATTTTCACCATTGTACCAATAATTTCTTCTTTCTTTCTTTTCCTTTTCTTTCTTCTTTTTCTTTCTTTTCTGACTCTCTCTCTCCTTCCTTCCTTCTGTCCATCCTTCCTTCCTTCCTTCCTCTCTCTCTTTTTTTCTTTCTTTCTTTTTTTTTTTTTTTTCAAGACAAGGTCTCACTCTGTGGCCCAAGCTGGAGTGCAGTGGCACGATCTTGGCCCACTGCAGTCTCAAATTCCTGAGCTCAAGCAATCCTTCCACCTCAGCCTCCCTAGTAGCTAGTAGCTAGGATCACGGATGTGCACCACCATGCTTGGCTACTTTTTTTTTTTTTTTTGAGACAGAGTCTTGCTCTTTCGCCTAGGCTGGGGTGCAGTGGCGCGATCTCAGCTCACTGCAACCTCCACCTCACGGGTTCAAGCAATTCTCCTGCCTCAGCCTCTCGAGTAGCTGGGACTACAGGTGTATGCCACCATGCCCGGCTAATTTTTGTATTTTTTTAGGAGAGACGGGGTTTCACCATGTTGGCCAGGCTAGTCTCAGATTCCTGACCTTGTGATCTGCCCGCTTCAGTCTCCCAAAGTGCTGGGATTATAGGCATGAGCCACCGCGCCCGGCCCATCCTCAGCTACTTTTTGTATTATTTTTCTTTTTGTAGAGACAGGGTCTCACCATATTGCCCAGGCTAGTCTCAAACTCCTGGGCTCAAGCAATCCTCTGCCTAGGCTTCCCAGTGCTGGGATTACAGGTGTGAACCACCATGCCTGGTCTGCACCAATAATTCCCATAGAAAGAAATATTAATAGCTATGAAAATTTTAAAATAAAGTAGAAAACTTAGAAAAGTATAATGACAAATAAAACTCACTTGTCTCACTGCTCAGTAGAAATCACTCATTAGCCGAGCATGGTGGTGTGTGCCTGTAGTTCCAGCTACTCAGGAGGCTGAGGCAGGAGAGTCACTTGAACCCGGGAGGCAGAGGTTGTGGTGAGCCGAGATCGCGCCACTACACTCCAGCCTGGAAAACAGAGCGAG
Source organism: Homo sapiens (assembly GCF_000001405.40). Taxonomy (NCBI): domain Eukaryota; kingdom Metazoa; phylum Chordata; class Mammalia; order Primates; family Hominidae; genus Homo; species Homo sapiens. The sequence continues at coordinate 95,598,945 of NC_000010.11, forward strand.
AGTCTCTCTCTCTCTCTCTCTCTCTCTCTCTCTCTCTCTCTCTATATATATATATATATATATATATATATATATATATACACATATATATATATATACACATATATATATATACACATATATATATATATATATACACATACATATATATATATATATATATATACACATATCTTTTTTTTTTTTTTGAGACAGGGTCTCACTCTGTCACCCAGGCTGAAGTGCAATGGCTTGATTATTGCTCACTGTAGCTTTGACCTCCTGGTCTCAGGAGACCCTCCCGCCTCAGCCTCCTAAGTAGCCAGGACTACAGATACACATAACATGTCTGGCTAAGTAAAAAAACAATTTTGTAGACATAGGGTCTTGATATGTTGCCTAGGTTTGTCTTGAACCCCTGTCCTCAAGTGATACTCCAGCCTCAGCTTCCCAAAGTGCTGTGATTACAGTTGTGAGCCACTGTGCCCAGCCCATAATATTATTTGATACATTGTCTTCCAGTCTTTTTCCAACTAAATATATATAATTGAGAAATTTTATTTATACTGTTTTATAGCTTAGTTTTTTCCTATTCAATATTTTCTAGTGCGTCTCGTCTCCACGTCAGTAAATATTCTTCAAAAACAAGAATTTTGGCTGGGTGCCGTGGCTCATGCCTGTAATCCCAGCACTTTGGGAGTCTGAGGTAGGCCGATCATGAGGCTGGGAGCTCAAGACCAACCTGGCCAACATAGCGAAACCCCGTCTCTACTAAAAACACAAAAATTAGCTGAGCATGGTGGCGCGCACCTGTAGTCCCAGCTACTTAGGAGGCTGAGCCAGAAGAGTCGCTTGAACCCGGGAGGCAGATGTTGCAGTGAGTCGAGATCGTGATACTGCACTCCAGCCTGGGCAAGAGAGCGAGACTCAGTCTCAAAAAAAAATAAAAAATATAAAAAAATTAGATACAGGGTCTCACTATATTGTTTAGACTGGTCTCAGACTCCTGGGCTCAAGCGATCCTCCTGCCTTGGCCTCCCAAGATGCTGGAATTACAGGCATGAGCCACCACTCCTGGCCAAGTTATGCATTTACTAGTTAGGGTCAATTTACACCACCAATTTCAATGGAAATCAATATGATTTTTGATATTTGCAAAGAAAGTGGTCCACTTCTTACAAACAGACTTCGGGATGAAAAATGAAGATGAGGCAGACACATCTACAGTGAGGAAACGGATGATGCCTCCTTTTTCCTCATAGGCAACTTGGGGGAGGGGAAAGGAGGTAAGTAAAGGCATGTGGGGGAAGTCAGAGAAGCATCCACACCTGCTCATTATATCAAGTGTCTAGAGACTCTCTAAATAATTCAGACACAGTCGGCTCCCTCCAGGGGCAGGTGTTGAGGAGAGTTTCCAGACAAGCAGCTCCTCTTGCAAAACTGGGGCAGACTGAGGATCTGATTACGTGAAAAGGGGTCCAGTTAGTAGCTATGGCAACCTCCTTCTTCAGCCTTACAACTTGCCTTTGGGATAAGGTACAAGAAGCTTCTGGGAAAACACTACTGCTATGCCCCCTGTGGTGGTGAAGAGTTTTGAAGCTCTGTTGTCTTGGGTTCAAATCCAGGTTCCTCCGCTACAGTGTGATCTTGGGGAATTTACTGATCTTTAGGTTCTATACCTGTAAAATAGGGGTAACAATTCCCCTACTCAGATTATTGTGGCATCATGCATAATTCATCTAGCCCCCTTACTATGATGCTTAGTACATGGTGCTTAGTACATAGTAGATCTGTCCTAAGAATGTCCTCACTTTATGTCCTAGGAATTGATGCTTGGACTTTAAATAAAAGAGAAACGTAGGGCCTGGTGCGGTGGCATGCACTTGTAATCCTAACTATTCAGGAGCTGAGATAGAAAGATTGCTTGAGTCCAGGAGTTGAGTTTGAGACCAGTCTGGGTGACAGAGTGAGACCCCTGTCTCAAAGGGGAAAAAAAAAAGCAATGTTGAAAACTAAGAGAAAGCCATTCCTTAGAATCATAAACAGTAACAGCCAATAGTTATTAAAGGTTAACCATATGCTGAATACCGTGCTGAGTGCTTTACATTTACTCTCGCAAAACCATTTATGGATACGTATCATCAAAATTCAGAGAAGTTAAGACACTTTCCCCAGGTCAAACAACTAGTAGGTGTTAGAATCAAGGTCCAAACCCTATTCTGCCTCTAAACTGAAAAGGCCTGTGCTCTTACCCTGTAAGGAAGAGGATCTCTGGAAGTTATTTTACTGATCCAGCACTTCATTTCCAGGAGAGCAGCCTGAGGATCGGGAGGGGATAATTTGCTGGGCATTGAGGAAGAGCAGGCCGACTTCCTTAGGTCCATGGGACCCGACTGCCCTCTAGCGTTAGAGGAATCCTGGGGCCAGATGGAATAAAGAGCAAGTTGGTTTTCTTAGGTTATGGTGACTCCTCCTGCCTTCAGTATGGGATCATAGCTGCCTAGTTTGGTGTTTTCCTATTGGCCAAAGGGTTTCTCCTAGGGATTAGGGTAAAATAGGCTGTAAAGGGTGGGACTTAAGGATAAGAATTACCTGAATTTAGAGCAGCAATTCTCAGACAGATCAACGTTTGGACCATCAGGTGGAGGGAATGTCTCTTATCCCCAGCATCTGGCACGTAGTGGGTGCTCACTGGATACTGAATGAGGCTTTAAAATCTCATTCTCCCTAATAGCAGAGTTCTGTAAAATAGCAGAGATCTGCAAACTTAAATGAGGTGCCCTTAAGGTAGTTATGAAGTTATTCATCGATTTTTGCCAGAAGTGCTAGTGGAAAAGACATTGTAACATTTAACTCAATTCTACTACAGGAGACTCCACAGGACACTTTCATAAGGAAGAGAGAACAATGACACTCTTCAGTGGTTTAGAAATAAGTTGGGGTCAGGGACGACTTGATCGTCTTAGACTGCCAGCCTCATACCAGTGTCCCTAATGGTCCATGGATCTCAGAGAAAGCCCCCTCCATCTCTATAGCTCTGCCCAAGTAGCCTGTTTCAAAGCTACTCAGTGAGCATCTGTGTGCATTGCACCTTGCTGGGCTCAGTGGGGGATACAAAGACAGATATGCCAGATGTGGCTAATTGTGGCCAACCTGGATGGTGCTTCTTCCATGAGCTAGGTGTCCGGTCCATTATCTGATTATTTACTGACAGGAGTCTTCAAGGTAAGTATTAACTGTCTACTTTTTTCCAAATAAGGAAATTGAGGCTCATTGCAGCAAAAAACAATCCTGCAAATTCCTACAATTTATAGATGGGAGTGCAAGTCATATGACTTCCAAATCCATACTCTTTCCACTATGCCACTCTGGCCAATTCTTTGAAATATTAGGACTCCTTTTCTAAAATGCAGGTATCTCCAAGACAATTATTCCTGTTTTTGTCTGCTTGGGCTGCCATAACAAAATATCATAGACTAGGTGGATCAAACAACAGAAATTTATTTTTCAGTCTGGAGATTGGGAAGTCCAAGATCAAGGTGCTGGCCAGTTCGGTGTCTGGTGAGGGCCCTGCTTCCTAGCTTGCAGGAGACTGTTTTGTCTTCTCACTGTGTCCTCACATGAAGGGCAGGAGGTCAAGGTCTCTAGAGTCTCTTATTTTACTTTTTACTCAACAGTTTGTTGAGAGACGTGGCATCTCTTACGAAAGCACCAATCCCACCATGAGGGCCCCACCCTCACGACCTCATCTAACCCTAATTACCTCCCAAAGGCCCCGTCTCCAAACACCATCACATTGAGGGGTAGGACTTCAACGAAGGAATTTGGGAAGGGCACAAACATTTAGTCCATAACAACCCCCATCAAGCCATCAGTTTAAAAATAGATGGCTTTTCCTATACTTTGTTTCTTACATTTAGCTTTCTCTAGCCTCATTTCCTACTGACCCTTAGTCTGTAGCCTCTGCCTAGGGCAAGTTTACAACTCACTTTTTTTTTTTTTTTGAGACAGAGTTTCACTCTTTTCACCCAGGCTGGACTGCAATGGCACGATCTCATCTCACTGCAACCCCCATCTCCCAGTTCAAGAGATTCTCTTGCCTCAGCCTCCCAAGTAGCTGGGATTACAGGCGCCTGCCACCATGCTCGGCTAATTTTTGTGTTTTTAGTAGAGACAAGGTTTCACCATGTTGGCCAGGCTGGTCTTGAACTGCTGACCTCAGGTGATCCATCCGCCTTGGCCTCCCAAAGTGCTGGGATTACAGGCATGAGCCACTGCACCGGCCTACAACTCACTCTTTCCTCTCCAAAACTGCCTGGGAATTTTGTCTTTTCTCCACCTCTTATGGAGCACTTCAGCTTTCCTATATTAAACCCGCATTACAAAACTCATCAATGAGTTCAAGGGAACAAAAGAGCCTTCCAAGAAAATCTCTTTGGAAAGTCACTAGGGGTAACTGTACCTAACATCGCTACCCCCTAATGTAGTAGCTTACCCGATTTTTATCTTCTCCTCTTCCTCACAAAGAGGATCTTGATTTTTGTTTGAGCAGGAATGTGCCCAGCTGTAAAACTCTACTTCCCAGTCCTTGCAGCTACAGTTGCTCATGTGGCCACAATAAACAGTTCCTCCTGATGAGATGTAAGGGAAGTCACTTACTGGGGCTTCCAGGAGAGCTCTTTAAATGTGGGTGTGTTGGGCGAACTCAGCTGTGCATGCCTCTTTCCCCTGCCCTTCTTCCTGACTGGGACATAGATGGAACACAGGTGTGGAGATGGAACAGCCATCATGGTGCAAGGGAAGCTGCGGAGTTAAGAATGTCAGGGCTGAAAGTTGGAAAGAGTCTGGGTTCCTAATGGCATCACAGAGTTGCCCCGTTGGTCTTGAGCTACTTCTGGACTTCTCATTATGGAAGAAAAACAAAACTCTCAGGTTACTTACAGTAGTGGTAATGCTGAGATAAATCATATAAGGGGCTAAAAATTCCAATTCTTTGCCCCACCCTCAGAAATTTTGGCTCAGCAGGTCTGGGTGCGGGAATCTACAGTTTTAGCTAGGCCCTGTGGTCATTCTGTTACAATGATCCTTGAACCACAGTTTGAAGTAGTCTGAGGCCCACATATACAGCAAATAGCAGAGGGGTGTGTGTGTGTGTGTGTGTGAAGAGCGGGTCAGTGATGTTGGGTTTTGCTTTCAATGCCTACCAAAGACTTGGCCAGCTGTGGATGTCAGATATAAAAAACACCTTGTTCAGCTAATTTGCAATTTAGTGATAAAGAGCTTCCCACACCTCCATCTAACTAGAAAGCTTATCCAAGCTCCCATTTCATGAGTGTGGAAACTGAGGCAAAAATGTTTAAGTAGTTACCCAAGGTCACAATGCCAGTCAGTGACAGAGCTGGAAAAAAAATTCTGGAGTCCCAGTTCAGTGCTCCCTCCATTACACTGGGCTGCAAATAGCACCATGAAACTTTAGTGTCTGCTCACCTCTCCCTCCCATTTCCTCTGTCAGGCAGTGCAGTGGGACATTGTGGCTACCTCTCTGGCCGCCATCCCAGCCCTCTTTTATTCCCCAGCAGCCCTACTGTTTAGGTGAATGAATCCTGCTCTCAGCTCCATGAATCAATTAGGATAATCTTCTTCCCCTATCCGATTTTCCTCCTCCCTTACCAATAGAACCCTTACTTTCTTGGAGCTGCAATGTGCCCAAATAAAAAAGCTACACCTCCCAGATCCCTTTTAGAGAGGGTAGGCCATGAGCTAGTTTTGGTCAAGCACTGGGCAGGGGGGTCTTCCTGGAATGTCACTTAGAAGGGGCAGCTGGCAGACACTCCTCTGCCTATGGTTTTTCCTTCTTCCTGCTGGCTGGAATGCAGTCCTGATGGTTGGAATGCCACTACCATGTGGACAAGAGCCTTACCCTAGGACAGAAGAGAATAAATCAAAAGCAGCCCCAGTGCCTGATGGCCTTCATGGAGGCATTAAGTCAGCCTTGAAGCTGCCTACCTCCAGAGCTCTTTTTACATGAGAGAAACAGGAATGATCAAGTTCAAGCCCCAATTCTTTGAAGTTTCTGTGGCATGCAGTTCAACTCAATGTGTGCATTTATAGCAATGATTGATGCAGGCCAGTTTAATGAGTGAAGCTTGGGGTTTCTGTCTGATGATGATAGTGGTCTTTCTCAGGGCCCAGATGCAGGCCTGCCTTCTCAGTGGTCTTCCCCAAGGGCCCCAGCTCTCTTGGGCTGCCTTCTATTTAAGATTCCTGGGCATTTGTTGTCTGGTTGGGAGCTCATTGTGGTATTTGTGACAGTTTCAGGCAGGACTGTTTATAGCCTTTTCAGGCAAGCTATGCCAGAACTCCTCATCCAGAGGGCAGGGCAGTCAGGGTGACTTGCCAGACCATGTAAGGGTCTGGAGGAGAGGCAGGCTGTGCAGCCAGCCTGGGAACATGTTCCACATGACACCATCATTCTTGTGCTGGTAAAACATCCTCAGAGGAAAAGCAGCAGCATCGTAAGCGAGTGCTTATTTCTTTAGGAGGCCCCCATGAAATCTTTCAACTGCAGACTGTCAGGCACCAGGGGCCCTAAGGACAGGAGCTAGAGATGGAGGGAGAGTGGGGAGGGTCCGAGCTGTCAAGTGATCCTGAGGCAACAGGACTGGCAGGGAGGAGCTGGGGGGATGCAGTGAACTAAGGATGTCAGCTGGGGCTATGTGCCACCGCGGGAGCTCGCTCAGGTTGGACCCCACCAACTTCAGACCTTCACTGCACTTTTAGTCTTCAAGCTCTTGGGGCTTAATCTCCTGTTTTCCTTTCCTGTCTCTCCGTCTGAGTCCCTCTGTGGGGACTGCCTATGTTGCTTCCACCAACAAACACTGTTGAGGCAGATGTCTTGTCTCCCCAGACAGCTTCCAGAGAAGAGACCATGCCCACAAGCAGGGCACGAGGGTCACAAGAGAGGAAAAGGAAGGGGGTAACAACAATTAAGGGAGAAAACTTCAATCACGCACAGGCTTTTCATAAAAAACTTTATTTCTCAAAAAAGGGGGAAGAATCCAAAGTATTAAAATAATCCTCTAATTTTTGTTTTGGAGGAAAAGGGTAGGACGACAAAATAATTCATACAAAAATTTCAAGCATCACTGCTGTAGATATTCCTCCAGCTCAGTGGGGAACATCCTGAAACTTGCATCTCCTGCTGCAGCTTGGGTTCCAGCTGCATCACGGGGAACACAGCATCTCCTGGATGCAGGAAGCTGCAAGCATCTGGAATGCTTATTAATTTACCCCACAAATAAATACAAAAGGTCAATCTTCCCAGTGGAAATGATTCCATCGATTTTTGTGACTTTCTGATGAGAATGCTAAAAAGAAGAGTTGCCCCTTTTCTAAAATTCCAAATCTTTCCTTTTTGAAGATGACTACATGTGAAAGAAATAAAATGTGAAAAGATTTGTTAAGGATGACTGGCTCTAGTACCAACTAAATGCCAAGGGGGACTGTAAGTCACTGAGGTGACACAAAGCAGCCATGGGTTTTCCTCGCCTTTTTTATGGGGAAAATGCACCTTTCAATCCTAGAAGATAATTGGACTTGGCAAAGTCCCTATCGGTAGCAACTATTTTCTTACTTTAAAAAAAAAGGGTGAGCTGGGAGCCAGACTGTGCACATCAGCCAAGACTGCTATTGCCAAACGGAGCCCAGAAGCATCCAGGTACACTTTCCAACAGGCAGACCCTACCAGGAACTGGGAGACAAGAGCGGGCTCTCTCCTGAGATAAGACAAGTTTAACGTGAAGACCTTTTGGAAAATTCCCGGGTTTTCCTGGCTCTTTTCAGTTGGTGTTTCTCTGAGGAATAGGGAGGTTCTCATGAAGATATTTTAAACTTCCATGCTCTGAGAAATCTGAGACCACGTGGTCCTTCCCTCGCAGCAGCCACTTAGTAGTAAGCAGTCCCTCAAGTCCTACTGGTCCCCGGGCGTGGATTCTCGATGTACTGATTCCCACTTCAGCTCCTGTGAAAAAGCATGAATAAAAGATGTAGCTTTTCCCAGCCTCTGCTTCCTGTCCATGCCCCAGACCCACCCTGCTGCTTTCCCCTCACTTGGTACCCTCTCTTCCTGCTAACTCCTCATCCATCCTCCCCAGAAGAGCTGAGTCACCCTGTTCCCATAAACATGTTCTTCGATTACTACAAATCATGATACACTCCTTCTCGTGAAACAGTGTGTGGACTCTTCTTCTGTATTTTATCCCCAGTGCATTTTGACAATGCTATTAATACAAGTGCTGTCTCTTTTATCAGTTTAGCATCTGAATTGCATACCATATTTTGACATTTGGGCATGTTTTGAGGGGTACGACAATGTTTACCATGATGGTTTCACCTCCTCAAATACTCTTTAAATCTTAGAAAGAAAGGGACATGTTTGTGGTATCCCCTAGAAGTCTTAGCACAAGGGACTCATTAGACAGTTACTGAATACATCAAAGGGTTACTGTTCATTCCCTTTTCTCTTGCTCCCAGCTCAGACCTAGGGAACGTCAGGGGTTTTCCTGGCCCTGGCTTGGTGTTCTGCACTGTATACAGTGGAGGCAGGGTTCCCTCAATCATCACAACTTTACTGAGCATGTACTATGTACTAGGCACTGTGTTGAGCCCTGGGGATAAAGTGGTGAATAATAGATACAAGGCCCTGTTTTTGTGGCGCTGATATTATAGCAGGCGAGGCAGCCAAAGGACAGGTGAGTAAATAGTCTCCTGTGGTGCTCAAGTGCAGTGATGGGTGCTATGACAGAGGCTGTGTGGTGGAGCTGGGGACACGCTGGGTAGGATGGTCAGGGAAAGCCTCCCTAAGGAAGTGCCTTTTGGTTGGGACCTGAACAGTGAGAAGGAGCTGGCTGGAGAAAACCAGACAGAGGTGCTGCAGGCAGAGAGAAGAGCAAGTACGAGACACAGTAGGGGCGGGATGTGCTTGGGGTAGTGGTTGGCAAGGAGAGTGAAACCAGCAGGATTCAAATTCTGGTTCAATAGCATACAGACCACATGACTTTGGACATACTACCTAACTTTATGTCTCATGCCTCAGTTTCTTCATCTGGAAAATGAGAATTCATCTTGTAGAATGAAGTGAGAGCATGCTTGCGACACATTTAGCACAGTGCTGGGAATGTAGTAAATGCTCAGTAAAATCTGTTACTGTCATTAATGCATTTCACAAGGAATTTAACTCAACCAGCTTTCACTCTGAGCTGGTGTTGGAAGGACAATGAAATGATCTTTTGTTCTTCCTTCATCCTGGATTTTCATTTGAATGCTGGGTGCCCCAGCCCTTAAAAATATGTTGCTATTTCTTTTTCAAGTACATGGAGAGTATAAAGATCAATGCAAGTGATGTGATAATTACATCAAAATCCCAACATAATACAAATGGGGAACTAAAAATAAAGAGTATCATGATTAAGAATAACTGAGTTAAATTCCCTTTCATAACCTTTTAACAATTTGGTGAGAATTATTTCTCCAGGCAGATCATCTACTCAAAAAGTTCAGAAGGATTAAAATGTGTGTCTTTCTGTTTTGTTTTGTTATACAGATAGGGCCTCACTCTCTCCCAGGCTGGAGTACAATGGCATCATCTTAGCTCACTGCAGCCTCGAACTCCTGGGCTCAAGGGATCCTCTTGCCTCAGCCTCCTGAGTAACTGGGACTACAGGCTCACGCCACCACACCTGGATAATTTTTTCATCTCTGTAGAGAGGAGGTCTCGCTGCGTTGCCCAGGCTGGTCTCGAACTCCCCGACTCATGAGATCCTCCTGCTTCAGCCTCTCAAAGTGCCGGGATTACAGGTGTGAGCCACTGCCCGTGGCCTAAAATGTTTTGAGTGGTTGAAATAATTCTCAAATATTCAGAAAACGTGTCATAAATGTATTATTGGAGGTTTTTTGTCTGTTTTGTTTTTTGAGATGGAGTTTAGCTCTTGTTGCCCAGGCTAGAGCGCAATGGTGCGGTCTCGGCTCACTGCAACCTCTGCCTCCCAGGTTCAAGCGATTCTCCTGCCTCAGCCTCCCGAGTAGCTGGGATTACAGGCAAGTGCCACCATGCTCAGCTAATTTTGTATTTTTAGTAGAGATGGGGTTTCTCTATGTTGGTCACGCTGATCTCCAACTCCCGGCCTCAGGTGATCTGCCCGCCTTGGCCTCCCAAAGTGCTGGAATTATAGGCGTGAGCCACTGCGCCCGTTCTGGAGTTTTATATACTGGTACCCCTGAAAACGAGAGACTGTCCAAATAACCCCAACACGACAGAGGGCTGGAAATTTTATACCTAATGGAAAGGGACAGAAGTGCCCTTCTGAAGCTTTTTATTTCAAGGTCTGCTGTAGAAGGTAACCTTGTACTTCTGGCTGGCCTGTTTGTTTTGATGCTGGTACTTAGGCCCACGGCACCTTCTTTTGTCCTACCATTGTGGGGTTTCCTATCTCCGAGGCAACCTGGCTGTGCCATTTTGACGAAATAAGTCTGTAAAAGGAGTGCTCTCAAGGGACACAGCATGTACCTCTGGCGCAGCCTGTGTAAAAAGGCAGGCTGTGGTTGCCCACGCTGTAGCGGGAGAACCCAGGCTTTGGACTTGCTCAAGTTTGGGTCTGAATGCCAGCTGTGGGACTTTGGGCAAGTTACTATACTTCTCTGAATCTCATTCTCCCTCTTTGAAAAATGAATACAAGTACCTGCCTTCTTAGCATGTGAAATGCTTAGAAGATAGGCCTTCCACCAACTCATGGGAGGTTTCATTAATTATTCTCCCTGATAATCCTACCTTGCCAGAAGTCTGTCTCTATTTTTTTTTTTTTTTTGAGATGGTGTCTCACTCTGTCCTCCAGGCTGGAGTGCTGTAGCGTAATCTCGGGCTCACCGCAACCTCTGCCTCCCGGGTTCAAGCAATTCTCCTGCCTCAGCCTCCTGAGTAGCTGGGATTACAGGCATGCACCACCACACCTGGCTAATTTTTTGCATTTTTAGTAGAGACAGGGTTTCACCATGTTGGCCACGCTGGTCTCGAACTCCTGACCTCAGGTGATCCACCCACCTCGGCCTCCCAAAGTGCTGGGATTACAGGCGTGAGCCACGGCACCCAGCCTGTTTCTCTCTTATCTTGACCAAGCATGTGACAGTCAAGGGGAGGTGTCTTTCCCACCTCAACATACCCCTAGACCACACAGTGCTTCACAAGGAACTTCTTTCTTCCCAACCAGAGTCTTTCTTACCCAGTCCAAAGCGGTAACCATCAGAAAAGCGAGTGCTGGCATTCCAGAACACACAGGCACTGTCTACGTGCTGCAGGAAGAACTCCGCTGTGTTTTCTGCAGGGTGAAGAAGGAGAAACCAAGTTAGGATGATACCCAGAGAACATCCCTGTTTCCAGCCATTGACTGGTGACAGATCAGGGCAGGGTCTGGGTCCCCACTGGGGCCTCTCCATGTGTTCTCACGTATTAAATACTCAGGCTTATGAAAAATCTCAACAGGAAGAAGACAAGTTAGCTTCATCAATCACGGTGTTGTGGAAAGACTGAGTTGGAATCCAGATCTCCCATGCAGGTGACCTGCCTAAACTTCCTACTTATGGGCTCCAGAGCCAGACTTCCTAGGCCTGAACTCCAGCTGTACACCTGCTAGCTTTGTGACCTTCTGCAGGTGTACAAAACTCTCTGTGTCTGGGTCAAAAGGGACTTACAACATGACCTAGCTGATAGGGTTGTAGAGAGGATGAAACACCTGGGGAGTACTCATGCTAGTGCCTAGCACACAGTGAGTGCTTGGTAAATGTTGGCTGTTAATACGGGTGGTACTGCTCTGGTGCCCTAATTAGCTGACTGTAAATTCCTCATTGGGGCCCTACTGGCATCCTCCACCATTGAGGCTCCAGTATCTGACACCCAGGAGTGTCCCTGCATACATATTTGTGGAATAAATGAATGAATGAATGAATGTGCAGAGTTGGTTCTGCCTTGGTTTCCTCAGCTGTAAAATGGGTTTATTTTAACTACCTTGTAAGATTTGCTGCACGCATTAAATGATAGTGCCTCTGACAGGGTTAGTCATCTTCGAAGCAGAGCTAATCATCCCTGCCCCTCCTCCTCCAGCTGTGACAATATAATAAAGTGATGTGAAAGCACTCATCAAAGTACCAAATGCAACCACTACTAAACATTACCATAAGCCTACTCAAATGATGTTTTTCTGCAGCCCAAGGGGGGCTAAGAGGAGCAGGATCAGAAAGCAGCAAAGGCAGACACTGTATGCGGGAAGCATCTGGACACTGACCGTCCTCTGTGACGATGACATCCGTGTGGGAGCTGCCATACTTGTGGATGTGGTCAATGGCATCCTGAACGTTGTCCACTACTTCAATGCATAATTCCAGGTCCCCATACTCAGTTCGGAGTGACTTCACTTCGGAGGGGCTGAAGGTCAGATAGGAGGCAAATTTGGGGCCTGCATGAATTTTTACCTGGAACAGAGGAAGTCCAGGGGCAACAACATAAAAACAACTGAAATAAGCAAGTTCTAGGATAGAACAGAAAGGTGAGCCTGTAAAACCACAGCCCAAAGTGGCTCCTGTAGCCTCAACAACTGAACTAGTCCTACTTTCCTCCCTCCAGCATGATCTGACTGGCCACTTGCCAGCAATGGGCCCTCAAGACAGTTGGAACAGGGATTGAAGCAGGAAGCCTTGAACGTTAAGGATGTGCAAGGTGGGCCGGGCATGGTGGCTCACGCCTGTAATCCCAGTACTTTGGGAGGCTGAGACGGGTGGATAACTTGAGGTCAGGAGTTCAAAAACCAACCTGGCCAACATGGTGAAACCCCGTCTTTACTAAAAAAATTAGCAGGGCATGGTGGCAGGTGCCTGTAATCTCAGCTACTTGGGAGGTTCAAGCAGGAGGAGAACTGCTTGAACCTGGAAGGCAGAGGTTGCAGTGAGCCAAGATTGTGCCACTGCACTCCAGCCTGGGGCACAGAGCAAGACTCCGTCTCAAAGAAAAAAAAAAGAATAAAAAAGAATGTGCAAGGCGTTTAGTGGGTTATCAACACAAGGGCTTGACTTCTGGCATTTTCCTAAAATGAATACTTGACAATAAAGATCCCAGTTCCTGCATATGGTACCTAGGCACTAGACTCGTGTGGAAAAAGGGAGGTGCCACATATACATTGCTACTCCCTGTACCCTAGCGAAGTCCCAGGTTTGCTTTAGAGGTAAGCAGTACTTGGTCAGGTGCTTTCAGCACCTGAAACTGTGGCTACTCATTTGATTTCCAACTGCGTCAGTCTGGCCCCACCTCTAGGTTCAGCTCAGCCCCAGGCTCTGGCTCTAATCCTGCTGCTGGTTAGAGGAATTTAAGGATTCTGAGGCTGGTCACCGAGGATCCCAATCACAAGCTGGATCCCACTTAAACCTTGTTTTCTGAGACATCCCCAGGACAGGGTTCATGCCTTGATTCTTTGGGATCAAGCTTTTGCCTTGGCTCAAGTTATAAGTGGTGTCTGCCTTATCCTCATGATTCCCGAGGCCCTGCCATTGTTTCTTATCTGGGATCTCACTTCTTCTGTGTTCCTTGGGGACTGGAACCCCATCCCTGTGCAAGTCATCCTTCTAGCTTTACTTTCTGCCATCCAAAAGTGCTGTATGAAGTACACACAGTGACTCATTTTGATTTGGAATTTCAAGGCCATCCTCATTTTAATGACTGAGGATACCACTTGTGTGTTCAAATTAGGTCTGGGGAGGGATTTAGTCCTGGCTAAAGGAGAGCTTTCCTCCTGTCTAATCCAGTTCACTGTGGTGCTTGGCAAACACAGGTGCCCAATCAACAGGCTTCCTTACCAAAGTAAAGTAAGGTCCCCGAACATGAATGACCATGTGATCTAACTTCCTTGTAATCCATGGAGTACAGTTTCATTTTTAAAACAATTCTTTCCAGTTCTCACTGGGACCATGCCACATTTATAAGCTAACTGGAGCCTTCCTTTCCAGTCAAAGGATGGAAGGGAAGAGACATATGTTCAGAGTCAAAGCAACCAAGGCCAACAAGCACCTTCTCTACTGCCATGCTGGTTTATATAACTCTGAAAGTGTACTATGACATCAGAAATTAAAGCTTAAAATGCATCCATGCAGAGAGTTTAACAGATTGTCCATTTTTGCCTTGAGGGCATCTATTATATTTTCTTGCAGGCATGAATTTAGGACACAGCACAACTTTATATTTGAAACTTACTGGCTTTTGGTTTGTTTACAACCTTAACAATATAGTAAAAACATAATCCAGGGAGACATTCTACAAATTACTGAATCCCAAATATCACTGCATTAAGTACACTAATATTGGTAACCAAAGACACTGGGGGGAGGCAGTGAATGTACATAAGTTTTTGGTTTGAAACGTTTCTGCACCATCTTTTCAAATCAAATCCAAAAAATAATATATGCTTGGGAACACCTTGCATATATAAGGTTGCCAGAAACAGTTCAGTCAGCATAGTGCCATGTGGTCTGTCTTACCTTTGAACCCTCTTTAGCACACAACACATTCCACTTTGTAATAAAGCTATTTGTGTATTGGTTTGGTTCGACTACTAGAGGGCAGGGGTTGTGTTTTACTCACACTTTACTTAGCATGGAACTTTGTACACAGAAGATATTAAAAAATATTGTTTCTTAAACTGCCTTATATGGTATGGCTGTGCCTGGTCTAATTCCACAGGCTTCTAAGACAGGAAGTAATGTACTAGTCCTATGGAACTCTTACCTGTTCCACTCTCAGCATATCAATGATCTGGTCAAATAATGGTGTCCTGAGCAGATCCCGGTGGATTAACAAAGTCTCCAAAGCATTACAGGCAGCTGGATATTCACATTTAGAGTCTCTGACTGAAAGAAGATGAGCAAAGAATTGTTTCCATTGACATGATCCAGAGCTGCAGAGGATGTAATATTTCTCCGTTGTGAAAGAGAAGACCCCATCCAGCTCACCTAGCCTGGTGACCTTATCAACACTGGCCTCGGAATCCACATACATGTGACAGATCCCTTCGCTGTGCCCCATCACTGGAATCCCCTTAGCAGCTTTCTGGATGTCTCTGACCAGCTGGGAAGAGCCACGTGGAATGATCAGATCTATCATTTTGTCTAGGCGGCAAAGATCTTCAACTTCTTCTCTGGTATTCACCTTTAGAAGGAAAGAAGAAAAAGATAAAGATGACATCTGACCACACAAAATATAAAAACAGCAGCTTCCCTTTTACAGATAAACATCTGTACACTCTGAGAACTAAGTGAGACACTGTGAAAACTTATTCTAAAAACAAAATTAAGTTCCCGATCATGGGAATCAAAAAGTTGTCCAGCAAATGCTTATCAAACACTATATACTCGGTGCTGTGCTCCACATCACATATCACGCAGGACACTGCATGCCGTCAAAGAGCTCAGCATCAAGTAGGGAAGGCAGCACTAGGGTACTGCTAGCCATAATACAGGGCAGACAATTTTTAAAATGCCAGAAGCAGCACAAAGGGGTATCTATGGAGGTTAAATGCAGTACACTACTCCAGGCCATGAAGATCACAAAAGGGAGTGGCTTCTCTGTTGGTTTTCTATTCACAGCATTGAGGAAATGTTGGGTTGGTCTTGCTAGGGAGTCATGGTTCTCATGACTTCTGATGGCAACTTCTACCCTGGGATGTGGATTAGAATGACTTAAAGAGCCTGTGAGAGGATACTGAGATTATGGGCATTTTGTTTTCTCTTGATTTTTAATTTTTCTCCACATGGTCATATTACTTTTATAACAAATATATATGTGTGCCAGAATGTTCACAGCAACTTTATTCCACATAGCCCAAAACTGGAAACAATCTAAATATTCATCAAGAGAAGAAAAGATGAACTGTAGTATATGCAGGTAAATGGAACACTACCCAGCAATTAAATGAGAAAACTACTGCTAGATGCAACAATGGGAATGAATGCCACAGACATAACGAACAAATGACAGGCAACATAAACGTGTGTTTTGTTTGATCTCATTTATATAAATTTCAAGAATAGGCAAAAGGCAGGGCGTGGTGGCACATTCCCAGCACTTTGGGAGGCTGAGGCAGGCAGATTGCCTGAGCTCAGGAGTTTGAGAGCAGCCTGGGCAACATGGTGAAACCCTGTCTCTACAAAAAACAAAAAATCCACAAAAGTTAGTCAGGTCTGGAGGCACACACCTGTAGTCCCAACTACTAGGAAAGCTGAGGTGGGTGGACTGCTTGAGCCTAGGAGGCTGAGGCTGCAGTGAGCCGAGAGCCAAGATTGTGCCACTGAATTCCAGTCTGGGCAACAGAGCAAGACCATGTCTCAAAAAAAAAAAAAAAGGCAAAAGTAATTTAATGTGACAGAAGTCAAAAAAGTAGTTTGTGGGGAAGGGGGCTACATATTGACTGGGAAGGGCACAAGGGGGCCCTCCAGGATGTTGGACTGTTCTGTATCTTGATACGGCTGGTGGTTATACATGTGTGTGTGTGAACAGTCGCAGAGTGGTTCACAGGATCTGTATACTTTACTGTACGTATGTTACACATCAATAGGAAGAAAAGGAGGGAGGGCACCTGTGTAAGCTAGGAAGTGGTGGGGCTGGGATTTGAATCCCTAAAATCTGCGCTCTTTCCAACCACTATGTGGGCATAAGAAAAAAACCAGATTCTGGTCACTGAGTGTGTAATGAGCAGGTTTGTAGACATCCTCCCAGTAGCCAACAGAATCCTGGAATGTTGGAGCAAATGAGCCAAAGAAAAAAAAGGATCTGGAGTCAGCCTAGGTCCAAATCTAAACTCTATCACACACCATGTGACTCTTGGGGAATTACTTTACCTCTGAATCTGTTTTTTCCCAATGTAGAAAATGAGTCTAATAATTAATGATATTTTCCTTATGGGACTGCTGTGACGATCAAATGAGTTAACGGATAAAATGAGCCTTGCACATAGTAGGTACTCAACAAGTAGTAGCTATTATTATCAAACTTCATTTGACAGTTGAGGAGAATGAGAAATGGTCAGTTAAAGTGATGACCTTAATAATAATAGTGATAACAGCATGATCTCATACTCAACACACCGCATGACAGTTTATGACAAACTTTTGTAAAGTTTCTCATCTGACTTACCCTAGATCACTCTGCCAATGACAGGAACCTAGGCCTCACACTCTAGTTCTGGTACTCCTGCTGCCTTGTGACCCAAAGAATGAAGGTCTAATTGACATTCTTGTAAATAAATAGTGCCAAGACGCAGCTGTAAGGGAGGGGCCTTCCTAAGCCACTGAGGACCCATCTGGCTCTGCAGAATGGCCTAAAGTCTGAAGGCTCACAGGCCTGCTGGAGTGTCAAGTCTGCTTGTAGTAGTGTCTTGGCTCTGTGTGGCCTAAGTTTTGCTTTAAATTCCCAAACACCTGATCTGGCCCCTCTGGGCCTGACTTGGTGCATTCCCAGGGACCTACCAGTTGCACGGCCTCCTTGACTCCATGGATTGAGAGAGCCTCCTGGGTCAGGAGGTGGAGAATCCGGTTGCTGTGTGCAGCCTCCTTCCCTCCTTTGAGTAACAAGCCATTGCCACTTGCGATAGCCAAAGCTGCCACCTGCAGATCAAAGGGAGAGCAGTGGATCAAAGGAGACAAACAGTAATAGCAACAGTGATGTTAGCATTCACAAGCACTCCTTCTGTGCTAAGCACTGTGTTCATCATTTTAGAAGGCCTATGCTGTTTCATCTTCACAACACTGCAGTGAATTAAGTGCCTGTTTTATCCCCTACTTTACAGATAAGGGCACTGAAGCCCAGAGAGGCTGATGACTCCCCGAAGTCACACAGCTTATAAATAACAGGGATGGGAGCCAGACTGAGGTGGTTTGACTCCAGAACAAACCACTGGATTTTAGCAACTAAACTATATGGCTTCCTTAGCACCATTAGCAAAGAGAACTGAGTTGGCCAGGTATGGTGGCTCACGCCTGTAATCTCAGCAATTTGGGAGGCTGAGGTGGGTGGATCACCTGAGGTCAGGAGTTCGATACCAGCCTGACCAACATGGTGAAACCCCATCTCTACTATAAATACAAAAATTAGCCGGGCATGGTGGCAGGTGCCTGTAGTCCCAGCTACCCAGGAGGCTGAGGCAAGAGACTTTCTTGAGCCTGGGAGGCGGAGGCTGCAGTCAGCCGAGATTGCACCACTTCACTCCAGCCTGGGCAACAGAGTGAGACTCCGTCGCAAACAAACAAATAAAGCAAAGAGAACTGAGTTAAGTGGCCAGGGCCACATGGCACCCCCCACCGTGGAGAACAGGGTCTTCAGCCACCTCTGTAAGGAAGCACTTGCTTCATCTGATCAGGCTGAGGCTGGGCAGCTCCTCTGGCCACATCCTACTCTGGCCTTGGAATTGTTCTGAGAGCTCTAAGTGCTTGGTGCTAAGAACCTGGAGAAGACCAGAGCTCCTGCCAGCCCCTGGGCAGCTGTGGTAGAGACTGCTGAGAACAGAGTCTTTTTCCCACATGCCTGTCTGGGGAGGAAAACGTAAACCATCCAGGAGGAGGGCTAGTTGCCTTGTTAGAGCAAAGAGTGAGTGACACTGACCTGATCATCCTACCTCTTACAAAAGTTAAGTAAACTTTCTCCAGACATAAACACACAGAATATTGCACACAATTTTTAGGATTCATGGATTCTGTGAAACCATCCAGGGCTGAGTCCAGATGAGGAGCCTTAGCTGTAGTTAGCTAATGAGGTATCAGCTCCTTGTGAGGTATCAGCTGGTATGGATGAGTGGTAGCAAAGAAATTTCACGGATACAGTCCACAGAGAGACTTAGGCCCATTTCTACTAGCAGAGGTGAGTCTGGCAGTCATCACTGGGGCATTTCTGCAAGACAGGTATGTGGCCAGAGAGGTAGTGTGCCAGCATCAGCCAGGGACTGAGGATAGGCCTCAGTGGTATGGGAGTCCCTTGGTGAACACACTGGTTTTAGGGGATGTCAGAGAGTACCCTTCACAGAGCATTCCAGATTCCACAGTCAACTATGTCTTATAGTAAAGAGGTGCTAGTTTTTTGTTTTTACAGTAGAATTTCCCTTTGAGACTTTGGGGCTAGTGCAAAGGAAGAGCTGGTATCCTATAGGACAGTCCAGTGGGGGAAATGCTCCCAGAATTCTGGGAGGCAGTTTAGGGTAATAAAGTGGGGCCACTCTCTAATGACACCTTGTATTTCCCAGCATGGCTGCTTGGCAAGAACTTTAACGCATGCTTTCTCAACCAGAGGCTGTGATATGTCAACTTGCTTAAAGAGGGTTGCATTCTTTTCTCTTTTTTGAGATGGTATCTCGCCCTGTTGCAAGGCTGGAATGCAGTGGCACGATCTCGACTCACTGCAACCTCTGCCTCCTGGGTTCAAGTGATTCCCCTGTCTCAGCCTCCTGAGTAGCTGGGACTACAGGTCCCACCATGCCAACTAATTTTGTATTTTTTAGTAGAGACAAGGTTTCACCATGTTGGCCAGGATGGTCTCAATCTCTTGACCTCGTGATTCACCTGCCTGGGCCTCCCAAAGTGCTGGGATTACAGGTGTCAGCCACTGTGCCTGGCCGACAGTTGCATTCTAATTTCCATTAACTACTGAAAGTTCTTTTTCCTAACAGATGTACTTATAGGAAGCCATCAGTGATACTGACAATAAAGGGGTCCTTTTCACATGGGCCAAGCCAGTTATTCATGAATGACAGCAGCAGGCTAACAGAGACTTGTGGTCAGAGAACAAAGTGAACCACAGGCTAAGATATTTGGAAATTTGCTCCTGCACTGTGGTATGGTAGGTTGATTTGGGTTCCAGTCCCAGTTGCACCTTACAGGTGTGACAGGAATATTACCTTCTATGAGGTTCAGTTTCTCCAGGTCTAAAATGGACATATGAACAACTACTTTAGGATACTGGAGGAATCAAGAACGTATATTACCTCAAGAACAACCTGAGAATAAAGTCTCAAAAATTATCTTTTTTTTGGTTAAAAGACCTTCACACACACACAATTGTCTTTGGGAAACCTATCTCCAGTATTGAAAATATATTCTTCAGGATACAAAATCAATGTGCAAAAATCACAAGCATTCCTATACATCAGTAACAGACAAACAGCCAAATCATGAGTGAACTCCCATTCACAATTGCTACAAAGAGAATAAAATACCTAGGAATCCAACTTACAAGGAATGTGAAGGACCTCTTCAAGGAGAACTACAAACCACTGCTCCACGAAATAAAAGAGGACACAAACAAATGGAAGAACATTCCATGCTCATGGATAGGAAGAATCAATATCATGAAAATGGCCATACTGCCCAAGGTAATTTATAGATTCGATGCCATCCCCATCAAGCTACCAATGACTTTCTTCACAGAATTGGAAAAACTACTTTAAAGTTCATACAGAACCAAAAAAGAGCCCGCATTGCCAAGACAATCCTAAGCAAAAAGAACAAAGCTGGAGGCATCATGCTACCTGACTTCAAACTACACTACAAGGCTACAGTAACCAAAACAGCATGGTACTGGTACCAAAACAGAGAGATAGACCAATGGAACAGAACAGAGGCCTAAGAAATAACACCACACATCTACAACCATCTGATTTTTGACAAACCTGACAAAAACAAGAAATGGGGAAAGGATTCCCTATTTAATAAATGGTGCTGGGAAAACTGGCTAGCCATATGTAGAGAGCTGAAACTGGATCCCTTCCTTACACCTTATACAAAAATTAATTCAAGATGGATTAAAAACTTAAATGTTAGACCTAAAACCATAAAAACCCTAGAAGAAAACCTAGGCAATATCATTCAGGACATAGGCATGGGCAAGGACTTCATGACTAAAACACCAAAAGCAATGACAGCAAAAGCCAAAATAGACAAATGGGATCTAATTAAACTAAAGAGCTTCTGCATGGCAAAAGAAACTACCATGAGAGTGAACAGGCAACCTACAGAATGGAGAAAATTTTTGCAATCTACCTATTTGACAAAGGGCTAATATCCAGAATCTTCAAATAACTCAAACAAATTTACGAGAAAAAAACAACCCCATCAAAAAGTGTGCAAAGGATATGAACAGACACTTCTCAAAAGAAGACATTTATGCAGCCAACAGACACATGAAAAAATGTTCATCGTCACTGGTCATCAGAGAAATGCAAATCAAAACCACAATGAGATACCATCTCATGCCTGTTAGAATGGCATTCATTAAAAAGTCAGGAAACAAGATGCTGGAGAGGATGTGGAGAAACAGGAACACTTTTACACTGTTGGTGGGAGTGTAAACTAGTTCAACCATTGTGGAAGACAGTGTGGCAATTCCTCAAGGATCTAGAACTAGAAATACGATTTGACCCAGCCATCCCATTACTGGGTATATACCCAAAGGATTATAAATCATGCTACTGTAAAGACACATGCACACGTATGTTTATTGTGGCACTATTCACAATAGCAAAGACTTGGAACCAACCCAAACGTCCATCAATGATAGACTGGATTAAGAAAACGTGGCACATATACACCATGGAATACTATGCAGCCATAAAAAAGGGTAAGTTCATGTCCTTTGCAGGGACATGGATGAAGCTGCATGATTCTCTTGAGAGAATCTCAGCAAACTCTCACAAGCACAGAAAACCAAACAATGCATGTTCTCACTCGTAGGTGGGAACTGAACAATGAGAACACTTGGACACAGGGTGGGGAACATCACACACTGGGGCCTGTCGGGGGGTGGGGGACTGGGGGAGGGATAGCATTAGGAGAAATAACTAATGTAAATGACGAGTTGATGGGTGCAGCAAACCAATATGGCACATGTATACCTATGTAACAAACCTGCACGTTGTGCACATGTACCCTAGAACTTAAATTAAAAAAAAAAAAAAAGAAAAGAAAATATATTCTTCCTCCAATATCCACACCAGCCCCCAATGGCAGGGTATTTATTCTCCCGGGGTATATACACACCTGGGGTAGACAGTCAGGACGAGATTCAAAGATCACCAGCAGAACTCCAATTGGGACAGTCACTTGTTCCAGTTCCAAGTTTTTGGCGATTCGGGTGCGGCGCAAAACACGTCCCACGCTGTCCTGGGAGGAGGCTGCGATCTGTCGCAGACCGATGGCCAGGCTGTTCAATTTGGATGTGGAGAGGCTTAAACGTTTCAGCAGAGGAGCTGCAAGTCTCCCTGAAAAGCCATTAAGAGGATATGATAAAGTAGCAGACCTGGCAGGCTACAGCTACCAACCGATGTGTCTTTTTTTTTTTTTTTTTGAGACAGGGTCTCACTCTGACGCCCAGGCTGGAGTGCAGTGGCATGATCTAGGCCCAATGCAACCTCTGCCTCCTGGGTTCAAGCGATTCTCCCACCTCAGCCTCCTTAGTAGCTGGGACTACAGGCATGCACCACCAGGCCTGGCTTATTTTTGTAGAGATGGGGGTTTCACCAGGTTGGCCAGGTTGATCTCGAACTCCTCAACTCAAGTGATCCACCTGCCTCGACCTCCCAAAGTGCTGGGATTACAAGTGCGAGCCACCGTGCCTGGCCCAACTGATGTGTCTTGATGTTTTACTGAACATGTGGGACTGCATTAGGAACAGACTTGGGAAGACAATGACATGCCACTTAAACTGTCTTTCTTGGGGGTCCATTTGGTAGTACATAGCATCATGTAAAGCTGTGTACCCTGATACCCTTTGTCCCAGCAATTTCAGTTCCAGAAATTTATCATTTGTATGAACAGAAAGGCATGTAATAAGGATACTTAGCATGGCATTTTTGTAATGCTGAGAAATTGAATTCTACCTAAATATTCAGACAATGGTTTATAATTCAGTTATTATAAATAATATATCTAGGTTCACTGACATGGAGAGCTGTCTAGGATATAGTCTACGAAAAAGGCAAACTATAAAACAGCATGTATGATATGATCTTATTTATCAAACACTGCACATATATGTGTGCACGGGAAGAAATCTGGAACGCATCCAGAATAGTAATAATCTATCTTTCTATTTTTTTTATAATGAGTGAATTATTTTTATAATCAGAACCAACAAAGATGTTTTCTTCTAAAATAAAATGTTAAATATTTTGGGAAGGAGAACAGAATTTTAAAAAAGAAAACTTTTTTCCTTTTTTTCTTTTAGAGACAGGGTCTCAGTGTGCCGCCCAGGCTAGACTGCAGTGGTGCAATCATAGCTCACTGAAGCCTTGAACTCCGGGGCTCAAGTGATCCTCCTGCTTCAGTCTCCAGAGTAGCTAGGACTACAGGCACGTATCACCATGGCTGGCTAATTTTAAAACATATTTTGTAGAGATAGGGGGTCTCACTATGTTGCCCAGGCTGGTCTCGAACTCCTGGGCTAAAGTGATTCCTCTGTCTCCACTTCCCAAAGTGCTGGGATTACTGGTATGAGCGACCATGCTTGGCTGAAAAAAAAATAGGATTATGGCAAGCTCATACGCAGAATTTTCTATATTTTTTTGAGACGGAGTCTCGCTCTGTCGCCCAGGCTGGAGTGCAGTGGCGCAATCTCGGCTCACTGCAAGCTCCACCTCCAGGGTTCAAGCCATTCTCCTGCCTCAGCCTTCTGAGTAGCTGGGACTACAGGCGCCCGCCACCACACCCGGCTAATTTTTTGTATTTTTAGTAGAGACGGGGTTTCACTGTGTTAGCCAGGATGGTCTCCATCTCCTGACCTTGTGATCTGCCCACCTCGGCCTCCCAAAGTGCTGGGATTACAGGCATGAGACACCGCACCCGGCCCAGAATTTTTTTAAAAAACAGTAGTATGCATGATGTGATTCCCTCTCTCCACACACAAACATGTACGTACATCTTCATATATATACATGTATATACTCAGGAAGACCATTTGAAATCATATATCACAAATCATTACTGTGGTCAATGTTGAGATTACAAAAATTTTCCCTTTCCTTTTTTTACAGTCATAGCCACCAAGATAAAATAATAAAAAGATTTCTGCCTTGGGGGGAAGCAACTGACCTTATATTAAGAAAAAAAAATTAAACCATCTTTCTACCAACCAATTATACAAATTAATTAATTTTCTTTACTTTTCCCCATATGCTAAAAAAAAAGTTTTAATTATAGTATATGTTAAATGTTACATCCTAGCTTTTCACCTCACAATGCGAGTATATTTTCCATGTTGCAAAAATTATCTTAATTACTACTAAATATTCCATTAATTTGATACAGCTGAACGCACTTAACCACACCTATGTTATTAAATGCTCAGCTTGTTTCCAGTTTTTCAGTGTGATAAATCTTGCTCTAAGAATCCTTAGATAAAGAGCTATTTTCTTTTCTTTCTTTTTCTTTTTTTTTTGAGATGAAGTCTTGCTCTGCCGCTCAGGCTGGAGTGCAGTAGCGCAATCTCGGCTCACTGCAACCTCTGCCTCCTAGGTTCAAGCGATTCTCCTGCCTCAGCTGCCTGAGTAACTGGGATTACAAATGTGAGCTACCACGGCCGGCTTTTTTTTTTTGAGATGGAGTTTTGCTCTTGTTGTCCAGACTGGAGTGCAGTGGTGCCACCTCGGCTCATGGCAACCTCTGCCTCCCGAGTTCAAGCGATTCTCCTGCCTCAGCCTCCTGAGTAGCTAGGATTACAGGCATGCGCCACCAAGCCCGGCTAATTTTGTATTTTTAGTAGAGATGAGGTTTCTCCATGTTGGTCAGGCTGGTCTTGAGCTCCCAACCTCAGGTGATCCGCCCACCTAGGCCTCCGAAAGTGCTGGGATTACAGGCGTGAGCCACTGCGCCTAGCTGTAATTTTTGTATTTTTATAGAGACAAGGTTTCACCATGTTGGCCAGGCTGGTCTCGAACTCATGACCTCAGCTGATCCGCCCACCTTGGCCTCTCAAAGTGCTGGGATTACAGGCATGAGCCACTGCGCCCAGCAGTAATTTTTGTATTTTTATTAGAGACAAGGTTTCACCATGTTGGTCAGGCTGGTCTTGAACTCAGACCTCAGGTGATCTGCCCAGCTTGGCCTCTCAAAGTGCTGGGATTACGGGCGTGAGCCACTGTGCCTGGCCTAAAGACCTATTTTCTTTAGAAATAGTTTTTGAGGATAAATTCCCCGAACTGGGATTGCTAAGCCACGCTCATGTATACCCACGGCTTTGTTCTTAACCCACTATGTGTCCTTATGCATGTTCAGAGAGGTATAGCTGGGATCAGGAGTCTTCTGCCAACAACAAGCTGTGGAACCTTGGGCAACAACAGGTTTACCCTCTGTGGGTCTTAATTCTTTTACTTTAAATTAATGAGTGGATAGTATCAAAGATTTCTTCCAGTTCTGAAAATCTATTTTACGTTTTGTAATACTATAAAAATGAGATGTAAATTCTAGAGGAAGTTCTAAAACAATGGTTCAAAAATGTTTTAAGGAATGAAAGTAACGTTGAACCGTGCAAAATTTCTTTGAAAGAAACACCATTAATATGGATGTTCAAGATAATGCAAAGGAAATTCAAAACCCCATAAAATCAATCCCTATTATTTTAAGGGGGAAAAGACAGAATTAAGAAAAAGAGGAGAAAGAGTCAGGGCCCTGACTCTCTACATGTCTAGGTGTTCACAATGTGAATTCAACATCTTACTTTACCATTAGCACCTCTAGGGTATTTCTGGATGGCACCTGGTGCTAACTCAGGGAAGACAAAAGACTGGTTAATTAACTAAGAAACAAGCTATCTTTCTTCACAGGCTGCACAAACTATTTCTACAACTCTTTCACATGTACAGTCCATCTGTGTTTAAATCCTGGTCCATCACTGACCATGTGGATTTGGGCAAGTGACAACTTCTCTGAGCTTCAGTTTCCTTCTCTGTCAAATGGGGATAATAAGTAGTAGCTATCTCAGAGGCACTATGTTATGAAGATTAAATGACATCCTGACTGCATAGCCATTAGCACAGTGCCTGTCAATAGAGAAAGGCCTCAATAAATGTTAGCTATTAGCTGAATGTCTTAAGCAGTGGGGTTCTCAATCTTGTTCTTTTTTGTCCTGACCGCCATAGTAGCCACAGCTTGTGACCTGTGGGGAATGAAAAAAGCTCCTCTGGGGGTTGTACTAAAGTATTTGGGGAAGGAGAATACCAGCCACCCACCTACCCTCAATAGAAATGATACATAATGTACAATTTCTTTTATAAAAATCCTTATCTTTAGGCAGACATAAGAATTATTAGTAAAACTAAAAACCAAAATAATGCACACCCCTCCACAACATTGACTTTAAATTGCCTGGTCTTTACCCTCTGCCTCCTCCAAGTCTTTTTTGTTGGCTAACAGGATCTCATCACGCTGGTCCGTCAACAGATCAGCCAGATGATGGATAATTTCTGCTCTCTAGAAGAAAGGTACACCATTAAAAAAACAGAGATGTTAATCCAAGAAGAATGCACACCACAGTTTTTAAACCTACTCTTCTGAGAGTGCCAGGCCTTGCTCCCACATCCACGGTCATCACCAGTTGAAATCTCCTGACTTCCCATCACTTATTCCCACCACTGCTCCCCTTATTTCTTCCTTCCTCTCTCACTGCCAACCTCTAGGTCACTTCTTACTTTTCCTCCTTTTTTTTTCTTATGACTCCTGATTATTATAATTAGCAAACCATGGCTAATAGTAATAATCAGGAGTCATAAGAAAAAAAAAAGGGGGGGAAGGGGCATGATGGATACAATCTGTAGGAGACTGTATAATCTGTAGGAGATTATGTAACTGTACAGGGGCCAGTACTTTGAATTAACATGTTACATAGAGTCTTACATATTTAATATCATTAGTTAGTTTATGTCCAGGTAAGTTTTTACATCTGGTTCTTCCTTGTAAATTATTTATTTAATGCATTTAATCAAAGTGAAAAAATTCAGTCCTAGGTACTTGAAGACACCCCAAACCTGACCCTGCTAGATGAGGAAATGTGGCAAATCAGTATGCTGATTATTGGAGGAGCAGAGGGAAGTGGTTTGAAAGGGAAGCTAGGCTCCTCCTTTGCTTTCCTTTCTCTGCCATTGGAGTTACTTTTTCTTTTCTCAGGCCAAAGGATTCACTAGTATAAACCCACACACATCTTCACTCTCAAATCCGTCCTTGACAACATAACCCCTGGGGGACTAGCTCCCAGCTTCTACTTGACCTCCTCACCACTTCCAGCCTCATCATGTCTGCTACTTAGACTAATTCAAGCCAGACAGGTCAGGGCTACCAACTATGGAGCAGGCTCTCGAGCTTCCCATCTTCTAGGCAAGTCAGGGGATTTGGAATGGGGTGGGATAAGTAATTTTCCCACATTTCCATGCCCAGTATGTGGCAGAATTAGGTAACCTTTCTAATCTCATCATTTTTATGATGCTCTTGATCAAAACATCATAGTGATGAAAAGTTATCTTGGACCTCTGTCTATAAAAGATAAAACGGAAAATAAAATTAAGAAAAAGAAAAAAGGCAGAGCAAATTTGAATCAGACTTGTAACTCAGATAACTCTGTGGCTCACTAGGAATAAAGATGGAGTCAGCAGGTTTGACTCCTGTAACTACACAGCATGACTCACTCTGAAAACTATAACAATATTATCACCTAAGGTTATTACCTGCTCAGGTTCCAAGGTGGCCAACATCCTTCCTCCAGATCGCGCCATTTCTCCCTGCTGCTCAACAGTAGGGCCTGCAAGAATATGTGCAAATATCAGGTCATGGTCACCTTAGTTCTCTCTCTAGTTCTACTACTAGAGAGAGAACTACCAGCACATGCACAAGCTCATCACGCCCACAGAAGGAACACATGATGTCTTGGTATGCTTGTTTCACACAGGGGATCACCATGACCAATAAAATAGCAAAAGAATGTGCCAGATTCACTCAGGTATAAACATAAGAACTTGCCTGTATTTCTGGGGCAGACAATATACTTTGTTTTCTAGAATTCTTCTGAATTCCACTTTGGCGATATTTTTTAATGTGTTTACACTTCTGAATGCAGATTATGAGGCAATTCTGTCCTTTGTGAACACTCGAGAGCACATACTGTATCATATGCATCTTTGCATCTCTAGTGCTTATTTAGCACTTGGCATCTAACATAGGCCTAGCAAATGTTTCTTGAGAAAATCAATGCTTATATATTTTAACCGAGTGATTTTGCAGAGAATAGGTCTAGATAGGCAGGTTAGATAGAATTTCACAAAAGCAAAGCAAAATCCGATTTTGCAAATAGCGTTCAAAACAATGCCATATTTCATAATATTAGCATATCAATTTTGTGATCTCTAACTAAGCCAGGTGTCACTAGTTCCCATCACAGGCCTTGGGACCTTATGAAGAACTATTTACCTGCAGGCTTTACTTCTGAAAAGAAGGTACCAACTTTCTTCCCCTCCACAATGTCTGTGATGACGTGCCCAGACACCTTTGGGTGGGTTCCATTGGCAATAACAACAGAAGTGCCACCTTGCAAAGCCCAGAGGGCTGCTTTCACCTAATGAGACAGGTTAGATCCAGTAAAGATGAGATTCAGACCTATTCACCCACATTTTAAACTTGCAAAAAGATATAAAATACAAGTTGATATTGAACAACTTAAGTATATGAGAGAATGTTTTTAAAAGCTTAGAAGCTCTGAAAACACATAACAGTTCACACACTTTCCAGCTCAACCTTGGCCTGTGTTACTTAAAGGTAAACCAACCTATCCTTTGTTTCCAGTCTGTTCTCTCTTCAGTCTCTCTAGTATGGGACTCATAACTTCTACATTTGATTTACTGTGCCTCAACTTAGAAACAATTAAGTAGACCAACAGGCTGGAGTTTGACCAGAGTCTGATCTTGAGTACTTCTGGCTTTTCTAAGTGGGGGTCTTGTCCTCATCTGTGCTGTTGATACATGTGATGCTGTACCTTACGGGTATAACTTCTAAGAACAATTAATGGGACACAATTTTTGAAAGATTTCATCAAGAAATATTTGAACTGATAAATGAGAGATTTATGAATTATGAAAAATATATAGGCCCTGCCCTTGCAGAGTTTACAACATGAACACACTGTTCATACAATATTAATGAGAAAACCCACATACACAGACATAACCAAATGTTGGAATGCAACACTCATTAAATCTGTATTTAGGTATGTACATATTTAAGTGTGTATGTGCCTACTATCTGAACCATTAACCCCCAAATAATTACAAAAGTAAAAAGGATACAATATAGTTTGGGCTTTAAAATTGTTATAGGCAGTTAAGGCACCAGATTCTTACCTTGGCTTCCATGCCACCCATTCCCACTCTAGACTTGGTTCCAAATGTCACAGACTGCTGATCTCCGGGATAAAATATATCAATAAGCTTTGCATCATCTGAACCTGGGGGGCTGTCAAAAAGGCCTAAAAAATAGACAAGAGTCAGTAATACTGCTTTGATGGAAGTGTCTCCAAGACAGGCCTCCCCAGGGCACCTGCCAATCACTCTGTACTTTACTCATCCAAATGAATTCCACTGCACTACCACCTGCTTTAACCAGAAAAAGAGAACAAGGGATTCGACACTGACAAACATCTCCAGGAAGACTCACCTTACATTATTTCTATAACCTGGCTTAATAAATAAATGTTTCCCAACATCAGATCATGGCCATATCCTCAGCACAACATTTATTAGCCCTGCCCATATTCCTGGCAAGGTGTCCTTAATTCTGCCATTGCTACTTATGATGCTGTGCTTTAAGGACAGAACTGAAAAAGAAGGGTGGCTATTGCAGAAACAGCATAGCAGCCATATACTGTTTAATGTGACTGTTTCCAAGCAGGATGAAATGCAACAGAGGTACTCATTAACTCTCACAGTACCCTTTGAAACAGTCACTAATTTACACTCCCAGTTTTATGAGTGAGTCACTGTAGAGGTTAGGCTCAGTCAGCAGGAGA
This sequence comes from Homo sapiens, assembly GCF_000001405.40. Taxonomy (NCBI): domain Eukaryota; kingdom Metazoa; phylum Chordata; class Mammalia; order Primates; family Hominidae; genus Homo; species Homo sapiens. The sequence continues at coordinate 95,629,033 of NC_000010.11, forward strand.
GTGCGTGACTCTTGGCATTCAGTCTGGATTTATTACCATAAAGTGTATGTCCCTTTTATAACTAAGTGGAGTGACATAAAATAGTTACCTGAAATGTTACATGCATACAATCCAAGATGAAAAACCCTCACAATTTCACTTTGAAAAAGAGTAAGTAGGAGCTTGGACAAGAAAAAGTGGGGGTAAGAAAGGGCTGAGAAACTAGAGTTAAATCAAGACCTAAAGTGGACACAGATGGGGAGGCTGGGGACTGGCTGAAGGACATTTTGGGCAGTGATTTTTCTGGTCTCAAGTTACTGCTTTTCCTGTGCTATAATATACCTCTCCCCTCTATTATTCCAAATCTTTAAGACAATCTTGCTACATACTACCTCTCTGCAGGAGTAAGTGAATCAGGGAAGTGAGGAAATCAATGCCCATTGTAGAGCAAAGCAGTGGCAACTATAAGCAGTGCAAATTATTACAGGAAAAGAAAAAATAACCTTTCACAATCTGTCAGTCTCAACCTACTACTCCACAACTCTCCAGGATTTAGGGTTAGGATCTTCCCAGAAGATACAGTGCTATGAGATCACAGATTTAGATTTGGAAGCTGTTTCAGTTTCATATATTAGTACAGGAAAGATTGGACAATTCTAGCCAAACCTTCTCCAAAGACAGTGAGGGGTTCCTAGCATTCTGATAATGTGCCTACTCCTCTTTTCCCCTTACCCCACCAAGAGCATAGTTAAAATTCAGATACTGTTCTAAAAAATCAACACTCAGTAGAAAATGAATTAGGATAATCACAATAAGAATGCCAGTCTACCAATGACCCGATTTTGGTGCTTGAAGCTGCATCAAAACGATTTGCTAGAGTCTTGTTCAAACTGGGTTTTATAAATTAATCTCAAAACCTTACATTTTTTTTTTTACCTTGTCAAGCAGTATAAGAGAGAAGGAAGAGTGTAGCTTTTTTAATTGAACAGACTCAGATTTGAAACTGGCCTCTGTCAAGCACTTGCTATGTGACTTCAGATACACCATTTAATAGATCTGAATTTAATTTTAAATTAAACTAAAAAAAATATTTCTTCTTCTTTCCCCCCCCTCTCCCAACAGGGTCTCTGTTTCTGTCACTCAGGCTGCAGTGCGGTGGCATGATCACAGTTGACTGCAGCGTCAACTTCCTGGGCTCAAGTGATCTTACTGCCTCAGCCCTCCCAAGTAGCTGGGATTACAGGCATGTGCCACCGTGCCCAGCTTGAACCTAATTTTTAATTTCTTCATCTGTAAAACTGGGTTAGCCTACCCACTACCTACTTTGTAGGGTTGCTATAAAGATTGAATAAATTACATTTATCAAGCACCTAGCACACTATGTGCTCATGCTAGAAATTCAATAAAAACCTGCTGATTGGCCAGGCGCCGTGGCTCATGCCTGTAATCCCAGTGCTTTGGGAGGCCAAGGCAGGAGGATCACGAGGTGAGGAGTTCAAGACCAGCCTGGCCAACATGGTGAAACCCCTTCTCTACTAAAAATACAAAAATTAGCCAGGCGTGATAGCGCACACCTGTAATCCCAGCTACTAGGGAGGGTGAGACAGGAGAATCGCTTGAACCCAGGAGGCGGAGGTTGCAGTGAGCTGAGATCATGCCACTGCACTCCAGCCTGGGTGACAGAGCAAGACTCCATCTCAGGGGGGTGGGGAGAATGAATAAATAGAAAACCTGTTGATGAACCAAAATGCCTTTTTTCTCCAGGGTGGCTCACACTTACCCCAACTTACCTGTTCCTATCCTGGGACTTCAAATTACAGTGGATAACACAGGACTAAGACTTCTTACAGGTAAAGATATTGACATGTAGGTGTCGTATCTCTGACTTTCCACATGGGCAGAGACAGATCAATTCATCTATGTCTGCCCCTGCCTCCACTAGGTAGTCCCTGCCCTTACCTCACAACTGCTTGAGCGTAAAACAGAGAACAGGTCCTGCCATGTTAACCTGCCTTGATGTGGGCTGGGAATTAAGTAGAGGTTTTCTAACCTTCTGGGAGTGTTAACAGGGGACTTTTGGAATCCTAGATTTTGGACACAGCTACTATATTTCTTATGGGTCAGACTGTGAAATGGAAATAGCTTAAGAAAGCTTGAGAGGAGTGAATGGAAAGACATATTAGAGCCAAGAGTGGCCCCTCCAGGAAGAAGGGAACAGCAGAGAAGAACAGAGTAACATATAAGAATATGGTACCCAGATAGCCTAGACTTCTACAGTGGCTCCAACTTAAAACAATCTGTCCCAACAAAGGAAAAACAAAAACAAAAAAAATCCACAATCTGTCCCATGGTTTACATTAAAAACTGAAAGTAATCAAAACCACAGTAAGATATTACTTCACACCCATTAGGATGGCTATAATAAAAAAGGCAGATAAAAACAACTGAATAGGCCGGGCGCGGTGGCTCACACCTGTAATCCCAGCACTTTGGGAGGCTGAGGCAGGTGGATCACAAGGTCAGGAGTTCAAAACCAGCCTGGCCCAAATGGTGAAACCCCATCTCTACTAAATATACAAAAATTAGCCAGGTGTGGTGGCAGGTGCCTATAATCCCAGTTACTCGGGAGGCTGAGGCAGGAGAATCGCTTGAACCTGGGAAGTGGAGGTTGCGGTGAGCCGATATTGTGCCACTACACTCCTGCCTGGGTGACAGGATAAGGCTCTGCCTCAAAAAAAAAAAAAAAAAAAAAAACAACTGAATAACAGCAATGATGTAAACACATTAGAACCTTCATACAATGCTGGTGAGAATGTGAAATGGTACAAGGGGCCTTACTTTGGAAAACAGTCTAGTAGCTCCTCAAAAGTCTTTTAAACAGAGTTACCATATGACCCTGCAATTCCACTCTTAGATGAAATAAAAACATGTTCACACAAAAACGTGTCATGAATGTTCACAGCTAATGTCCATCAATAGATGAACTGATAAATAAAACATGGTACATCCACAGAGTGGAATATTATTCAGCAATAAAAACAAATGAAGTATTGATACATGCTGTAAAATGGATGAACCTTGAAAACATGCTAAGTGAAAAAAGCCGGTCACAAAGGGCCACCATAGTATATGATGCCATTTAAATAAAATTTCCAGAACAGGTTAATCCATAGAAACAGAAAATATACTGGAGACTGCCTAGGGATGGGGAGTTTGGGTAGAAGTGGGGAGTGACTGCTAATGGTTATGGAATTTCTTATTTGGGTGATGAAAGGGAAAGTGTTCTACAAATGACTGTGGTTTTGGTTGCACAATTATGTGAATATACTAAAAATCACTGAATTGTAAACTTTTATTTATTTATTTATTTTTGAGATAGGGTCTCGCTCTGTCACCCAGGCTGGAGTGCAGTGGCACGATAACAGCTCACTGCAGCCTGGAACTCCCAGCTCCAAGTGAACCTTCTGCTTCAGCCCCGAGTAGCTGGAACCGCAGGCGCATACCACCATGTCCAGCTGACTTTTCTATTTTTTGTAGAAACAGGGACTCACTATATTACCCAGGTTGATCTTGAATTCCTGGGCTCAAGTGATCCTCCCGCTTTGGCCTCCCAAAGTGTTGGGATTATAGGTGTGAGCCACCACGCCAGGACAGAATTGTAAACTTCAAATAAGTGAATTGTATGGTATGTGAATTACATCTCCATAAAGCTGTTATTTAAGGAAAACAACTGAAAGCACCTGGAAGTAACATTTCAGGATTCAAATGACATCTCTTAGACTCACCCACCCTGTTTTGAGTCATAAAAGCCCTTTGTCAGAACATATGGCTAATGATCTATAGCAAAAAAACATCAGAGGGACTCAAAGAAAGAGGGAAACTCATGTGCTCACATATGTAGCATTTAAAACAAAGGGCAGATAAAGGAAAAAAGCATTACTTTGTACCTTCTACATCTGAAAGAACAATCAAGAGATCAGTTTTCATTTCCACAGCCAGTCGGGCAGCCAGGCTATCATTATCTTTAACACTAATAACCTAGAATGCAGATTAAAAAGTCATAAGTGAGTGAGCTAAGCAGTCCAAAAAGAAATTCATGGAAGAACACAGCCAAGCTCAGGCAAAACCAAGCTAGGATCAGGCAAAACCAATGAACCCAAATATGTAGATGACGGCTCTTGCAGGCCCCTTCTGTCTGCAGAACACACTGTCTACTGGCAATCCTTTTTCCAAACATGCAGTCTTCTAGCCACTGAAATATACAAGCCATGCTCATCGCACCATCTTCAGTGACTATAGCACCTCACCCTGTTGAATGCAACCACGAGTTCAGAAGAGCTTATGCAGTCACTGCTCCATGACAAGTTTCTCTCACAACTTTTCCATCTTGTTTATGCCAAACTTCTGGTGTTAGTGCATGCAGCATAGCATGGTGTTAGTGTCTCCAGCATGCTAAACCCTTAGAAATACTTTACCCACATTTACCCCCTGCAGGTCACTGTTGGGCTCAGCTGGGGGGACAACAGCATCATTTGTGTTGACAATGGGGACAATGTTCATTCTAAGGAGTTCATGAAGTGTTCCATTGAGGTTCCGGCGCTTCTGCTCATCATGGAAATCCAAATTGGTCACCAAAATCTAAAAGGATTAAATAGATGGAAAATGCATGAGGGAGAAAAACGCTAAACTTCCCAGTATACAAAAGACGCTAAGAGCAGGGGAGTTAAACTTTAGGTTTCTGGGGCCCCACACAGATTAGAAGATTAGAATGAAATACACATATCTGGGTGCTATCCAATTCTTTTTTTTTTTTTTTTTTTTTTGAGACAGGGTCTCATTCTGTCGCTCAGGCCGTAATGCAGTGGCATAATGTCTGCTCACTGCAACCTCCACCTCCTGGGTTCAAGCAGTTCTCATGCCTCAGCTTTCCAAGTAGCTAGGATTACAGGCACACGCAGCTAATTTTTGTATTTTTAGTAGAGACAGGGTTTCGCCATGTTGGCCAGGCTGGTCTCAAACTCCTGGCCTCAAGTGATGGGATTACAGGTGTGATCCACTGCACCTGGCCCCAATTTTTGTAGAGATAAAAAAAATTACAATAATCTGAAAGATTTATTTAAGAATGTTCAAGACTTCTTGCAAAAGTACTTTAATCCTCAAAGAGCTACCAAATTCCAAAATCTCATCCATTTACAAAATTAAGAAAATTAATGTATCTATTTTAGAGGGATACTGGGGGAATCAGTGATTATCCATTAATTTCTTTTCTTTTTTTATAGAGAGGGTCTTACTCTGTTGTCCACGCTGGACTTGAACTCCTACTCTCAAGTGATCCTCCCACCTCAGCCTCCTGAGTAACTGGGACTAAAGATGCACACCGCTGTGCCCCAGCAATTTCTAAAATATCTCTGTATTCTAGGATCTGATTCAGGGCCTGGCCATAGTAGGCCCTTAAATATTTGGTGAGTGAGTGAAAGTGTATTAGACAAAATGGAATAGGGCTGTGTTGTCACTGCTCTTGCTCTAAAGCAGACTATTACTGGAGTTAACTAAGATTGTGTGTGAGCATGTGGGGTTAGTCTGAGAAATTTATGGAAGTTAGTCTTTGGTCACAAGCTGAAAGGGGGGCAGAACACAACTTGGTTCAAGGGAGGAGATGAGCATAAGGTGCTCAAAGGTAGAATGGAGAGCTGGTGTGTGGGCTGGTAAACAGCTCTGCTTTCTAGCTTAAATCAGAATTTTATGCAATGTTTAGGAGAAAAAGATAAATGGGTGAATGGAGATAGCAAGAAACTAAATGGCAACAAACCTTGAGGCTCAACAATAAATAATGCAATCTCTCTAATGTTTACGGAAGAGCGTTCTTGCTGTGTAGGGCAGGATGAGGTAGGGAAAGCTGGAAGCAAATAGTAAAGAAAGCAGGCACTGAAACAGTCAAAGTGAGGATGGTTAAGGGTCTGGCTATGGTAACTGAGAAGAATATAGCAATAAAACAGTAGCCTTAATGGTATATAAAACACAGGAAACATACATATAGAAAAATAATTCACTCACTCGATAAAAAATTTGTTGAGTACCTCTGAAATGCCAGAGTCTAGCTGCTGGAATGGAGAATAAGAATGTTGATGTCTTGGGGAAAAATAAAATGGAGCATATTTTTGAAAGGGAAGATCATGAACTCCTTTTCAGAAAAGCTTAGTGCTGTTGGACACAGGACTAGGTCCAAACTGAACATATAGATTCTAGTCACGATGGTGAAAGATCAAACAATTAATATAAACCCGTGTGTAGGAGAGACAAGCAGGAGATCTAAAGGTCCAGGAAAAATACCTGTCACCAAAATAGCTTCACAAACATGGCCTGGGGATCTCAGCATGAAGGTAGGAGATAAAGAGTCCCAAGAGGGAAAAGTACGTGTTTAGACAAGCGCAATCTGTTGAGGGAAAATCAGTTTCCCTTCTATGAAGAAAAAACAAGCTGTTTTAAGTGTTTAAGTCTTTAACCTGGCAAACCACCTACTGGAAATTTTCAAAAGCCACTGACAATGGTCTTCTATATAGGATTACTGAAGAAAATAAGGAACCACAGGAAAAGGTACAAAGGGCAAATATTTTCTGTAGATATGATGGCCTTGGGGGAAGACACAGGTGTGAGAGGAAAGAGCCCAGGGGTTGAAGCTTGTTGGGAACTGGAGGGGGCAGGGCTCTTCTTTCACTCAATGTAAATGGAAACAATGGCTGATGCTGCATGGACTCTTAATGCTACCATCATTCAAAACAAAATAAAACAAAAACAAACTCTCAAAAGGTTTCATCCCTGGGAAAAACCAAACCAAAGCAAAACCATAGCTCCCTGACTTGAGCTTCCTCACCTGGCTCCAGGCACTTTAAAAAAATTAAAGACCAAAGTTGTCATTGGACTGTGAAGAGAAACCAAATAATAAAGAAGAGTGATATAAATAGAGATTTATACTGTATTTATACTAACAGAAAAAAAGCTAAGACTACAGAAAGTGGGGTCCCCAGCCATAGGCAATGGGACAAGTCCGTGCCTTTCTGTTTTACCTCACTGACTTGAGGACACTCTGGTGTAATACCAGAACATCACTGTGGGTACAAACAGGCAAATGATGGAGAAACAAAAAAAAGTAACAGGAAATGAAGAAGCAAAACCTGAAACAATATATGTATATATAACAATATCACCTGTGTAAAATAACATCTGTGCATGTAGTGTACATGTAAAATAATATCCATAATATAAAATAACAGCTATTTTACATCTTTACAGGTAAAGGAATTTCAAAATAAAATAATTTGGGAGTTAGATTTTTTTTTCAGTTGTTTCCTGAAGTGACTGTTATTGAGATGTCTCTAGTGTGTAGTTGTACAGTTGATTAAGAATATAATTCAAAAAAATTCAGGAGATTTAGGTAAAAATGAAACAATGTAGAAAGAAGGTTCTAGAACATTTAGGGGTAGCCACCAAAAATTCGTAAGTCCCATGAGGACTGGAATCATGTCTGATTTGTTCACCACAGTATCCCCAATGCCCAAGACTGCTAGGTACACCATAGGTGCTCAATAAATATTTGCTGAATGAGTGAAAAACCAACCAATCACCAGCATTCCTCTTTCCCTTCAAAGCTTAATAAATATCTGCTATAAAAGGCAACCAACCAGGTGCAAAGAGAAGCAAGCCACCTGAAATCAAAGAAGCCAGTGAAATAAAGACATTTAACTTCTCTGTCTTCAGAAGTGTTAGCACTTGGAATCCTAAGTTATTAGTGTAACAAGAACTGATATTTACTGACAATGTATTATGTACCAAACACTATACTAAATGCTTTTCATATATTTTCTCACTGAGCCCTTCCAAAAATTATCTGAAATAGGCACTGATATTATCCCCATTTTCAGATGAGGAAACTGAGGCACAAAAAGGAAAAGAAACTTTCTTCAGATCTCAAGTAGCAAGTGATGAAGCTGACACCATATTCCAATAGTCTGGCTCCAGACCCCTTTGTTCCACAACAACCACCCTCACAGGTCCCACACCCATTTCAAAGCCCAGCCTCTCACCTGGGCAGCACAGATGCTGTACTGGGTAAACATAGCCTCATACAAGGCCATCAGCCCACTCTGTCCGGCAGCTGCACAGGCTCGTGCCTCTAAGACTGGAATTGCCTGTAATATACCAATGAGACAAGGTGTGGTAGGGAATGAGGGAAGAAGACCTGAAGATCCATTTCAATGTGTGGGGAAGCAGCACTCACCATTTCTTTCAGCTGGTTCTGCCCCGAGTGGAGGGCCTGCCGCACGCTCTGAGACAGAAGGATCTCATGGCGCAAGCGTTGTTTGCCAAAGGCTACGGCTCCACTGGTCACCAGCATCATCTCTCTGCCCTGATTCTGCAGCACTGATACCTGGGCATTGAGAAAGGAAAGGGGACTGTAAGTTACCGTACTGTCTCTTTCATCTCTTCACAAGGGATGGAGGTAGGGTGGGCTATCGAGTAGATCCCAAATGCTGGTTTATGAACCAGCATGTGGCTGGCTCTGGAAGAATCAGCCAGATTGGTAAAAACACAGATTCCTACATCCTGTCTCAAATTTCTATTTAGCAGGTGGCAGACAAAAATCAGACATTTTAATTTATTTTTTAATTAAAACAATTGGCTGGGCATGGTGGCTCATGCCTGTAATCCCAGCACTTTGGGAGGCCAAGGCAGGCACAATGCCTGAGCCCAGGAGGTTCAAGACCACCCAGGCAACATGGCAAGACCCAATCTCTACAAAAAGTACAAAATTTAGCCAGGCATGGTAGTGCATGCCAGCTACTTGGGAGGCTGAGGTAGGAGGATCACCTGAGCTCAGGGAGGTTAAGACTGCAGTAACCCATGATCGCACCACCACACTCCAACCTGGGCAATAGAATGAGAGAGATGCTGTCTCAAAAACAACAACAACAACAACAACAACAACAACAACAACAACAACACCCTAAGAAAAAAATTTTTTTAAGGCAGAGTCTTGCTCTGTCGCCCAGGCTGGAGTGCCGTGGCATGAATGTGGCTCACTGCAGCCTTGGCTGCCTAGGCTCAAGTGATCCTCCTGCCTCAGCCTCACAAGTAGCTGGAACTACAGGCTCATGCCACCATGCCCAGCTAATTTTTCTTTTTTAACACATTTTTGTAGAAACAGAGTCTCACTATGTTGCCCAGGCTGGCCTCAAACTTCTGGTCTTAATCCATCCTCCTGCCACGGCCTCCCAAAGCATTGGGATTACAGACATGAGCCACCATGCCTGGCCTAAGTAAGACATTTTTAATGAGGAAATTCTGGTGTGTAGCCAAGTTTGACATCTATAGGACTTGACTGTATTAGGTTGGTGCAAAAGTAATTGCAGTTTTACCATTGACAGTAATGGCAAAAACCACAATTACTTTTGTGCCAACCTAATATTTGCAGGGAGTGTGTAATGCAGAAGGCCTAGTTCCTCCAAGAAATGAAGCCCAGAATAAAAGTCCGCAGGTAGGAAATGCAACGCAGACTCAGTAGATGGCTTCTCAGGTTCTAAGGCTTAACCCGGGTAAAGGAGGCTGTTCTGGTGGCATGTCTAATCCTATGGGTTGCCTCTGCCTACACCAGGGGCACATGCTGACCTTGTTCTGCTCTGTCTGCCCAAGACCAAATGCGGTCACTTTGTTTCCTACCTTAAGCAGACCTACATGAAAAAATTAAAGACTCAAGATGTAATAAAGTCAATATTCCTAAACTGTCCTTTCCTTCTGATGTCTGAAACCTTTTAACTGGTCCAGCTGTTTAACAAACAGCTATGATAAACCATGATTTAAAACAATAATAACTTTTTTTTTTTTGAAACACAGTCTTGCTTTGTCACCCATGCTGGAGGACAGTGGCACAATCATGGCTCACTGTAGCCCTGACCTCCAGGACTCAAGCAACCCCCTGACCTCAGCCCCTTGAGTAGCCACCTTGGCTTCCCAAAGTGCTGGGATTACAGGTGTGAGCCACTGTGCCTGGCCCCGACAATAATATTTTATCACAGAAAGTTTCAGCTGGCTGAGGTGGGACGACTGCTTGAGGCCAGGAATTCGAAACCAGCCTGAGCAAAATAGTAAGACCCCATATCTATGAAAAATTAAAAAAAATAATAGCCAAGTAGCATGTGCCTGTAGTCCCAGCTACTCAGGAGGCTGAAGAAGGATCCCAACTGAGCCCTGGAGTTCAGGGCTGCAGTGAACTATGATTACACCACTGCATTCCAGTCTAGGTGACAGAGCAAGACCCTCTCTCTAAAATAAATAAAAAGAAAAAGAAAAAGAAAATTTAATACTTAACCAAAGTGCTGAGAATAGTATTATAAATCCCCATGTACATACCACCCAGTTTCACCAACTATCTCTCATGGCCAACTTCCCACTCTCCAATAACCCCTCTATACCCTCACCATTGTTTTAATACAAATTCCAGGCAACAGACATGTTATTTCATCTGTAAATAGCTCAGTAATAACTGCTAAAAGATAATCATATATATTATATATAATATATAATTATATGTCTTTCTCTCTCCACAAATCCATTATCTGGAATATTTCAATGATTTCCTTCATATCAAATAGCCAGTGTTCATATTTTTCCAATTTTTTTTTACCTTGCTCAAATTGAGATGCAAATTAAACCCTGCATTACAAATTAATTGAAGTGTCTCTCAAGTCTCTTTCATTCATGGGTTCCCTTCTCCATCAGTTTTCCCCCTTGTAATTTTTTGTTAAACTGAGTTGTTTATTCTTTAGGATTTCCCAGCCTACATTTTCCCAATTGTGTCCTTATGGTATTAATACTGCTCTTTGTATACCCTATAAACTGCTGTTTGGTATGAAGGCTTTTTTTTTTTTCCCCAACAAGTCTTTATAAGTTGTGGTGTACATGTTCATCAAGGGGATACATAATGCCTGGTTATCTTTCTTTTTGTGATGTTAGCATCTGTTGATGATCATTGCCAAGATCCATTATTCCATTAGGAGATGCAAAATGCTGACACTCTAACTCAATGATTCCTTCGTCATTTATAATCTGGAATAATTCCAAAAGGGAAACTCTCCTTTACCAACTATTTGGTTACCCTGAGGTACAGTTTGTCTATGAAAAGCAGGACAAATGTGTGTCTCTTCCCCTTTACTCATCCATTTTCAATATGAGTAGCTTCTCTAGTGGCCTCCAAAAATGGCCAATGAAGTTTTTTTTTTAAGTATAATTATGAACTCATGGATTTAAACATATTTTGTTGTATTGTGCAGTGATTCCCTTTTTTCTTTTTTTTTTTGAGACTGAGTCTCACTCTCGCCCAGGCTGAAGTGCAGTGGTGCGATCTTGTCTCACTGCAACCTCCACCTCCCAGGTTCAAGCAATTCTACTGCTTCAGCCTACCAAGTAGCTAGGATTACAGGCAGGTGCCACCATTCCTGGCTAATTTTTGTATCTTTAGTAGAGATGAGGTTTCACCATGTTGGCCAGGCTAGTCTTGAACTCCTGACCTCAGGTGATCTGCCCACCTTGGCCTCCCAAGGTGTTGGGATTACAGGTGTAAGCCACTGTGCCCAGCTGTGATTCCCTTTCTTGATGTTTACATCATCCCATTTATGGCCAGTGGAAGCCAGTTTAAGTTGGCTCCTGAGTCCATCTGACATGATAAGATGTCTATTAGTCAGGCCCTGATGGAGACAGCTCTTCCATTAGGTCCACACGCAGCCCTAGAAAGAAAGCTGGTAACCTACGCAAACCTTTACCAGGTTTTTCCTACCGTTTTCATCAAGTTTCTCCTCCGTTCAAAATCTTCAGCCTGCTTTTGAGACTGAACTCCAACTCACCTAGTTGGCTTCAGAGCTCTGCCTAATGGAATGATCCACTTTATTTTTCATTCTTCCTAATGAGACCACCACCTCTGCTTTCCAGCTTGTCTCCTCCCTGGCCCACAGCATGCCATACTCATTCCTGCCTGTCCTCTACCTGGAATACACTCCTAGAGCCTGTCCCTTCCCCAGAACCACTGGATTGCACAACTGCAGGGGCACCTCACACTGTGTACTTAGTAGCATGGAACTTTTCCCCTCTGTTTGTGCAAATCCCATCAGTTGTCAAGGCCCAGGCTGAGTTCCAGCTCTCCTAGGAAGCCCCAGGAACAACCATACTCTCATCTGAGTTTCCCACCTCTGGACCCATCGCTCACTGTCATTTGGGCCCACTTATTTGGATATTTACTGCCCTGAACAGTCACCTTAATGTGTGGGGAGTCCCAGTTCTGGCTCGCAAAGGGTAAAGACTGTTATGTTTCTAAGGTAGAGAGGGTAGAGAGGCTAGTGCCCCTCACAGTGTAGTCTCTTGATAAATATTTTTAAAATTTATCTGATGGACTCAATCTGGGAGGTGGGTTTGATCATTGCTGTTGTTCTGGGTGTTTTTTGTTTTTTTTTTTCTGCAGGGGCGGGTGGGGGGGTGGTCAGGGTTTTGCTCTGTTGCCCAGGTTGTAGTGCAGCGACTTTATCACAGTTCACTGCAACCTTGAGCTCCTGGGCTCCAGCAATCCCCTTGTCTCAGCCTACCAAGAAGTTAGAACTTTTTGAGACAGGGTCTTGCTCTGTCACCAAGGCTGGAGTGCAGTCGCATGATCATAGCTCATTGCAGCCTCAATCTCCCAGGCTCAAGCAATCCTCCTACCTCAGCCTCCCGAGTAGCCGGGGCCACAGGAACGTGCCACATGCCTGGCTAATTTTTAAAAAAATTTTTGTAGAGATGGGGGTCTCACTATGTGGCTTAGGCTGGTCTCGAACTCCTGGGCTCAAGCAATCCTTCTGCCTCAGCCTTCCAAAGCGCTGGGATTACAGGCGCAAGTCACCACACCCAACCGATTTTATTTTTGTAGAGACAGGGTCTCACTTTGTTGCTCAGGCTTGATAATTTAGAATAGAAAATATAAGAAAAAAATTGTATCAAGTTTCAGGTTAGCAATTTCCCAATATTAACACCTCAGGAACTTGTTTTTTAAAAACTGAAAATTTAATTACAAGGTAGTGTAAGATTTCAGCTGCCATGGAATAGCTCTTGCTTTATCTGTGGGATGCCTGGATGTCTGGATTTTTACTTTTGGCCAAATCTGGCATGCTGCTGGTTTTTGTAAATGAAATTTTATCAGCTCACGGCCACGCTCATTCATTTATATATTATCTATGGTTGCTTCTGCAGAGCTGTGTAGTTGAGACAAAGACCATATAACCTACGAAACTAAAATATTTACTATCTGGCCTCTTGCAGAAAAAGTTTGCAGGCCCAGCACTTTGGGAGGCCAAGGTGGGAGGATCACTTGAGCCCAGCAGTTGGAAACCAGCCTGAGCAACATAGCAAGACCCCTGTCTCTACGAAAAATACAAAAATTTGCTGGGCATAATGGTTTGTGCCTGTAGCTGCAGCTACTCGGGAGGCTGAGGTGGGAGTATCACTTGAGCTCGATAGGTCCAGGCTGCAGTGAGCCATGATCATGCCACAACAGTCCAGCCTGGGTGACAGAGTGAGATCCTCTCAAAACAAACAAACACAGCTGCTTCATCCCAGAGATACTTCTTAAATGGCTAGGTGTGAAGCCCAAGCATCTCCAGGCCCAAGATGATTCTACTGCGTAGTCAGAACTAAGAATCTCTGACAGAAACAGCTCTTTATCACTAAGAAGTCTGAGACATGAACTGCATGAAATCACCCCTACTCCTTAACATCCCATTTTCTTGCCCTAAGATGTCGTCTCTCACTGGCGTCTACAGTGGGAAACAGTTTTCACATTGGGTTAAATCTACTGCACTGAAATCACAATTATTTTTTTAAGTTGATGAGCAACTTAAACCTAATCTGAACTAGCGACTTAAAAACCCAATTTTAGTACAGCATAATTTCTATCTTGGCAATCACCTGCTCAACAATAGATGCCAAGCGCCCCAGGGCCAGGCCACATTCATCCCCTCGGGTCACCACGGCACTGCCGAGCTTCACCACGATTCTCTTGGCATGCTTCAGCTCACTGCGGTGGGCGAAGGACTTGCCATGTGTACGACTGAGGGGTACAGTGATAAACGGGATGTTGCTCCAAGAACGAACATGTCTGATGACTGAAGGCTGGATACAATCTGTAGCCATCAAAGTCAAATGCAAGAAAAAAAGAAATACTCAATATAGTTTTTCAATAAAAATATACATGCTCAGTATTAACCAGTTTAGATACCAAAAAATAGCATTATCATTATTAACTGTGTAAAACTAGCACAGTGTATCAAAAGCTCTATCTAGCGTATTCTTATTTTAGTATTGTATGGAGTTTACACCCAGTATGCAGGTCATAGGCACACTCAAATGCTGTTGGTGAAGAGTACAAACAAATTAATCTCTCTTGAAGACAGGTTGGCAAATTTATCGAAAGCCTTAAAAAAGTTCTCTAAAAAAGAGATTTATCAGAAAGCTATTCATCACTGTTATTTATTATCAGAAAAATCAGAAGCAGAGTAAATGTTGGATAAAGGGAAAAAGATTAACATTTTTAGAATTTTTAATAATGTAGAAAAATACATGTTAATTTCATATACATGTATAAACACATAGATGGATAAAATTAATGAAAAATTAATATTTTATCTCTTGATAGGATTATAAGCAATTTTAAATTTTCTTCTTTGTTCTTTCTTAGATTTTCCAAGTTTATGCAGTAAAGATGCATTTTTTTTTCATAATCAGAAAAATATGGGTGTTTCTAAAGAAACCATATTACTATAAAAAGAGGAAAAAGCCGGCCAGGCATGGCAGCTCATGCCTATAATCCCAGCACTCTGGGAGGCCGAGGCAGAAGGATCACCTGAGGTCAGGAGTTCGAGACCAGCCTGGACAACATGGTGAAACCCCGTCTCTACTAAAATGCAAAACTTAGCCGAGCATGGTGGTGGGCACCTATAATCCCAGCTACTCAGGTGGCTGAGGCAGGAGAATCGCTTGAACCCGGGAGGCAGAGGTTGCAGTGAGCCAAGATCGTGCCACTGCACTCCAGCCCAGGCAACAGAGCAAGACTCCTTCTCAAAAAAACAAAAAAAGAGGGAAGAGCCTGATTAGCAAAGACAGTAAAGAACAAAGTAAGTGTATGAATAATACAAAATCTCAACTATTCTACCTACAATTTCTCTCTTTGATGAATCCAGATGCCTGTAACAATGATCAAAGAAACCAGACAGCTTTCTGAAGGAAAAGCAATGTTAGAGTCAGATACTTTCTATCCCCTTGGACATCTGCCTCTAACCAATTCTTTCCTGATTCTTTTTCTTGTAACACTGTACAAGATTACAGATAATTTGTACAGATGAACAAACAAACAAAAATTCTACAAGATTTCTAAGGAGGAAAAAAATCTTCATTAAAAGCCAAATAGATACCTGCATAAAGCCAAAAGTAAAAGAGTAAAAGCTGAATGTCAGGCACAGAACCCCTTCAATACTTCTTATGGGCCCAACACCTCCTGCTTAGCTGCTTACTACTTACCCATTCGCCCTTTCTCACACAATTACCAGATCCCCAAGTATTAGCCAGGCACACTGCCACCAGTCGAAAGACTACATTTCCCAGCCTTTCTTGCTCAGGTAGACAGGACAATGTGACCAAGTCTGGCTAACAAGATACATGTGAAAATGTTATGTGGGATTTCTAGGAACTTAAAAGAGACATGCTTTCTTCCCTTCATCCCCACTGCTTCTTGGAACATGGGTATGAAGGCTGGAGCTCATTCATTCATTTTGGACTAGAAGGAACTGTGAAGCAACAAGAAAGAACGAGCAGGGATCCCTGATGGATTTCACAGTGCTATTCTGGAAGCCCTGGACTGCCTACCTTCTTGCAGGGCTGCTAGGCTTCCTTCAGGAGAAAGAGAGAAAAACATTTCTATCCTGTTTGAGCCATGAATATTCTGAGTTTCCTGCTACATGCACATAATTGTAACTGACACAGAAGGACAATGAGTGCATAGGCAGATGGACTGTGTGAGGCCTACATGGGAGATAAGATGCTGTCAATCAGTGGGGGGTAGAGGAGCACTTAAGCAAATAGACGTTCCTCCCTGATAGCAAGAAGCAAGACAAGGTGGGTAACATAGGTTCTCAGCAGGACTAAGCTTTAAGCAATTCCCTGGAAAGACTTTTCTATATCTCATTACAAGCAACTCATAAATATTTGAATGAATTACTAAAATTATCATTCCAAGCCACCTTTTGAACCACTGTTCTATAACTTTATTAGAGAGTTAACTACCTTCACTTGAACCACTATCACTTCCCTTTATATTGTCTGTCTATAAATTACAGACAATTTTCTCAAAATTTCTTTAGACCTTCTGACTATCTCCTGGCCGCTAACTCACTCCCTAACCACAATCTACTGATGGTGGGTAAAGCAGGCAGGACCTTATTCTCATGAATGGGAAGGCGACTATGGGTTCTCCTCCCTTCCTGCCTCCTTCACACACATATCTTAGAAAGAACATTTCTAATGAAGTAATAGTCATTTCTGCCTTTCCTTAAATAACCGTTTTTCAAGTGACTATGTTTCAGGTTTGTGGAGATATAAGAAAGATAATATGATTTTTTTTCACAACAGGCTTGGCATCTAGATCCTGGCACAGAGCTGCTTGGTAAGCCATCATCTGGGATGGAACTGGGATTCCGATGGCATTGCTGGATCCACAGGTGCACGGTCTCTTCCTGCTGTGGGAGTCCCTGGGACTAAAAGACTGGTTTGTTGTTGAGGCTAAGTTTTATGGAGTGCTACTTTCCTTCATTGGGTTAATTATTAATAATATAGGTACCCTACTCTGCTTTCAGGAATATTATCCTAAGCAATATGTACAACTAAGTCTTAAGTTTAAAAGTTGTATGCCTAATGGTTTGGTCTTACTGATCTGCCAGAGAGAAGGGTGGTGGAGGGACAGGCTTACTCCCCTAGGGTTTGGACCAGGGATCATCAGTGGCTGTTTGCAGAGCTTAGAGCTATGCCAAGTATCATGTATTATCCTTTTGGTAGCTGTCAGATCTAGGCTTTCTGGCTTTCTCTCCTGTCTGCTGGAGGGCCTATCCTGACCTGGAAGGGTGGTGAGCATGGGTGGAGCAGCCTGAGAGGGTACCTCAGGAACACAGGCAGTGGCATGCATGTCTGTCCAGGTGATCAAATGGTAGAAGCCAATCAGAATCCAGCAGCCAGGCTAGCATGAAGGAGGCTAACCCACAGTCTGTATCAGGAGAAGAGGGTGGGTCGCATGGTTCAGTGCCAGGTAGTCAAGGGTCATTCTGGCTGGAGACAATAGGGTAACAGCAGTAGATAAGGCCTGTTAGGGTTCAAGAGGAGGTCACCACTAACAACAAGGTTTCATGCAGTTGACTCAGTCAAATCCAGTAGGTTCTAGCACAAAGGAGAGCTTCAGGGGACTCAGGGCTTGTTGGGTTTCCTATTGAACAACGCCTTTTACCTTCCAAGGCTGACCCTACCTTTCTTGGGGGTATTTTTTTAATGTTCTACAATGTATTATACTTGTTAGGGTCCATATTGAAAACTGAGAAGGCCTTGATTAGTTAGGAAAATTCAAGGCTTCTAGAGAAATAATTGTTTCCCATCTTCTAAGGAACTTTTAGGCTCTAAGTTCCAAAGAAAATCTGTCCCCTCTTAGTAGGTATGAGGGCATACTGAAGTGTATGTGTGTACAGATGTGGCATGGTGGGGGATGGGAGGGGTTGTCCATGTTCTTCTTAAGGGCCACGGATTATACTCTTACCACTCTGACAGAGGAGAACCCTTTACTTCTTCAGCATCAGAATCCTTATGCCCAGTAACCAATGAGGCTGTGTTCCAGGCCTCAACAAGAAGGGACCCAGACATGACTACTCTTTTTCTCTCTGGCCTTCCATTGCCTTCTCTGTTTATCTCCACAAGCGTTCTCATTTTGCCTTTCTTTTCTTTTTTTTTCCCTCTGCTATTCTGCTTATCATGGTCAGTGAAAGAGCTCCACGTTCCAGAAAAATCCAAATCCCCAAATTCAAAAACCTAGGGAAACAATTAGAAAGTGCCTCCTTCTGTGAATGAGTCTAATGAGGATAAGTATCAATAAAAATACTGAAGTGAACACTTACTATATACCAGGAGTTGTGCTAAGTATTCATACACCTTCTACAGGAGTAAAAAGGACAAGTGTTGGCTCTGGAGCCAGACTGCCTGAGTGAAATTTCAACCCCTTCACTTACTTGCTGTCTCCTTAACTATCTCATAAGGTTGGTAGGGTGGATAAAACAAGTTCATGCATGAACAGAGATTGGCACAAAATACTCAATGAATATTAACTGGTACTGTAAAAAAAGTGTTACTTACTGTGACATGACATATATATCCATGGTCCCTGGCTTATAACTCTAATAATCCTTTTTACAGTCTTTTGTTATAATGTTGGTGTAAGGAAACAGAATCTCTCTGGTATTCTCCTGAACTCCTTTCACCTACTCAAGGCAGGACTCTAATTTGATTGTGGGTTGTAAGACCCTCAGTCCAGAGAGGGTCCTGCCCCATACCTTGGAGGAAGAAATATTGCACAGGAAGACCAAGACAAAATCTGAACAGACAGGCCTTGCTGGGTTACCCCACTCAGTCTATTAGTATCAGGTCACATTCTTTTTGTTCAATCACATTTCGACACAGTTGCCCATGCTTCAATCATGCCTATCCAATAAGTCTCCATAAGAGGTCCAAGGGGACAAGGTTCGGAGAGCTTCCAGATGGCTGAACATGTGGAGGTTCCTGGAGGGTGGCGTGCCCCGGAAGGGCATGGAAGATCTGTGCCTCTTACCACACACCTCACCCTACATATCTCTTCATCTGTTTCCTTTGTAATAAATTGGTAAATCTAAGTGTTTCCCTGAGTTCTCTGCATCACTCTAGCAAATCAATCAAGCCCAAAGAGGGTACTGTGGGAACCCCAACTTGAAGCCAGTCAGTCAGAAGTTCCAGAAGCCTGGACTCAGGACTACTAGGAAGATGGGGATGATCTTGAGGGACTGAGCCCTCAACCTGTGGGCTGTCCTCAGGGAGACAGTGTCAGAATTGAATTGGAGGATACCCAACTGATGTCCACTGCAACCCCGTACATTTGGTCACAGAAGTCTTCTGTGTTGATTGTTGTTATGGAGTGAGAGCAGAGGAAAAATAGTTTGAGCTTTTCCATATTCTACCTTCATCATCATCATCATCATCATCATCATCATCATCATCATCATCTTACTGAATTCTCATGAATTAAGCCTCATAAGTTAGGTATTATTATGAGTTCATTATTATTATTATCCCCATTTTATAAATAAGGAAACTGATGCTCAGAGTAACTGAGTAATTTACCAGCATTGCCAGATTACAAAAATGGCCACAATCCTTTTGCAGCTTCTCCATTAACAGGTGAGTCAATCTTCCAAACTTCTTAAATTTGAGCTGGCCCCGTAACTTGCTTTGACAAATGTGGCAGAAGGAACAGTGCATAAATTCTGAGTTTACATCTCAAGAGGACTTGTAGCTACCATGCTTCCTGTTCTGGGGACCCTGCAAGCATCATGCAAAGCAGCAATGAACAGCCTGCTGGAGAATGAGAAGCCACAGGGAATGTACATGATGTATCATCCCAGCAGAGGCCCCTTCATCCCCAACAATCAGCCCTAAGTCAATCTGAGACCTGACACAGACACAGAACCACTGTGCAGCTGAGCCCAGTCCAAAATACCATCCCACAGAATTGTGACCTAAACAGACAGTTGTTTTAAGCTACGAAGTTACTTCATAAGCAGAAGGGCTAGTTTTAAAAACCCAGGAACTGGTTCCAAAACCTGAACTTTCAGCCCTTATACTCTACATTAATAGGAAAGAGATTTTTCTGTCTAATGACAAGCTTGATTAGTTGATTGGCAAGTCATCTTGCAATGAAGCTTGGAAATGGACTACTGATAAGATTTAGGTGATATCAAGGAGCTAGCCAACTCAAAACATCACAAACAGCCTTTCAACAAATGATGCTGGAACAACTAGTATTAAAAGTTGAAAGATGAACATTGACCTAAACCTCACACCTTATACAAAAATTAACTCAAAATAGATCACGAAGTTGGGTGCAGTGGCTCACACCTGTAATTCCTGCAGGTTGGGAGGTCAAGGTGGGAGGATCTTTTGAGCCCAGAAGTTCGAGACCAGCCAGAGCAACATAGACTCCATTTTTACAGATTTTTTTTTTTTTTTTTTTTTGAAACGGAGTCTCACTCTGTCACCCAGGCTAGAGTGCAGTGGCGCTATCTTGGCTCACTGCAAGCTCCTCCTCCCGGGTTAATGCCATTCTCCTGCCTCAGCCTCCCAAGCAGCTGGGACTACAGGCACCTGCCACCACACCCGGCTAATTTTTTGTGTTTTTTAGTACAGACGGGGTTTCACTGTGTTAGTCAGGATGGTCTCGATATCCTGACCTCGTGATCTGCCCACCTCGGCCTCCCAAAGTGCTGGGATTACAGGCGTGAGCCATCAGGCCCAACCAAAAAACTTTTTAAAAAATTAAATGTGCCAAGACTGGGCAACATGGCAAAACCCTGTCTCAACAAAAAATATAAAAATTAGCTGGATATGGTGGTGCACGCCTATAGTCCCAGCTACTTGGGAGGCTGAGGCAGGAGAATCGCTTGAGCCTGGGACGTTGAGGCTGCAGTGAGTAATGATTGCACCACTGCTCTCTAGCCTGGGTGACAGAGTGACACCCTGTCTCAAAAAATAAAAAAAAAAAACAAAGAAAAAAATTAGCCAGCTGTGGTGGTGCAACCCATAGTCCTAGCTACCTGGGAGGCTGACATAGGAGGATCACTTGAGCCCTGGAGGTTGAGGCTGCAGTGAGCCTTGATCGTGCCACTATGCTCTAGCCCTGGGTAACAACAGAGCAAGATCTTGTCTCAAGAAAACAAAAAAAAAATGGATCATGGATTTAAGTATAAAATATAAAACTATCGAACTTTCGGGAAAAAAACATACGAGAAAATCTTCAGAATACGGGGTTATACAAAGAGTTCTTAGACTTGACCCCAAAAGTACAATCCATAAAAACAAAAGCTGATAAATTTGACGTCATCAAAAGAAAAACTTTTCCTATATGAAAGACCCTCTTAAGAGAATAAAATGACAAGCTATGAGACTGGGAGAAAACATTTGCAAACCACCTATCCAACAAAGGACTAATACCTGGAAGTGCTATGGTTTGGATATGGTTTGGCCCTTCCAAGTCTCAGGTTGAAATCTGATCCCCAGTGTTGGAGGTGGGGCCTGGTAGGAAGTGTTTGAATTACGGGGGCAGATCCCTGATGAACAGCCTGGTGCCAGTCTCAGAGGGAATGCATGAGTCCTCACTCTTAGTTCCCATGAGACATGGTTGTTAAAAAGAGCCTGGCCCTTTCTTTTCTCTCTCTTGCTTCCTCTCTGGCCATCTGATTTTGCACACAACAGCTCCCCTTCATCCTCTTCCAAGAGCAGAAGCAGCCTGAGGCATTCACCCAATGCAGTTTTTGGTGCCATGCTTTTTGTGCAGCCTGCAGAACCATGACAAATAAACCTCTTTTCTTTATACATTACCCAGCCTCAGATATTCCTTTATAGCAATAAAAATGGACTAAGACAGGAAGATATAGAGAATTCTCAAAATTCAATAGTTTAAAAAAAAAACAACTTTCCAATTCAAACTGAGCTGAAGGCCAGGTGTGGAGGCTCATGCCTATAATCCCAGGACTTTGGGAGGCTGAGGTGGGGGGATCACTTGAGGTCAGGAGTTTGACACCAGCCTGGCCAACATGGTAAAACCCTGTTTCTACTAAAAATACAAAAACTGGCTGGGCATGGTGGTGGGCACCTGTAATCCCAGCTACTCAGGAACTGAGGCAGGAGAATCGCTTGAACCCGGGAGGCAGAGGTTGCAGTGAGCTGAGATTGCGCCACTACACTCCAGCCTGGGTGACAGGGCAAGACTCCATCTCAAAAAACAAAAAAAAACAAAAAGAATGAGCTAAAGACATGAACTAACATTTCACTGAAGAGGATATAAACACATGAAAAGATGTTCAATATCATTAGCTATTAGGGAAAGGCACATTAAAGCCACAATGTGATTATCACTACATACCTATCAAAATGGCTAAAATAAAAAAGAGTGACCACATCAAATGACGGTAAAGATGCAGAGAAAGTGCATCACTCATACAGTGCTAGTAGGAATGTAAAATGGTACTGTCACTCTGCAAAGACAGTTTGACAGTTTCTTATAAAACTGTGTTAGGCCATTCTTGCATTGCTGTAAAGAAATACCTGAGGCTAGGTAATTTATAAAGAAAAGAGGTTTAACTGGCTCATAGTTCTGTGGGCTGTACAGGAAGCATGGTGCTGGCATCTGCTCAGCTTCTGGTGAGGCCTCAGGAAGCTTATAATCATGGCAGAAGGCAAAGGGGAAGCAGGCATCTCCAATGGCGAGAGAGGGAACAAGAAGAGAGAGTGAGGGGGTGGTGCCACACACTTAACCAGATCTTGTGAGAAGTCACTCACTATCTCAAGGACAGCACCAAGGCATGAGGGATTCACCCCCATGACTCAAACACCTCCCACAGGCCCCACCTCCAACACTGGGGATTACAATTCAATATGAGATTTGGTAGGGACATACATTCAAACTATGTAAAAAACTAAACATGTAGCTACAATCTGACCCAGCAACTACACTCTTAGGCATTTATCCCACAGAAATGAAAACTATGTTCACACAAAATCCTGTACATCAATGTTCATACCAGCCTTATTCATAACAGCCAAAAAATGAGAACAACCCAGATGTCCTTTAATGGGTGAATGGTTACACTAACTGTGATACACTCATAGCATTACATACTTCTCAGTAATAAAAAGGAACTAACTGATACACACAGCAACTTGAATGAATCTCCAGAGAATTATGCTGAAGAAAACAGAATTCCAAAAGGTTACATACTGGATAATTCCATTTATATAACATTTTTATAAGGACAAAATTATAAAAATGTAGACCAGATTAATGTTGGCCAGGGGTTAGTAATAGGGAAGAGGACAGTGGCTGTTAAAGAGAAATAAAAAATCCTGTGGTGATTGAAATGTTCTGTATCTTGATCGTATCAACGTCAATACCTTGGTTCAGATACTGGGTGAAATTGGGTAAAGGGTATAAGGGACCTTTTTGTACTATTTCTTAAAATTGCAAGTGAATTTATAATTAGCTCAAAATCTAAAACTTAATTACAAAAAAAGAGTAATGAACAAAAATAGCATGGGGCCGGGCACAGTGGCTAACGCCTGTAATCCCAACACTTTGGGAGGGAGGCCGAGGCGGGCAGATCACCTGAGGTCAGGAGTTCGAGACCAGCCTGGCCAACATGGCGAAACCCTATTTCTACTAAAAATACAAAATTAGCTGGGTATGGTGATGCACACCTGTAATCCCAGCTAACTGGGAGGCTGAGGCAGGAGAATCGCTTGAACCTGGGAAGCAGAGGTTGCAGTGAGCTGAGATTACACCACTGCACTCCAACCTGGGAGACAGAGTGAGACTCAAGAAAAAAAAAAAGCATGTAAAAATTTATTTGGGGGTCAACTTTATTGACACAAACACTGAGAACATTTCACCAGGAGACTACCTCTTTGCCTCCTTGCTATTTGGCAGAATTTTGTCCAATTCTGCCAAATTACATCTTTTTTTTCTCTCTCTCTCTTTTAAACCTTTTTTCTTGGCTGGGCACGATGGCTCACGCCTGTAATCCCAGCACTTTGGGAGGCCAAGGCAGGCAGATTGCTTGATCTCAAGAGTTCAAGACCAGCCTGGGCAACATGGCAAAATCGCATCTCGACAAAAAATAAAAAAGTTAGAGTCAGCGCGGTGGTGTGTGCCTGTAGTCCCAAGTACTTGGTGGGCTGAGGCAGGAGGATTGCTTGAGTCCAAGAGGTCTGGACTGCATGGAGCTATGTTTGTGCCACTGCACTCCAGCCTGTGTGACAAAATGAGACCCTGTCTCCAAACAAACAAACAAACATCTTTTTTCTCTTTGAAAACCTTGTTGAAACATACTTTGACTATCAAACGTCCCACATACTCATAAGTTTTCTATGGTACATACGAGATCTGAAGACGGTTGTACACTTGACCCAGGGCAGAAGATGTTGGTTGAAGGGCTGGAACCCACAGCGGTAAACTTGACTCAACATGCTGCGATGTGGTCACTAACCAAAGTATCTGCAGAATACATTTTTTAAAAAGTGAGTAATGAAAAATACTGGACAATTCATTTTATTTCCCTCTACTTCCCCTTACCCTCGGAGTAAAAATCTGACTCTCCTGCTCCAAACTCCTCTGTATTAGGGAAACTCCCACCTCCTCTATATTATAGAAAAGAGAGAAAAAGTAAGTGGCTCCTTTCTAGGCCTCAACCATCTTAGTTTTTATGTAAGCAAATAATAATGCAGAGTTAGGAATATTTTGAGACACAAAAAACACCTGCTCTTTTTGGTATCTTCCAAATTTAAAAAAAATCTTTCAGGTGCAATGCTTATGTGTTAATACTAAATCTTCATATAATTCCTGTAACAGATCCAACATCCTAAAGCAATCATGTCCACCTTTCTGCTAACATCTCCCAACAGAACCAGGAAATGCACCTATTTGAAATGTCAGCTTGATCCTTGCCAGCCAGCCATGAAAAGCAAGAGGAAAGGCCAGAGGCTGCTGCCATGTCTTTCTTCCTGATGCCCACAGGATTACAAAATAACTCTTGTACCCCTGGAAGGCAGTGGCAATGCCTACAACTGGCTAACATCTTAATCCTGTGGAGGAAGAGAATATGGCTACAAATCTCGGTTGAGAACATAAGGCAGTTATGGGCATTTCCTCACCCTGGGTCAAATTTGAGACTTTAGACAAAGAATAGTTTATTTCACAAAAAAGTAGGGAACTCCTTCCTATATGTACAGGGAGAACAAGCCATTCATTATTGTAGCTTTTTTTTTTTTTTTTTAAGATGGAGTCTTGTTCTGTTGCCAGGCTGGAGTACAATGGAGCGATCTCGGCTCACTGCAACCTCTGTCTCCCGGGTTCAAGTGATTCCCCTGCCTCAGCCTCCCGAGTAGCTGGGACTACAGGCACGCGCTACCATGCCTGGCTAATTTTTTGTATTTTAGCAGAGACGGGGTTTCACCATGTTGGCCAGGATGGTCTCGATCTCCTGACCTTGTGATCCACCCACCTCGGCCTCCCAATATTGTAGCTCTTTTTATGCTACAGAGACACTGCTATTTTCACAAGGTAAGAAAAATACTTCACTTTCTTTGTTTGTGGGCCTCCTTTTAACTTTTGTTCCATGGATTGGTGGATATATCCCAGCCCTCTTAAATGTGCCTCAGAAGACTAGCATTTAGCCCCATAGTGAAGAAAAATTAGGAATGGTGTCATTGCTTTACAATTTATACTGCACAAAGGCACTGAAATGGGACAGAGAAGAGACTGGCAGGATGCAGCTGTTCTAAAACATATGGCATCTAGTAGGCAACAGAAAGTATTAATTGATCTTTGTTATTTCAATTTTTTCATAACACTGAAGTATGATTTTAGCACGTGATCTAAGTTTGCTGCTTATATAAATTCCTTCAATAATGGCTGCTAAACAATTATTTACATGTGAATTCTCCAAAATAACTACAGAAGAGCCAAAGGGTAAAACAATCAAATTCCAGTTCCACCTCCCTAAGAAACCTTCCCCAGCAAGGCTAGTCTTCACAGCTGGATATAATTCTATAGGTTAGCTTTTAAATAGCTCATGACTACTGCTTTTCCCATCTGGATTACAAACTTTCCATTGACAATATGGCAAAAACGATGAGGAACAAGGCCTTTGAAGTTGGTCAGATTTGGGTTCGAGCTCTGCACTTGCTGTGTGTCTTGTGGAGAGTTACCCAATTTTTCTTTATTATTATTATTATTATTATTATTATACTTTAAGTTTTAGGGTACATGTGCACAATGTGCAGGTTAGTTACATATGTAAGAGTTACCCAATTTTTCTAAGCCTCTGTTTCCTCACTTATAAATCAGGGATACTAACACTATGGACCTCATGAAATTATAGTGAGAATTAAAAGAGAGAATGCGTGGAAAGTGCTTGGGTACAACAAATGGTCAGTAAATGTCAGTTTTCCTCCTTTTGTCTTTTAGGCACTAATGATGCCTTACAATTATTTTTTCCTTAATTTCCTTCAAGACCCATCACGGGAACAAAGAATTCAACGAATATTCACTATTAGATACAATCACACACATATATTGACTGACTGTTTACCTCTCTATTAACCAAGAGTCATTGAAAGCTCTGAACACCTACGGTCACTGAAATAAGAGATTGAAGACTGACGTAGAAACCAAGCCTCCTGACCTCTCCCCTGTACCACCATCTCTGACTGACCAGGCAGAGTGTATTACGCCCTCGAGAAGCACACAGTTGATCCCAAGGAGCAAAGAGAGTGTGTGTGTGTGTGTGTGTGTGTGTGTATCTAGACTCGTGTCTAGATTTGTGTGACTGTGTCTCGACTCTGTGTGTGTGTTTAGACTCCATATCATCAGTTGAAGAAAGTTTTCACGTTTTGACTCAAGACATTTCTCAATATCTCTTTACAGACTAAACAGAATGCCCTTATCTAACTGATTTGAACAGAGAAGTGAACCTCAGTCCCAGCACAGTTCACCCACAAACACATGCTCGGTATATGGCTCACCACTTAAATACAAAGATCCGATGGGCCTCACCACCTCAGAGGGCAGGGGATAATGATGGGGGAAGGACGAGGTGGGGTATGTGGGTGCGTCCTGCTGTAACAGGAAGACCCCAGCATACACAGAATGCCATACTGCAAAGGGAGTCTGGCTTTGAGGAGGGGATGATGAACGCCTGGAGGGCCGCGGGGAACTAGGGACCCAGGCCCCTGAGAGTCAGCGTGCGGCCAGCTAAAACCCGCGGCATCCCGGCGCTGCCACCACCGCCACCCACGCCACCCACCAGTGCAGGCTCCATACTCTTGGAAAGAAGGGGCCCGCGGATGCCTGAAGTCTCCACTTGGCCCAGTTCCTTACATGGTGTACCCAGGGGAGGCCGGGGAGGTCAGGGCCCGTAGCCATCCGTAGATCCCGGGGCGGCCGCGCACCGGCATATGGGAGCGCGCCACGGTCTTGCAGCGCGCCCTGGGCGGCCCGATGCAGCCGCCATCCCTCGGCCGAGGCCCACACCTACCCATGGGCCAGATCCCCGGGCCCCGGCACCTGCTCCGGCAGCGTCCCCGCTCCAGCGGCCCGGCGCTCACGCCCCTCGCGCTTGAGCCTGGGCGCGCAACAGCTTCCGCAGAGACGCGGGCGCCTAGCCATCCCCGCCGCTCGCCGCGTACCTTCCTCACCACCGCCGCCTTCGCCCCCTGGCACTACCGCGGGTCCGCACTCCACGCCGGGCTGATTCCGGCGCTCGCTCACTCTCTTTTTTCTTCCGTCCACGTCCCGCACGATGACGTTACGTCAGTGGCGTAAGAGTAAACCTGGGCAGCCGGCCCTACGCTGTTGACGTGGGGCGAGGGCCTGTCCTGGAGCTGCGGCGCGGCAATGGCGTAGGCCCCTTTCGAGAATCAAGCCAGCGCTCCACGTGGCGGGCCAGCCCACCAGGCCCCGGCAGCCTGGAAGAGGCGGGACTCGAGTTCAGGGGGAACGCCCACGTCCCGGGAGGGGACAGGGGCCGGAGACAGGGGCGAAGACACCTTCGAAACGCCGCCCCACTGGGCCTTCCAGGGAGGTAGAAGAGGTGCCTGGCACCCTCAGCTGCTGGTAGATTTCATAAGGTGTGTTTGTCAATGTTAACCATTTATATCCCGGGCACACCTCGGAAATAGGTTGGATCAACTTACATATGTTTGTTACTTCAGGCACATCCTGGGAATAGATTGGATCAGTTTACACACATTTGCAAACTTTGGCTCCTTAAATGGAAGCATTTTGGCACTGCAATCAAATTACTTGCCCCCTAGTCATCTGGAGGTTTCCCCAATGGTCCCATCTCAACTCCCTTTCATCAAAGGCAGTTGTAAGAATATTGCATTTTAAAATAGGATATTCAATCTATGACAACTAGAACTATTCCAAAGGTGAATGCAGACTCACCTTTAAAGAGAGACCACAAAAACCTGGCACTGTGGTGTGTGCCTGTAGTCCCAGCTACTCGTAGGTGGAGGCAGGAGAACCACCTGAGCCCAGGAGTTCAAATCCAGCCTGGACAACACAGCAAGACCCCACCTCTTAAAAAGAAAAAGAAAAAAAGTGAAAACACAGATTTTTCTCCCTCTTTCCTTGCTGTATTTTGCTCAAAGGACACATTCCTGCATAGGCACATAGTGCTGGGTGGTGGGAGGGCAGCACTTGATAGGAGGTTGGGCACAGAAAGGCATCATGCCCTTCTGTCGTCCCTGATAACACTACTAAGCCTATTTATTCATTTTCTTGTTTATTAAACACTGGCTACTGCTATGGTCTGAATATGTCCCCCAAAATTCATATGTTGGAAACTTAATTCCCAATGCAAGAATATTGGGAGGTGGGGCCTAATGGGAGGCATTTGGGTCAAGAGTGCTCCACCTTTATGAATAGAGTGACCCTCATGAATAGATTAATGCTGCTATCAAAAGGTTTGTGGAGGTGGGTGTTCTCTTCTGCTCTTCTGCCCTTCCACCACGTGAGGATACAGCAAGAAAGCCCTCACCAGATGCTGGCACCTTGATCTTGGACTTCCTAGCCTCTAGAACTGTGAGAAATAAATTTCTATTATTTAAAAATTATCCAGTCTGTGTTATTGTGTTTTAGCAGCACAAAATGGACTGAGACAGCCAAGCATTCCCTGGGTGTGGAAGAAGACATAGCTGAGTTCACAGCCTTATGGAAGAGAGAGATATATGAGCAAATAATTACAATACCATGTGATGAATACTAAAGAATGGGATGGCCAGACATTCAGGGATGGCTGAAATGGTTTGACTTTGTGTCCCCACCCAAATCTCACCTTGAATTGTAATTCCCATAATCCCCACCTATGGAGGGTGGGACCTGATGGGAGGTGATTGGATCATGGGACTGTTTCCCCCATGCTGTTCTTGTGATAGTGAGTTCTTATGAGATCTGGTGGTTTTATAAGGGACTCTTCCCCCTTCACTGGTTTGCTTTCTCCTGCCTGCCACCATGTAAGACTTGCCTCTTCCCCTTCCACCATGATTGTAAGTTTCCTGAAACCTCCCCAGCCATGTGAAACTGTGAATCATCTAAATCTCTTTTCTTTATAAATTACCCAGTCTTGGGTATGTCTTTGTAACAGTGTGAAAACAGACTAATACAATGGCTTTAAAAAGAGTTGATATTCAAATTGTGCTTTGAAGCACTAGAAGTAAGGAGTTTACCTAAAAGAGGAGAGGAGTACAGGATCATATGAGGAAGAGGGAATAAGGGAATGATATATGCAGAGGTGTGAGACACCCCGTGAAAAGAGGCTACTTGCAGTAGGACATGACAGGAGAGGGGTCTGGCTGGTATCCTAAACTTACAAAGGGTTTTTTGTGGTATGCTAAAGATTTTGAATTTTATAATCCTTAAAAACAGAGAAACATGACTTTTTAAGTGCTGGAATGGTATGATCCGATTTTTGTGCCAGAAATCAGTAAAGACGCCTAGAGCTGGAATGTTGGTTAGCCTATTGCAAAGGCCCAGGTAAGAAATGGTGGCCCAAAAAAGGCTCCAGCAGAGGAATGGGGAACAAAAAGGAGGGAGAGCTGACAGCACTTATTCAAAGTGGGAGAGTGAGAGAAGAAGAGCAGTGCTTGGGAATCTGATGGTGCTGCAATACCATGAATCAGGAAATCTATGAGGTGAGTTCTCATGAGATCTGATGGTTTTCTAAGGAACTCTTCCCCCTTCACTTGTTTGCTCTCTCATGCCTGCCACCATGTAAGACATGCCTCTTCCCCTTCCACCATGATTGTAAGTTTCCTGAGACCTCCCCAGCCATGTGGAACTGTGAACGGGGAACAACAGTTCTTTTGGGTGGGGAATGAGAATACGAAATGTGTTAAATGTGGAGCATTTTGAATTTGCAGTAGGGTAGAAAAAAACAAAAGAAATTAAATTTCCCTCAAGTAAGTTATATCTGGTACCTCATCTTTTAAGATTCTCATCATGTACTTAGAATGAATTAGATGACTGTGGGTATAGCTAGAGCCAAGGGATAGGGGCCTTCACTTTAGAAGGCCTGTTCTGGTTCTTCTCTTAACTCACAGATTACCTTATGGTAATAGCTTATCTGCCTTCCCTGCTAAAAGATAAGCTCCTGAGAACAGGGAAGTATATTCATGGAACATAAGAAATATTCAATAGATATTTGATAAATAAAATGAACTACTTTTGGTTTAGTTTTCTCAAATTAAGAAATTGGGCTAATGACACCATCCTTGTCTATCCCATAGGGTTGTGAAGAGTATAAAAAATGAAAATCCTTTAACATTGTACAGACATTTTCTATTTTATTTATCACTCATTTTTATTACTATTTTATTACTAATATTCTATTCCATCAATAAGGAGAAAGTAGTGGGATATGTAACTATGGATTAGGAAAAATTAAATTCCAGACATATGAGCTAGTTTTTCCCTCCATAGAAGTCAAGGAAGTAATTCAGCTATGATATTTTTCCTGTGTATGATAAAAAGACTGATTCTTTTTTTGACTGGAGGGGTTTAACTTCTGTCTCAGCAATTAGAAATAAGGCTGGACATGACCAGACAGTCACATAGGAAGTGGGACATTTAGTATTGGTCTATAAGAATGCAGGATTTAGAAGTGCTTCTTTAGATGCCATCTAAATTGTTTTAGGCTTAAATTACCTTAATCTCAAGTTATTTAATTGTAAAAACAGAAACTCATTCAAACAAGACAATTTACTAGAAGCAGTAACTTATAGTCTCCAAAGGCAGGAGGTAAAATTGGGTCTCACAAGGGGCAGGGACAAGAAAACCGGAAAGTAAGTAATCAAGATGGTTCTCCATCTCTAAGTCTCTTGCTGACACTTTTCTTTGCCCATCTGTTTCCTTCTCTCCACTTTTCCTTTAAGATAGAGTCTCCATTAGTGAACATTTGGTGGAAAATGGCTTCCCTAGCTCTAAAAAATCTTTCCAGTTAGTGCCCACTCATGACTCATTTCAAGTCTTGGTCTAAATTCCAAGTTCCTGGGAGAGAAAATTGTACTGGCCTAGACTGGTTCAGGACTCCATTCTTGGTCCAGTCATGCATGTAATGGAAAGATGGAGGCTGTCCCCTCCCCTCCTTAAGCAAAGTTCTGAGCAGTTGGAATTCTCAGAGAAATAGTGGACATATTCAGGAGTTGGCAATGATGGGACCCTTAAATGAAACCAGTTTCAGCCACACTATGCAACATCACATACTTTCACAAACCAAGCTGCACATCAGAAGCACCTAGAAAACTTTACAAAATACAGATCTTGGAGTCCCCACTTCCTAGACCTGCCTCTTCCACCAGTGATCAGAATCTCTAGGGGTAGGGCCCAGGAATCAGTATTTTTATAAAGCACCCTAAAAGATTACTTTGTGACTAACCTTTGGGAACCACTGCTTTAAAAGACCCAGAATACTGAACAAACAAATACAATGATAAAAAAGGGAAGTTACTCATAGAGTATTACATACAATACACAAGAAGTTGAGTTTTTTATTTGTTTGTTTGTTTGTTTTTGAAACAGGGTCTCACTCTGTTACCCAGGCTGGAGTGCAGTGGCATGATCATGGTTCACTGCAGCCTCAACCTCCTGGGCTCAAGCGATCTTCCTACTTCCATCTCACAAATAGCTGGGACTGCAAATGTTCTGGTGATGGTTGTGTAACTCTGTGAATACATTTAAAACCACTGAATTGTACACTTTAAGAGGATGAATTTTATGGTATGTGAATTATAGTTGACATGTAATTTGTCTAAAGGCACAGAGTGGTCTCAAAGCACTTCGGAATGAGGCTAAGGATCTGAATCAGGGAGTAAGAGAGACCGGATTCTGAAAGGGGCAGGTAGTCTGTCAGCAGTGGACTGGATGTCTGCTGCCCCATAGATGAGAATGAGTTGTCACATATTTTTTCCTTTAAGAAGCCCAAACTTAAATATTCCATTAGCTTTGTGGTCAGTTTCACTACAGGTCTCCTCGGAGGCAGGGTTACTGAATTAAATGTCTATGAAATGGACTATGGTGGGATCTGTGCTATCAGCTTCCCAGCTACCGACTTCCCCTTGTACAGAAGCACCTCCTCTAATTTAATAACAACTGCTCAAAACTTTGCCTTTTCTTTCAGGGAAACTGGTTACTTTCCAAGTGTTTTGGAAAAGGGCAAAATGATAAACCAGTCAGAGATGACTTTACAAATGAGCATTTTCTTCTCATGAAGCAGGATTATAACTAAGTATATGCTGTATTAAAAGGCAATTTTAATTTCAGAGCATTAATATGCTGTGAAGAAAACCAAACTATCTCCCAATTCTGTCTGACTTTCAAGTCCCCACAAAAGGAGCTGCCATCCTGCTCATCTTGGCTGTTTGGCCCATTCAGTGTTTCTACTACAGTCACTTCAGGCCCTGAACCCTCCTGCCCATGAAAAACCCTGGGCCTTCATGAGGGTTGTTCTAGGCTCCTGGGATCACCTCCCTCCCACTCACTCTCCCAATCCTCTACATCCTGCCATGTTAGTTCCAAACTTGCCCCTCACTAGTCTAGGCCACACTGATTGTTTGCTTTTCTGAACAAATGTAGGCCACACTGATTGTTTGCTTTTCTGAACAAATGTAGTCTCCTGTGTTACGTCAATCTTCCCCCACTGAGTTGTTGGGTCACTGAGGAGCTGCACTTTACAATTCCACATTTCAGAGTTTCACTGAAGTTGTTCTAGTACATTCTATTCTTTAGATTCAATTCTTTGTAAAATGGATTTAAAGTTTAAAACAAGTAGATTTGATATCGTCCACCAAAAATTTGCCTTAATTACAAGGCTAGCATAATTCTGCTCCAGGGCTAAACCTTTTAATGTTTTCTATCATAGTTCCCAACCAATTCCTACCCGCCCAAGAATAATAGGAAATTACCTTGTTTTCTCTGCAAGCCAGAATCTCTGAATTGGCAGGGCAGGCAAGGCCCTTTGTAAGCTGCCACTGCCTGCTGCTAAAAA
Organism: Homo sapiens; assembly: GCF_000001405.40. Lineage (NCBI taxonomy): Eukaryota > Metazoa > Chordata > Mammalia > Primates > Hominidae > Homo > Homo sapiens. The sequence goes on from NC_000010.11 coordinate 95,662,455, forward strand.
AAATAATTTTATGCTGAACTCACTAATGTCAGTCACAAAACTGGGGTCTTCAGAGTATATCTCCAAGGAAAAGAATCCAAGTCCCCTGATTTAAATGCTATGGTGTATTTATGGAAGTTTCATCCCTCCCTGCATACCCCCCACCCTTTTTTTGAGACAGTCTTGCTCTGTTGCCCAGGCTGGAGTACAGTGGCATGATCATGGCTTCCTGCAGCCTTGACTCCCTGGGCTCAAGTGATCCTCCCACCTCAGCTTCCTGAGTAGCTGGGACCACAAGTGTGTGCCACCATGCCTGGCTAAGCTTTTCTTTTTTTTAGATGGAGTTTCGCTCTTGTTGCCCAAGCTGGAGTGCAATGGCGCAATCTCGGCTCACTGCAACCTCCGCCTCCCTGGTTCAAGCGATTCTCCTGCCTCAGCTTCCTGAGTAGCTGGGATTACAGGCACCCACCACCATGCCTGGCTAATTTTTGTATTTTTATTAGAGATGGGGTTTCACCATGTTGGCCAGGCTGGTGTTGAACTCCTGACCTCATGATCCATCCACCTTGACCTCCCAAAGTGCTGGGATTACAGGCGTGAGCCACTGTGCCCGGCCAGCTTTTCATTTTTTGTAGAGATGGAGTCTTGCTACATTGCTCAGGCTGGTCTCGAACTCCTGACTTCAAGCAATCCTCTTGCCTCAGCCTCCCAAAGTGCTGGGATTACAGGCATGAGCCACTGTGGCCCGCCAGCTTTTCATTTTTTGTAGAGGTGGAGTCTTGCTACATTGCTCAGGCTGGTCTCAAACTCCTGACCTCAAGCAATCCTCTTGCCTCAGCCTCCCAAAGTGCTGGGATTACAGGAATGAGCCACTCTACCCGGACTTTTTTTCCCCAAACCTCACAAACATAGAAGCATAATCAGGAGGCAGACCACAGGTCAGCTGCCTTCTACCATGCTGCTGGAATTAGTACAACAAAGCTCTCAACCAGTTTTATTTTTCCTCACAATGAACGGAAGAAAAAGGCAGAAATAAATGGTAGGGTCATTTGCTAGTAGAAAAGAAAGCTGGGATTCCCCATTTACTTTGGAAACTGAGGAGAAAGAACTGCTTTCCCCACTCGTGTCTGGGCAAAGGGTGTGCCCAGATGTTGGCAAAGGAACCAGACAAAATCAACAGCCAGCAGTTTTCTGTTCCAAACAGTTAGCTCCTCTACAGTCCAGAGGGAAGCTATTCCTGAGTTCATTCAAGGTGACAGCAGAAGTGTTTCTCTCTTTCTGCTTGGCCCAACTGTGCCTGAGGGCTGATGGATCCAGACCTTGTAAACATTCAGCTAGGTGTAACATAACCAGAAAGGCTGAAGGAAGGCTCTTGGCCTTCCCAGCTTGAGAAGTAGGGGCCTCATGTGTATCTGGTGGCCTGCAGAGCCCAAAGCAGAGAGCTATGATGAATAAAATATTTTTATTGCTTTTCTAAAATAACTCCTTTCATATACAAGGATTCCTTCAGTTAGGTCCTCTATTATCCTAAATGCTCTCTGGTCATGAGCAGGTGAGGTTCTATTTAGCCAAGATAAGTGGCTGCCTCAGAGTTTCTCATAGGGAAAACTGAAATCTGATTATTTTCTTTTCTTCACATAGTCTCTAGGTTGAGAACTCCAAGTAGTAAGAGGCACAGGATAAGGATGGGAGAGACTGAGCATTTTTGAGAGAATACTCCTCTGCTGAATGCCACTTTGAAGGGAAAGAAGTCGAATGGCCATTTCCAGTCCATTTTGGGTTGGCCCCTTGGAGGCTGTGGCTTCTGGGTAATGTCCACAAAGTTCACAAGAGTTGTCAAAGATACTTCTGTAACTTGCTGAGAATCCTACGGGAAGAAAGTCAATGACAGGTCAGCGCTTGGTACCCATTCATATAGCACTCTAACTTGGCTGTTATTATTACTTTCCCTGAAGAGAGAAATGAATTATTCTAAGCAAGATATACCTTTATCTCATATTGGTCCTATGTAGTTCTCTTTCAGTGAGACACAAGGAAATGAATATCTTAGCAATAGTCAATGATAGCAGAACTGAACAGTTACACCTACCTAAACCCTGACTCTAGCTTCCCCTAGCTGGGGAGCTGCCTGATATCAGAGAGGCCACATGGCAAAACTGCTGCTCTTAGGTGCTTAGCAGCTCTACTCTATCAGAAGGCTCCAGGCTCTGAAACAGTACATATGTACAAGTGAAAGTAGTAGTAGCAATTCTATTCCTTCTCCAATGGCAGAAAGAAAGGTCACTCACAGACTCTCAGGGTTGGAAGGATCCTTCCACCACCCACCAATTCATGCCAAATAAAACAGATGTTCCTAGAAGAAGGGATCTTGTCAGACTGACTCAAGTATCTGACCTAACAGATGTAGCTTTGGTAGATATGGCTGCAGCCTGATGATGTCTGGAATCATGTTTATCTAAAATGAATTCCCTTTGTTTTGACTCAGCTCAACAAGCAAACTTTTGATTATAATTTTTGGACAGTAAATAATTATTTTGTTAAACTTGAAGATTTTCTTCAATCACCCTCCTTCACTCTGATGAACATATTATGCATTTGCTGTGGTCTTTGGCAACAGTAAGTACCAAGCTCTGGGAACATAGTTTTGCCTGGAATAACTCTCCTAGGGACTGTCACTTGATTGTTTGTTTTTAGAGACAGGGTCTTGCTCTGACACCCAGACTGGAGTGGAGTGGTGCAATCATCACTCACTGCAGCCTTGACCTCCTGGGCTCAAGTGATCCTCCTGCCTCAGCCTCCTGAGTAACTAAGACTATACGAGTGCACAACCACACCTGGCTAAATTTTTTTTTTGTGTGTGTGTGAGATGGAGTCTCACTCTGTCACCCAGGCTGAAGTGCAGTGACACAATCTTGGCTCACTGCAACCTCTGCCTCCCGGGTTCAAGTGATTCTCATGCCTCAGCCTCCCAAGTAGCTGGGATTATAGGCACCCATCACCATGCCTAGCTAATTTTTTTGTATTTTTAGTAGAGACGGGGTTTCACCATGTTGGCTGGGCTGGTCTCGAACTCCTGACCTCAAGTGATCTGCCCAGTTCAGCCTCCCAAAGTGCTGGGATTACAGGTGTGAGCCACTGCACCCGGCCTGGCTAATTTTTATTATTATATTTTTTTGTAGAGGCAGTTGTTAGTGTTGTCTATAAGTTGATTTAATAAATGTGCTATTCTAACTCATTTCAGAGCCTTTAGGAGGGCTTATTTGAAACTGCCCTCTCTGATGCATAATATGTGCATCAGAATGAAGGAGGGTGAATGAAGAAAATCTTCAAGTTTAACAAAATAGCTGTTTATAGTCCTAGGAAAATTTCCATGTTAATCTTGCTATGTTGCCCAGGCTGATCTCAAACACCTGGCCTCAAGTGATCCTCCTGCCTCAGCTTCCCAAAGTTTGTTTTTAAATGGGTATTGAGTCAGTCCTGTGCTAATCTTGCATTCAAATTAATTCTGTAGTTTTTTTTTTTTTTGAGATGGAGTCTTGCTCTGTCGCCCAGGCTGGAGTGCAGTGGCGTGATCTCGGCTCACTGCAAGCTCTGCCTCCCAGGTTCACGCCATTCTCCTGCCTCAGCCTCCCGAGTAGCTGGGACTACATGTGCCCACCATCACACCTGGCTAATTTTTTGTATTTTTGGTAGAGACAGGATTTCACAGTGTCCAGCCAGGATGGTCTCGATCTCCTGACCTAGTGATCTGCCCGCCTCGGCCTCCCAAAGTGCTGGGATTACAGGTGTGAGCCACCATGCCCAGCCTTTTTTTTTTTTTTTTAACATAGTGAGGCTCATGAGGGACTTGGCATAGGATAAATATAACTTCTGAGGCACTGAAAGAACCACATACATTACAAGGATGGCCAGCCTGGGCTGAAGCTGCCGAGGGATTCCTAACTCCAGCCAGGCATCGAAGACTGGCTGAGACTAATCAGAGAAAGAAAATGGATAAGAACATATTACCTATGAATAAATAATAAACTTTCTTTTGACTTAAACTTACAAAAGGATTTACTATTAGGACTTTAGTTTTCCTTCAGGAATTTTATAATGGGGAGAGGACATATATTCAATTTTTGGAGCAAATCTTTATAGCTGACATTATTGAAGCATGTTAATATTGTTATGTAAACTCACTGCAAAATGCCTGGTGACCTATACTGGCTGAAATGGTGAGAAATACTTTGGGATGGGAAACGGAATAGGGAATGATTTTTCAGCTATGGGTCAGTGTCGTCTAGAAGTTGATTGAATCAATGTGTTATTCTAAGTTATTTCAGAGCTTTTAGGAGGGGGGCAGATTTGAAACTGCCCACTAGCAGTCCCAGGAGAATTCCCAAAGGAGCTGTGGTTGGAATTGGGATAGTGGTCTCATGATGGAAGAGTGTGGTATTGAACACTGCTATACACCCAAATCATATCCACCTAGCATTAATTAGTAATAAAACTGATATTTGATTATCTTTATCTGACTCCTTTTAATTGGTTTCAAACTTAGGCAGGGAAAAAGAGTATCATTAGCCTCCTCAAACTCCCAAATCAGGGAATTTCTGTATCCTTGAGGTCATCCCATACCCAGAATTGAACTCTAATATAACTATTAACCCAAGAAGGCAAACCTTAGGCCAATGTCTGCTCAAGTATATATATTAATATCTTTCTAGTGGTGTTTCAGTGGCTGAGAAACCCCACATGACAAAAATTGTTCGAACTGAGTTGTTCTTTCGGAGTCACCCAGAATATGTGCTCATTAAGAGCTACTACTAGATTTGAAGACAGCAGCATAAAGACATGTCTTCTCCCTCTATATCTTAAAACCACTCCAATCCAACAAGAAACAGATACAAAAACTCCATGTTCACTGGAATGGGGAGACATCATAATATGCAAAAACAGAAAGCAGATGGCAGCAAGGTTTAACAGAGAGAAAGAAGGCCAAACCTGAAAGTTTTCAGAGACTAGATACAAGCAGATTTTCTCTGTGGAACTCTAAAGACTCAGTGACAGGAGGTAACAGAGGAAGGGATGAGGGGCAGATGGAAAATCATTACTGAATGATATCCCTTCAATGCAATCAGGCAACTATTCCTTCTCCCCCTCAACAAGAGACTAAACCACTTAAGCCAGAGAAATTCTGGATTCAGGGACATTGGGCATAAAGAAGGACAGAGTGAGGCATGGAATGAAAAATGGGGAATTATCCCTTCTCTAATTTAGCTCTAAAATGCTTACTTCATTTTAGATGAAGATGGTTTTACACCCATACCCTTCAGTCAGGAGACTAGAGTTTTCTCTGGAAAAAATTAACAGTTCCAGCAAAGACATAAAGATACTAACTGCTCCACAGTGAAGGCCACAAGTCAGTCAGTGTCACCCACAATCACAGAGCTTTCAGTCAGCTTAACAGCTTACTCTTATTTTGGATTGAGAGTTGAAGATTGACAAACATGCGGAAAGTTTCTCACAATAAAGAGAAAAACTGTACCAAATGAACAGAATAAACAACTCTGAGGAAACACAGACAATGAAAGATGAAGATGCAAAGTTGTTAGTATCTTCAGAGATACATGAAAAAAGATATTATGAAAAGAAACAGAATAAGACAGACCTTAGGTATTAAAAATCTGATGGCCAAAATAAAAAATTCAGTAAAAAAGTTAAAAGATAAAGTTGAGAATCTTTTTTAGGAAGAACAAAAAGATAAGGAGATAGACAACGAGAGAAAAGAAAAATAGAGATTCAATCTAGCGACACCCTAACAGATTAATAGGAGTGCCAAAAAAAAAAAAAAAAAGAGATATCAGAGAAAAGAGTGGGAAGGAAATTGTTAATCATGTAATAATAATAGAAAATTCTCAGAACTGAGTTTCAGAGTAAAAAATTTGGTATAATGAATGAAGAAAAGATCTACTCAAGGCATAAACTTTTGAAAACTTCAGACTATTAAGAATAAAAAGATCTTAAAATGGCTTCTGAACAGCAATATTGGAAACTAGAAGACAATGAAAGAATGCCTTCAAAATTGTGAGTGAAAATAATTTTCAATCTAGAATGTTCTATCTAACCAAATGATCATTTAAGCATAATGATGATGGATGATGATGATTGAATAAAGATATTTTCAGACAATGTGAACTAAAGAAAAAAAATACTTTACATGCATCTTCCCCCCCCAAATTATTAGACTCTAAGCTCCATAAATACAAGAGAATAAACCAAGAAAAAGGACGAAGTAGTGTCCAGTAAACAGTGAATCTAAGACAAGTAAGAATAATTCCCTAGATGGCAGTACAAGAAAGTCCCACGACCACTGCGGGGCAGCAACTAGTCCACACTACATCAGGTTATGGGGTTATGGAGGTCTCCATGAAGAAAATATGCAGGAAAATGTGGAACTGATAGATAATATGGCAAGTTCAACTATTTGAAAAACTGCATTGACAGAAATTTTACAGAGCTGTTGAAGAGTGTGAGAAGCCTTAGCTATTAGCTCAAAGAAAACTAAGAGTGAAATAGGTAATTATTAATTTCAGAAAAATAAAAAGTTCCACAAAAATTGAATACTTGCCGCAGCATGCATATTCACATAAACATCATGATGAAACATTGAATACTGATTTAATAATCTGATGCAAATACACTGGCAGAGTAGTGGGGGGGTAGGAGGAAAATAACCGACCTACAAAAATAGAAAGTCAATACATTATCTGTGAAACAGGTAAGTCAAGGATAACTAAGTGTTCAACAGCATAGTAGGGCGACTGTATTAATAACAATATATTGTGTATTTCAAAATAGCTAGAAGAGCAGATTTTAAATGTTCCCAACCACAAAGAAATGACAAATGTTCAAGGTGATGGGTATCCTAAATACCGATTTGATCATCACATAGTGTATGAATTTATCAAAATAACACATGGATCCTTGACTCCTTCCCCCTCAACCTCCACATCTACATAGCCAAGTCTTACCTGTGGCATCTCTAAATCTGAATTCTGTCACTTCTCAAAGCCCTCCAAACTCCCACCCAAGTTCAGGCCTTCAGTATCTGCTGGTGAATTTCTACACAGATTAGAACTGTTCACCTCAGGGGTGTCTCAGACCTTCCATGGATGATGTCTATCTGCTTCACCTCTCTATAACTAGTTCCAGGCATAGTACTTGGCACAGAGTAAGCACTCAATAAAGATTTTTTTTTTTAAACAAATGAGGGGAGATTTCTTTTGGAGGTAGGGAACTAACATAATAAGAGATTAATAAATCACAAAGTAGAAAGTATGTCACAGCTATTTAAGAGTTAGCAGGCCGGGCGCGGTGGCTCACGCCTGTAATCCCAGCACTTTGGGAGGCCGAGGCGGGCGGATCACGAGGTCAGGAGATCGAGACCATCCTGGCTAACACGGTGAAACCCCGTCTCTACTAAAAATACAAAAAATTAGCCGGGCGAGGTGGCGGGCGCCTGTAGTCCCAGCTACTCGGGAGGCTGAGGCAGGAGAATGGCGTGAACCCCAGGGGGCGGAGCCTGCAGTGAGCCGAGATTGCGCCACTGCACTCCAGCCTGGGCGACAGCGAGACTCCGTCTCAAAAAAAAAAAAAAAAAAAAAAAGAGTTAGCAGTTACAGATCTATTTGACCCTTTTTCCTTCCCATCACATGGTAATTAGGATCTTAATGGTTGTGCTTAATTAATTCATGTATTTATTAACAAATGTTTCAAATGAAATGTTTATTCTGCATTTATTTTTAAAATTGCCTCCATAATTGTATAGAAGTTTGGAGTAAATGCAGCCTAGTAGATACTCCAATTAAAAGGAGCTTACATTGCACTTACTAGGTAACCAGATAATACCAAATGTTATTGACCTACTTTATTTTATTTTTATTTTTATTTATTTATTAAGACAGGGTCTCACTCTGATTGCCCAGGCTGGAGTGCAGTGGTACAATCTTGGCTCACTGCAGCCTTGACCTCTTCTGGCTCAGGTGATTCTCCCACCTCAGCCTCCCAAGTAGCTGAGGCTCAGGCGTGTGCCACCTTGCACATCTAATTTTTTGTATATTTTTTTTTTTAGTAGAGATGGGGTTTTGCCATGTTACCCAGCCTGGTCTCAAATTCCTGGACTCAGGCAATCCATCCGCCTCCGCCTCCCAAAATGCTGGAATTACAAGTATGAGCCATCATGCCTGGCCTATTTTATTTTTTGAAACAGGGTCTCACTCTGTCGCCCAAGCTGGAGTGCAGTGGTACAAACACGGCTCACTGCACCCTCGACCTCTTAGAATCAAGCAATCCTCCCACCTCAGCCTCCTGAGTAGCTAGGAATACAGGTGCATGCCACCATGCCCAGCTAATTTTTTGATGTTTTGTAGAGATGGGGTCTCACTATGTTGCCTGGGCTGGTCTCGAATTCCTAGGCTCAAGTGATCCTCCCACCTCAGCCTGCCAAAGTGCTGAGATTACAGGTGTGCACCACTGCACCAGCCTATTGACCCATTTTAGAATTTGAGTTTTAGTATCACATGAAGAACAAGGTTCTTTGAGTATATTCAGTGTTTTATTTTGATTCTCAAGTCTAAATTTTTCCATTTGTGTTTTAAAAGTTATAGATAGGCAAAATTAGAGAATTCACTGTTTATTTAGTGTGTGCAACAGGAAGAGCACTGGGGAAAAATAACTCTCTCAAAATCTGGTCACCTCATTTCTTTTATCAAGACAGACAAAAGATACATAGCCCAGTCAGCACACTTCATTTACTGTGGGTCCAGTTCTGTTATGTATGGTTGACTTAATTTATTTCTACTTTAAGCTATATTTCATGATGTTTACTTAAGAAATTACCACCAGCAATTTTGTTTTAACACTTTGTAAAGTTTGGGGGGTTATTTGCTTCAATTCAATTTACAGTACAATAAAATCCTTTGTCCCAAAATAAGATTTACTTTGTAACAACATGAAGACTTGGATTAGGTTACGTTAGGCTTTGGTAATAAGAAGTACACCCTATACATTACATCTGTATGATCACGATTTTTAAACCATTATATGTTAATACCCTACGTAAAATCAGTACAAATAAAAACTATTAAAGAAAAAATTGTGGATACTAACTTTTAGGTGTGTTTTTGTAGCTGCATTCAGACTATCAACTAGAACAAATTCATCTTTGGTACAAGTGTCTAACTCATTAATGAGCTGTAAGAGTTCCTTATTTTACATATATAAGAACTTTATCAGACACATATATTACAGACTCAGGCGTGTGCCACCTTGCCCAGCTAATTTTTTGTATTTTTTTTTAGTAGAGACACGGTTTCACCATGTTGGTCAGGCTGGTCTCAAACTCCCAATCTCAGGTGATCCGCCCGCCTTGGTCTCCCAAAGTGCTGGGATTACAGGCGTGAGCCACTGTGCCTGGCCTCTCATGTTTTTTTAAATGTTTTTTTGTTTGGTTTTAATATTTTTGTTGAGGTATAATTTATAAACAATAAAATATATACATTTTAAATATTTAGTTCAATGAGTTTTGCCAATTATATATGCTTTATAGCCAATACGCAAAGCAAGGTCTGGAGTATGTCCATCATTTCAGAGCTCCTTCATGTCCCTTTCCAGTCTATTCTCTGTCCCTTTCCCAGAAGTAACCACTTTCTGACTTTTATCATTAAAAATTAATTATTATTATTGTGTGTGTGTGTCTGGCTTCTTTCACTAAAGATAAATGTTTCTGACGTTCATCTATGTTGTTTTGTGTATCAGTAATTCATTCTGTTTTACTGCTAAGTAGTATTCCATTGTGCGAATATATCATAATTTGCCCATTCTCCTCAAGATGGATATTTGGGTTGTTTCCAGTTTTGAGTGATTATGAATAGGGCTGTTATAAACTTCCTTGCACAAGCCTTTTTTGGGGCATATGTTTTAATGTCTCTTGGGTAAACACCTAGGAGTAAAATTGTGGATTCATAAGGAAGATGCATTTGTAAAAGTTTAGACCAATTTTCTTATCTACTAGCAATGTATGAGAATTCCAGTTGTTCTACATTCTTGGAACATGATTGTCAGTCTTTTTTGTTTTAGCCATTCTTGTGAGCATGAAGTAGTAGCGCACGGTTTTAATTTGCATATCTCTAATGATAATGATGTTGAATACCTTTCTATGTTTAATGATCAATTGTTTATCTCCATTTGTGAAGTATCTGTTCAAATCTTTTTTTTTTTTTTTTTTTTTTTTTAAGATGGAGTCTTGCTCTGTCGCCCAGGCTGGAGCGCAGTGGCATGATCTCGGCTCACTGCAATCTCTGCCTCCCAGGTTCAAGCAATTCTCGTGCCTCAGCCTCTGAAGTAGTTGGGACTACAGGCATGCGTCGCCATGCCCAGCAAATTTTTGTGTTTTTAGTAGAGATGGAGTTTCACCATGTTGGCCAGGCTGGTGTCAAACTCTTGACCTCAAGTGATCCGCTCATCTCAGCTTCTCAAAGTGCTGGGATTACAGGTGTGAGTGAGCCACTGCACCAGGCTGAAGTATCTGTTCAAATCTTTTGCCCATTTTTAGTTTGTCATTGTATTGTTTATTTGTAAAAGGTCTTTTTATATTCTAGATATGAGTCTTTTGTCAGATAAACTATTGAGAAACTTTTTCTCCCAAACTAGCCTGTTTTCTCATTTTCATAATGGTATCTTTTGGTGAGCAGAGATTTTTAATTTTGCTAAAGTCTAATTTATCAATTTTAAAGTTTATGGTCAATGATTTTTTTGTTTCTTGTCTAAGAAATCTTTGCTTTCTTCAAACTTACAGTCTCTTATGTTTCTTTTAGAAGCTTTATAATTCTGGATTTTATGTATTGGTCTATGATCCAGACATAAGTACTCTATGTATGGACTGAGATACAAGTTAGAGTTCATTTTTCCCCCATATGTTTACCCAGTAATTCCAGATTCATCCAGTTGTCCCAGCACCAACTTTTAAAAAATTTCAATAGTTTTTGAGGTACAGATGGTTTTTGGTTACAGGGATGAGCTCTTTAATAGTGAATTCTGAGATTTCAGCAGCACCAATTGTTAAAAAAAAAGAAACTTTTTTTTTTTCAGGGCAGGTGGCTCATGCCTGTAATCCCAGAACTTTGAGAGGCTAAGGTTGGAGGAACACTTGAGACCAGGAGTTTGAGACCATCCTGGGCAACATAGTGAGACTTCATCTCAACAAAATATTAAATAGTTGGGCATGGTGGCATGTGCCTGTAGTCCTAGCTACCTCGGGAGGCTGAGGCAGGAGGATCACTTGAGCCTAGGAATTCGAGGCTGCAGTGAACTATGATGGCACCACTTCACTCCAGCCTGGGCTGTAACACAATTTAAGACCCTGTCTCTAAGAAGTAAATAGATACATACTTTTTAAAATTTTTCCCATTGAATTGATGTGATTTATGAACCTATTTTTGAACTCTCTTCTGTCCCATTGGTCTGTCTATCTTTATACTAGAGTACCACTCTGTCTGAGATTTAGAGTAAGTCTTTAAATCAAGTACTGTAAGCCCTCCAACTTTGTTCTTTTTCAAAATTGTTTTGGCTATTCTAAGCCCTTAGCATTTCCATTTAAATTTTAGAATCAGCTCATCAATTTCTACAAAAATACCTTCTAGGATTTTATTGGGTCTGCATTAAATCTATAGATCCATTTGAGGATAGAAATCTTAATGTTAAGTCCTCTTCATGAACCATTTATTTAGATCTCCTTTATCTCAGTAATGTTTTATAGTGAAGAGGTCTTGCATCTTTTTGCTAAATTGTTCCTAAGTAATTTTTCCATGATATTGTAAATGAAACTGAATAAATTCATTTTTAAATAACATCTAGTTATTTTTAGAGTTTCCTAGTGACTTTAAGTTTAATTTTACAAAAGCAGTAAATAATAAAGTTAAAGAATATAAATAAAAATAATAAAACCATATTTCTACCGCTAAGAATACCATTATTAATATCTATATTTTATCTATACACACGGATATCCATATGTATATTTTTAACCACGAGATCATACTGTACAGGCTGTCTTGTAATCTACTTTAAAAAAAATAGTGTCTACCTTTTCATGTCAATAACATTTTTTTCCTATCTAAAATATAGTCCATATTCAAGTTTCCTTAACTATCCCAAAAGGTGCTTTACATTTCTTTGTCCAAATCAGACTCCTATCCAAAAACATAAACTGTATCTGTATGTTATATCTACAAGTCTCTTTTAATTTAACACAATCAGATATGGTGATTTCTATTATGAATGTTAGACTTTATTTAATAAAGCATATTTGACTCCAGCCAGAGTGACAGAGCGAGACCCCATCTCTAGAATGAATGAATGAATGAATGAATGAATGAATAAATAAAGTGTGTTGTAAATGTCCATGTAAAGGTAATTTTTCTTTAAATATCTCCATTTTTTTTTCCTTAGGGATAAACATATTTGAGAGAGAAGCTACTGAAAATCTTTAAATTCCCTAACTTATTTTAAAGATGTCAATGAAGTTATCCAAATTTTCAAAGGAGTCATTGAGAATGAATATGTTACAGGATAAAGGTGGTTAAATGTCATGTATCAGGGAGAGATTTCAAGTGGTTATATGTTTTATTTTATTTGAAACAGGGTCTCGCTCTTTTACCCATGTTGGAGTTCAGTGGCGCGATCTCGGCTCACTGCAACCTCCGCCTCTCGGGTTCAAGCAATTCTCCTGTCTCAGCCTCTGGAGTAGCTGGGATTACACGCGTGTGCCACCATGCCCAGCTAATTTTTGTATTTTCAATAGAGACAGGGTTTTGCCGTTTTGGCCAGACCGGTCTCAAACTCCTGACCTTAAGTGATCCATCTGTCTCGGCTTCCAAAGTGCTGGGATTACAGGTGTGAGCCACCATGCCTGGCCGGTTATATATTTTAACATAGGAAACATTAAGCAAACTTTGAAAAGTTCTTTTAAAAAAAAGGTAATAAAATAATTAAAAAATAAACCCCAGCTGAATGAACTAGGTCAGTTTCTTCAATGCTAGCTATTAGGAAACCACAGAAGGAGGCAAAGTACTTCTATAGTCTAATAGTTCATTAAGAGATAAAAGCAAATAGTGGTTGACTGATCCTTGTGAAAGAAAGATTTCAGTGACAGAAACTACTGAGTCATAGTTATTAAGTCTACTGGTGGTGCTGCAACTGTCCCTTATTGAAAGAGAAGTCAGTTAGTATTCTCCAAGACATTAACAAAAAGGAGAAAGAGAATCCCTTCTTACTAATCCTGTCACTTCCTAGCCCCTTCTACTGTAGCAATTATTTCTAAAATCTAATGTTGAATTACTCTTAATTATTGTTCCTTATCTTTCCTAGTATGCTGCCTGTTTAATTACAAGATTGTGGCAGAGGTTCTTAGCCTGGCTTCGAAAAATCAATAATCCCTGGAACAATATAAGGAATGTTGCATGTCTGCATTCTTCTAGTAAGTCAATAGTGTTAAATAGATTCTCTCAGTGGGGTCCATAAGATTCAGAACCACTAAGACAGACAGCTAGATTGGCAATTTTTCTAGCATATGTTATTTGACTGTGGTATAAAACATAGCCAACTTTCAATTATAATAAATAAAAGATGCTTATTAAATAAAACAATTAGTTATGAAATATAGTCAGAGATGTATCCTCTGAAAGTGTTTTTCAAATTGCAAATTGTGACCCACTAGTGGGTTTTGTCTAGCATTTAAAATACAAAAACAAACCAGAATAAACCAGAATAGAAAATATCTTTTTTTTTTTTTTTTTTGAGAAAAAGTCTTGCTCTGTCACCCAGGCTGGAGTGCAGTGGCAGGATCTTTGCTCACTGCAACCTCCGTCTCACGGGTTTGAGTAATTTCCAGGTAATTTTTGTATTTTTAGTAGAGACAGGGTTTCACCATGTTGGCCAGACTTGGTCTTGAACTCCTGAACTTAAGGGATCTGCCCACCTTGGCCTCCCAAAGTGCTAGGATTACAGGTGTGAGTCACCGCGCCCGGCCAGAAAATATCACATTTTCTGTTGTGATACTGAAAATCACAAATTGTGGGTGCACTGGGTATAGTAAGGGCATTGTTTCATAAAACTTTTGTGTCTATTTTATGTACATGTGTGTTGCAAACTCGGTCATGATATAAAATATATTTTCTTACCATGGGTGATAGTCAACAAAGGTTGAAAAACATTGCTTTAATACCTGCTTTTCTCTTTTCTGTTTTGCCTCAAAACTTCTTGATACGCTACTTCTATAGAAGCTTGGAACCAAAAAAGTTAATGATGATAAAATTGATAATAATGATATCAAGAGTAATATTTACTGAATATATACTACGTACCAGGAACTGTGCTGTTTTACTTTAATGATCTCACTTAATCTGTACAACCCAATGAGTATTATTAATTTCCATTTTATAGAAGAGAAAACAGATTTAGAGAAGTAAAATAACTTGATTTAGACCTAGGTCTGTCTGACTCAAAGCCCATGCTTACCATATAAACTGCAGACAATGGATCTCCTAGATAATCTAAAGAGTAGATGATTCACTTGGTGATAAACACAAATTAAATATTATAATTTTAGAAAGGTTTAGAGCCATGATCCTGTGATGCTACATTGTCTTTTAAATTCACTTATTGTTTTGGTTTCAATTGATACTGCATATTCCTTAAAACTAGTTGTTTCTTCCTAGAGATATATTTTTTAATTTAAAGGGTTTATATGTAGACATGACATATGATGTGTTTTATTAATTCTCAAATTTAAAGATCCCTTTAGAACCCTAAATAGTATAAAATTGTAAGTGGCAGAATACCATATAAACAAATGCTGTTTACCTCATGGGTTTGTTGTGAGAATTCAACACTTACAAAAAACACTGATTAAAAATACCACTAGTATCGGTCACACAGTAAATGTTCAATAAATGTTTATATATTATAATAATCATACAAGAAGATAGTGAAGTCTACAGTTTTTTTTGTTTTTTTTTTTTTTTTTTGCTGTATTTTCCCTCTATTTTATTGTTTGTCCTTGGGAATGGTCCAAAAATTTTGCTACTTCACTTTTTATAGAAAGAGGAATTTAAAGTGTTTCTATAGCTATATATTTACAATGAAAAATCATTCAGATAGTTCAGTTCACAATGCAACTGACCATCTAGCAGCTTGAGTTCAAGGTTTATAAACACAAATGCCTACCAGCCTAAGCAGATAACCTGAAAGAGAAGTGGGATGGTGAAGGGCGGGTTGGCTTAGGTTGTATGAATGCAGAACAGGGTAGAGTACTCTTTCTAAAAGTGGATATCACCATTCAGCAACTGAAGATTTTATGCCATGCAGGAATATAATAGGGTTTATACTGTCAGATTTTCAATTGAAGTCAGAAATCTGAATGTCTGGGAAATTCTTGATTCTTAAATGTTGGCATAAACTTAAATAATAAAATGCTTTGTGGGCCAAACAAAACAAGCCTATAGACTAAATGCAGTATATAGACTGGCAGTTTGCCACTCAGCTTTAGTTTTATCCTATCACTTAGATATTCTAAGCTGACCAACACAGCCTAGGTAAGAATATTATAAACTACAAACTTTCAAACAGTGTCCAGTGGAGTAGGGAGAAGCATCCCAGAAGATATACATTCTGCAAGTGTAACTCCTCCTCTTTTTTATTTTAAAAGCTTTGGAAGATGTACACTAGCTTTCTTTGGATAAGCTATTGCTATTCTGAGAAAAAAATTTCACAAGAGGCTGGGCGTGGTGGCTCACACCTGTAATCCCAGCACTTTGGGAGGTTGAGGCGGGTGGATCACCTGAGGTCAGGAGTTCGAGACTAGCCTGGCCAACATGGTGAAACTCCGTCTTTACTAAAAATACAAAAAATTAGCTGGGCGTGGTTGCAGGTGCCTGTAGTCCCAGCTACTCGGAAGGCTGAGGCAGGAGAATCACTTGAACCTGGGAGGCGAAGGTTGCAGTGAGCCGAGATCACACCACTGTACTCCAGGCTGGGAAACAAGAGTGAAACACTGTCTCAAAAAAAAAAAAAAAAAAAAATTTCACAAGATGTCCTAGACAAAAGCCTGTGTGGACGGAGAAGTGATTTCAAGTTAAGGACAAATAATCATAAATGCATAAAGAAAAAGTGAGTATGTTTATCTGACTTCTGGAGAAAATTTGCATTCAAGATTGAAGAAGTAAAAAAAATTTATTATAGAAGGAAATGCTTGCATTTGATAAACTTTTATGATATAAGTTTCATATAAGTATGAAATGATACTTTTAAGATGTTTTATTATAAGCTTATTGTAAGCACTATAAGATATAAGTATCATTTTATAACTCCTTATACTTTTATAGGAGCATAGCGTCTTTCATGGGGATGAGCTGGTTAGCCCATAAAGTGAAAATTTTTACACAAAATTACCTTTGCAAATCCCTCAAATCACACTTAGTAAAGGAACGTGGTTTTGTGTATATCATACCACATATTAATACATTCAAACAATTAATTTTTACTTAATAATTGGAACAGATAATGTTTCTTCAATTATGTATGAATGAAGCACAGCTAAAATTCTCAACTCTCGCCCACTTAGGCCAGTTAAAGTGAATGACTGTAGTGTGGTTTTGTAGCGGGGACAAACTAACCTGAAAAGCTAACTTTTGCTAAATACTAGAAAAAGCTATCAGTTAAAATACCCAGACAAAAAAAAGGCACTGAGTGACTTCAATGCCTAAAGGAACCAGAGATGTGGAAATACACAGTGAACAGTCCTGTGGGTATCTTTCCAAACAACACAGTAACCAAAAAATATAATTGAATGTTCTCATTAATACAGTTTCTGGTAACCTGAGTGTTGACCCCATTTCTAGGCAAAGAGAAATAACTTGCCCAACCCTGTTGTGAGGGAGACCCAAAGGTATTTTACTTCTGACCTAAATGTAGTCTCAAGTTTACTTTATTTCTGGGATGTAAGTACAGTGCAACAGGTAAGAATTTAAATCTGTTTGATTTTCATTATAAGTTACTAAATTGGCATGCCAGTTTATATGTGAATAATTTCACTAGGACCTAGTCATTTCTTTTTTTTTTTTTTTTTTTTTTTTTTGAGACGGAGTCTCGCTCTGTCGCCCAGGCTGGAGTGCAGTGGCGGGATCTCGGCTCACTGCAAGCTCCGCCTCTCGGGTTCACGCCATTCTCCTGCCTCAGCCTCCCAAGTAGCTAGGACTACAGGCGCCCGCCACTACGCCCGGCTATTTTTTGTAGTTTTAGTAGAGACGGGGTTTCACCATTTTAGCCGGGATGGTCTCGATCTCCTGACCTCGTGATCCGCCCGCCTCGGCCTCCCAAAGTGCTGGGATTACAGGCGTGAGCCACCGCGCCCGGCCGTCATTTCTAAGTAAAATGAAAATACCATGTTTTTAAACTTCTATAGCTAAAGATTGGTTTAAACACCAAGGCAGATGCTAAAGCTCTCCTAAGGCGCATAATAAACAATAGGTATATGTTTGCTACAGATTAAAAGTGTTCATTTAATGGAGCAGATACAACCAAGAGCTGGTAACTATAAACTAGTCACAGCGGTAACTTTAATCACAATCAACAGGCTCAGGGACTCACATATAACTGTGTGGCTGACAGATTGAACAATTATGGAAGGTGTTTTCTGTGGTTGAATCAATCAGAATAGTAATAATGGTAGGATTACTGAAAAGAAATTAACCTGTACTATAATCTGGGGTCAGATTTTTTTTAAAAAAGGATATAAGCGGTATTCATGACATCATGTTAATTTCAGTAATCAGGCAGGGTGAATAGACTTGACAAATTATGTCAGCTCACTTTAAACAAACATTGGTTGCTAACATAAATTAGCTCTTGGAAGGTAAAAAATTATTTGGTTAACAAATGACTGATAAGACAATCTAGGCTTTGCAAGGTTTAGTGATCCTTTATGAGCCATGACTTACCTGTATAGACTGGCACTGGTATAGGAATCGAACTCCTGATACATGAGCTTGCGGGTTGGACAGGAGACCTACATATGCCCACAATACCTGGATCTCCAGGGAAACTGGTATGAGACAGCAGGAAGTACAGTTTATAGCCTGCAGAAGGGTAAAGAAGCATCTGCTTGAATTGCCTGATGGTTGCCTATAGTCAATCACCAAGTACTAAGCCATTGTTTCTTAAGCATTATTCAGTAATAAGGAAGGCAATGTAGCTTAGTGGAAGAACACAAAAGTTCACAATAAGACTATGTTATTATTCCTGATCTTTTTTTTTTTTTTTTTTGAGACGAAGTCTCGCACTGTCACCCAGGCTGGAGTGCAGGGGCACGATCTCGGCTCACTGCAACCTTTGCCTCCCAGGTTCAAGCGATTCTCCTGCCTCAGCCTCTCAAGTAGCTGGGATTACAGGTGCCCACCACACCTAATTTTTATTTTTGTATTTTTAGTACAGACAGGGTTTCACCATGTTGGCCAGGCTGGTCTTGAACTCCTGACCTTGTGATTTGCCTGCCTTGGCCTCCCAAAGTGCTGGGATTACAGGCGAGACCCACCACACCCGACCTCTGATCTTTTTTTTTTTGAGATGGAGTCTCGCTCTGTTGCCCAGGCTGGAGTACAGTGGTGTGATTTCAGTTCACTGCAACCTCTGCCTCCTGGACTCAAGCGATTCTCCTGCCTCAGCCTCCCCAGTAGCTGGGATTACAGATGCCCACCACTACACCTGGCTAATTTTTGTATTTTTAGTAGAGACAGAGTTTCACCATGTTGGTCAGTCTGGTCTTAAACTCCTGATCTCAAGTGATCTGCCCGCCTCGGCCTTCCAAAGTGCTGGGATTACAGGTGTAAGCCATGGCACCTGGCTTCCTTGATTAATCTAAATAACAGTTACTGAGTATCTCCTATGTGTGAGCTGCTTAGTAGGCACTGGCTTGAGCAGATCATGTGGCTAAAGTAAAGGATTTGAATACAGGAGCAGTGTAAAGTCAAAGAAGATGATACGTAAGGGTTAGATTATGAAGTGCATCCAAGTAGTCTGGAAGCCATCAGAGAGCCTCGAAAGTTTCCAGAATAGAAATATGGTATACCTAATGCAGTACTCCAGGAGGATTAATTGCAAAATGCAGAAAGGCATATCATTCTATATGGTTTTGATTTTTAACCAGATAATGCATTTTCATGTAAATAATTGTAAAAATGTAAATTTTTATAATTACAATAGAAAGAGCACAATTTTAACCTCATGAAACTCTGTGCTGACCAAATATTCAAGAATATAAAATATTTGAAATATATGAGATTTTTGAACAACAGAAATCTGTAGATTATCTGCCTTCAAATTTTTTTCTAAGTAAGGAAAATACATTAGGTATTTTAAACCTAACCTGAAATAACTACTTCAGGCTGGGAACAGTGGCTTATGCCTGTAATCCCAGCACTTTGGGAGGCCAAGGCAGGAGGATCACTTGAGCCCAGGAGTTTGAGACCATCTGGACAACATACTGAGACCTTGTCTCTACAAAAAAATCAAAAAATTATCTAGGCATGCTGGCATGTGCCTGTGGTCCCAGCTACTCGAGGGGCTGAGGTGGGAGGATAGCCTGGGCCCAGAAGGTTGAGAATGCAATGAGCCATGATTGTGCCACTGCACTCCAGCCTAGGTAAGAGTTCAAGATCTTGACTTAGAAAAAAAAAAAAAGGCCAGGCGCGGTGGCTCATGCCTGTAATCCCAGCACTTTGGGAGGCCGAGGCAGGCGGATCACAAGGTCAGGAGTTCAAGACCAGCCTGGTCAATATAGTGAAACCTCATCTCTACTAAAAATACAAAAATTAGCCGGGTGTGGTGGCGGGTGCCTGCAGTCCCAGCTACTCGGGAGGCTGAGTGAGGCAGGAGAATCCCTTGAACCCGGGGGGTGGAGGTTGCAGTGAACCGAGATCATGCCACCACACTCGAGCCAGGGCAACACAGTGAGACTCCATCTCAAAAAAAAAAAGGCTTCAAGTGGGCATGATTTCTTATACTCTTCCTTCTATGACAAATGCATTATCTATGGAGACAAGGCTGGTTTTAAACTTACTATCCAAGATTTACAAAGGGGTAAAAATGAGTCTTCATCAGAAAGTATATTTCTCTCCTTACTGAAATGCTGCAGTGCCTGTTGAGGATCCTGGTCCACCCTCCTTTCTGGGCTGGGTCAGCATTACCAAAGATGGCAACATACTCTGGTCTGGGCCTTCCATGAAGAGTCTGATAAATCTCCTGCTGCAAGTGGCTGCAGTCTGCCTTCTTCAACCTATAATTAAACACCATGGAGGCTGCAGTCCAATGCTAACATAATAATATACCTATATTAGTACGGTATGTTAAACCAAACATTGGAAATAATATAAAATAGACCAGAGGGTATAATCCTTAGTAGGTATTAACAATTGCCAGAAAACTCTTAGCAATATCAACACTATTTAGACTAAAAGACTATTCCTGACTAGCATTTTCCGAACTGTCATTAAAAATATAAAAGTTACCATATCAACATATTCCCTACATATTCCCGAAATTGCAGGAAATGATGCGGAAGCAAAGAACTACCTGAGCTTGCATCCAGATATTGCATTCACTCCAAACTGCACTTCATGTCTTTTAACAGAGCAACTTCCATTACCCTGGCTCTGTAAGAGGGTCATCCAAGGTGGAAAAGTGATGATCAAGGACATCATAACAGAAAAAAAAAGGAGGCAGCATTGCAAAATTTATGTTCTCATTCTCCTTTAATGCTATTTATTTTGTATTACTATCATAATGTTCGAGTCACAAATTTGTGATTTTTTTCCTCAGAAAACCACAGAGAGACAACTAGATTCCAAAAATGATTAACCATATATTAGTATATAAGTACCTCATTATAATGAACAAAAAATTCCTCACCTTTGGCTAGTCTAACATAAGTTTGAAAGCCTTTGCAGCTTTTCTCATTAGGCTGCAACAGGCCACCCAGCTCTAAAAAGGATACTGAGTAACTTATATCATCAGTCAGAGCCAAGAGTGGCTTCCCAACTATATAGCCAGGATTCCCACTTCTAGGACTGGTGAGAGAAGCAGCTGTGCTCTGTTGAAAAGCCTGCAGAAAGAGGGAAGAGAAGTCAATTATGGAGATAAGCATACTTTCCCACCTCCCACTGCTTGGCTTCACCGTACCCTTCCTTAAGGCAAGGAAATGCAATAAGTGAGCTACACTGAACAATCTGGCTTCTTTCCACAGTGTAGCATTTTGCTTCTTTCACTTTTTTAAATTTACTAAAATAAATCCTTCATGATCTGAATATTGAAATTCATAATACGCTACTTTTACCAAGGATTACAACCAAGAATCTACTAAGGATCCCTTAAAAATTACTAGCAATTTAGCAATAATAACACAGCCTGGTTAAAATCTGAAAAATTTAAATGTAATTAAAAAATATATATTTTAATTAACTACAGATGTTCCAGAGATGAGCTCTGAGAGACACAGCAGTTGGTTGATCACCTGAGGGTAGAGTTGAGAAAATCTATGCTGGGTTCAAAAAGAGGAAAGAAGTAGCAGAAAGCCAAATGGCAGTGATTAAGAGTGAACACTCAGATTAAGTGGGAAATGAGTAAAATGCTGACTGCCCAGAAATATGAGAACAGCTAGTTAAAGAATTTTTGTAGGTGTTGGCTGAATTTATGATTCAAAATGACTATAAAAAAAGTTTTGATTTTAGATTGAAGTCCTGCTTTGTTGGGGGCCAGACAGAGAATTGGAGAAAATTTTAATGAGTAAAGACTTGTAGAATAACCACAACTTGTAGTAAAATTATGGAATATTAAATGTTGAGGCCTCAATCGACAGACTGAACTAGGCCTTCATATTCTTATTCTATTTCACATGTATTACAGAAGCAAAGAAATTATTTCTAACCCAATATTTCTTCCCCTCTAAATCCCCTATAAGAGAAGGGCCCTAACCCTGAAGCGAAGGATGAAGTGTTGCTGTAAGGAAGCGCCTGGCTCAACAGTCAGGTTGGTTTGTCCCAAACTGACAGAAACTTTCTGGATTCCAAAAGTCCCATTGGTCTCTATCTCATAGGTGACCTGAAATGCAAAAAGAATCAATTAATAAAAAGTAGTTATTGGGCCGAATATGTTTAGGACAGAAGATTTTCTGTCTTCAAGGGTGTTATTATAACTAAATGAGGCAGACTGAAACAGTAATGTTAAAAATGCCAAACACAAATACTATGAAAGATAAAGATGATTTCATATTATATTTGTATATGAAAAAGAAACTGGATAGAGCTCTTTAAAAGGGTTCACGGGTAGGTGAGTTTTTGGTAGGAACTGAAAGGGAAGAAAAATAAGTTGATTACGGACAGAGGAGGGCAAGTAGAAACAGGCAGAGGTGAGCATGGAACAGAAATCTGGTTTACTTGGCTCTCACAATGTTTGAGAATTAATAAAGATCATTGCTGGGGATACAAGTTGCAGGCAATTGAAAGTAACCTTAAATTTCTGAGCATAGTCTTTAAGAAGATGCTTTAAGATAATTCTTACTTTTTAAGGTTAGATTGTTTAGAGAACAGAGGAATACAAGTTGATTAATCTACTTCAGAGTTTCAGATGATACTGTGTCAAGAGAATAAAATGTGGTCAGTCAGTAAGAATCAGTAACAGACTGCAAGTGGGCAACAGAAGAGGTGTCAGAAATAATTTTAATGTCCTGGACCTGAAATACTGGAGGATGGTGGTGATGGAAATAACTGAAACGTGGTAGGGAGGATAATGGGCTCAATTATTGACAAGTTTAATTTCAAACTTGTTGGGAATTGTTGAAATTCACAATATGCTACTTTTACCAAGGATTGCAACCAAGAATCTACCAATACAACAAGTTTGCATTCCCAACATTGTTAGAGAATGCAAACAAAATTCAGTTGGGTCAGTCTGATACTTAATGGAAGATGAGGCACCTCTGGCAGTGTTGATTAACACACATCAGTCCAGAATCTGAGGTCAGTATCCCTACCTGAGAAACTACATTCTGACAAGTGTTTCCAGCCAACAGAGGAGCATTAGCCTGTGAGGTAAGTATTACAGGAACCTGGAACTAGCAACGAAAAGAAGCAAATTAACTAAAACTGAAGGCGGTATTTTGTCTTGTATCTATTAATAGATATCATGCTAAGATGAGTATTTTTCCTTCCCCTTGACCACCCTCTCTCTCTCTTCTTCCAGTGCCAGCCAACAACTTAAATTCAAGTCTTTCTAAACGAGCACTTCTCAAAACTTATTTCTCAGAACACTAGTTCTATTAAATATAAAACAAGGGTTCCATAGTCAAATAATTGTTAGAAATACTATATTCAGTATTCCCCTTAGAGATTAATAAGGCCCTCTAGCAAATTAAAGACTCCAGGAGGGGTGAGATGGCTCACGCCTATAATCCCAATACTTTGGGAAGCCAAGTCAGGAGAATTGCTTGAGGTCAGGAGTTCAAGACCAGCCTGGACAACATAGCAAGATCCCCATCTCTACAAAATATTAAAAAATTAGCTGGGCATGGTGGCACACGTCTATAGTCCCAGCTACTTGGGAGGCTGAGGTAGAAGGATTAGTTGAGCCCAGGAGGTTTAGGCTGCAGTGAACTGTGACCGTGCCACTGCACTTCAGCCTGGGTGACAGAGCAAGACCCTGTCTCTCAAAAAAATTAAGAAGCCCACCCTAAATATAGTTTATTTAACCCAATGTTTACAAACTTATCTAACACCTTATGGATCCTGGTTTCATACGAGGCTATTAACTGTATAGGACGTACTTGCAAAGGCACCGTTTTAGATCCCTACTTAATTGTTTGCTACATCACGCTTACATTTATCTTTCAACAGTACAACTTAGACTAAAATTGCCTCAGATGCAGAGGAGCCAAATATTCTTTTTCTTTTTTCCTGGTACAACAGCATCATACCTCCATATTCTGTGGATCAGTCATGCTTCTTGGAACCTAGGAGAACAGCAGGGACATGAATGTGCATATACCTTACCAAAAATCACCAGGAGCTTGTGGTTTCATATTACTACCAATAGGCTTTGGTTTGGCGGGCAGGGGAGTCAATATATTAGAATGATTTACTTCCTCTATTCCACCTGACTCTTCTTTACACTAAAATGCCAGGAAGTGGAGCCAGGCAGGAGGGTGACAGACTGTGATGCCTATTTACTCTGACAGGGCTCTACTGAATAGCAAAAGCAAGAAGTTTGGTGAGATGGGTGTTTTCCCCCTTCCACCCTCGCAAGCCAATCCCATTAGTGAGAAGGGTGATGATCTCTTATCCTGCATATATATCCCCAATTATTTCATTTGTCTTCAGATGTGGTTTCCAGGCCCTCTGTCTTTTACGTGGCTCCTGGGGATTCTGACTTTTATTCAATGCTCTTTCCACAACCCACAACAGTGAGAAGCATGTTCACTTCAACTTCATAGTAGTGACAGTGTAGGGAGAGAAAGGACACCTACCTTTAAGACTGTGAAGTTATAGTAAGAGGCAGCATTGAGGGCTGAATCCAAGGTACAGCTACTAGCCAGGTTCTTGAAAAAACGAGTGCAAGTTGTACTTTTACTCTCTAGGAAACCTTAAACACAAATAATTAAGAGAGTGGTAAATGAGAAAGCCTGTTTTAAATTGAATGAAAAGGTTGGTACTTTTGCTCTGGATTCACCTGCAGGATTGCTTTCAGCACAGAGTCCCCCAGCTCCAACTCCTGCAGGTTGTCTCAGCAAGCTTATTACAGACCACTTGGGGAAGTAAGTAAGAATGGGGTCCCCAGCCTGAATAAAATATAAAAGAAACTTTGTTCACAGTGAGACTGGACTAAACTACAACAGAAAAGAAAGAGTAGAAACAAGGTTAACTCAAGGGCATGATTACGTGGACAGTACTGCCCTCCAAAGAGCTGACAATGGTTTAGCTAGCTGCAGGGTAGTGCTGCAAAGTTACCTTGTCAGCTGTCTGCTGTGAGAGTAAAAACTAAACCAAACAATCCCATCCCCTTCCCCAGGCTCACCCTGTAAAAAGATGGTGGTGATTGAGTTTGGAATGTTGAAGTGAATGATTCGCCTCCAAACTCTGCAGCCAGGGCCTGGAAGTTGGTTGCATTGACCTTTTGAAGCTTCTGGAAATAGTTTAAGTTTGCTAAAATGTTTTTTAAAAGAAAAAGCGTTTAGATAAAAGAAAAACATGCCAAGTAACTAATTTTAAAAAATATTTTTATTGAAGCATAATATACAGGGTGCAAATCTTAAGTGTAAACTCAAAGAATTTTTACAAATTTATATACTTGTATTACCACTATCCAGATCAAGTTACAGAATATTTCCCCAGAAGGCTCCCAATCAATACTCCATCTCCAGAAATAACAATTCTGATTTCCATCACTTCTTATTCACAATCTATTAACTGAATTATTGTTTTAATATGCAGATCTGAGATAAGAATATGGTCATGAATGCCAGTCAGTTTCAAGTCATTGATGGTCAAGAATGTGTATGATCAGCAATTTGTAATGAAAATAGGAAGCTCAGCCAGGCATGGTGGCTCAGGCCTATAATCCCAGCACTTTGGGAGGCCGAGGCAGGTGGATCACCTGAGGTCAGGAGTTCGAGACCAGCCTGGCCAACATACTGAAACCCCATCTCTACTAAAAATACAAAAAATTAGCCGGACATGGTGGCAGGCGCCTGTAATCCCAGCTACTCAGGAGGCTAAGGCAGAAGAATTGCTTGAACCTGGGAGGCAGAGGTTGCAGTGAGCCGAGGTCGCACCACTGCACTCCAGCCTGGGCAACAAGAGCGAAACTCTGTCAAAAAAAAGAAAAAAAAAAAAAAAAAAAAAGAAAAAAAAAGAAAATAGGAAGCTCGATAATGCTCATGTCTGCCCCATACCAGATGAGTCTCTAACAGAATCGCACTATTTCCATAGGAACATGGGACAATTAGAGACAATTATGATAATTATTTGATCTGTCCTTTCCAAATCTTCCTGTTTCCTCTACACTTCAACTGACAAGTCCTAACAACAACTGACGAGTCCTAACAATGTTGCCATCTCTCAAGTTTAGAGATTTGTTGCATTTTATTCCTTAAGCCTTATAATTCCTCCATTCAAGATTTTAGATACTTCAAAAGGGTATTTTCTGGAAGAATTCTCTAATTTCTATGATAGCAATGTATAAATCTACCGAAACTCTTGCAGTCATCTCTTTATGGCACTTCAGAACCAGTAGAGAGATGTAGGAAAAGGGCTGTGATGCTGTCCCCTGCCCAGAAGATGGCAGGTGATTGACAACACTCTGTCTGCTTTACTACTCCAAGTCTGCTAAATTGAAAAAAGAACATAGGGAAACATGCCCCTTGCCAGTTTCATTCTTCATATAAGTAATGGTCATTTGTACAGAGTAAAAGAGGTTACAATACCTGCATCATTGAAAGCAAATGAGGATTCCACGTTAAATGAACCTGACCTTTACCCTCTGTGATAATGGATAACATCTTAATTACCTGACTTTTCAGCTTGCTGAAAAGTCAGCATGAATGGGGCTCTCAATTCTGGGGCCTTTCAGACTACTCACTCTCCACACATCTCCTAGATCCTTCTTATTCAAAGTGGGGTACACACATTAGTAGCTCCAGCATCACCTGAGAGCTTCTCAGAAATGTAGACTCTCAGGCCACTCCGCAGACCTCAGTCAACATCTTCATGTTAACAAGATCTCCAGGTAATGTGTATGCATATTAGAATTTGAAAAGCATTGCTCTGAAACAGGTGATGTTGATGCTGCTGTTCTGTGGGCCACTTTCCACCTCTGATCTGAAATCTTCAAACCCTAACGCTTCCAAGAGCTATTTAAACATTTCCTTCGGAACTCATACCCTGAAAACCACATGGAGGAGATATTTACCTCATGTAAAATGCAGTTATTTGTATCTTTACACATGAAATAAAAGTTAAAGTTAAGCTAAGAAAGAAGGTGAACTGAGATGGCAAAATATCTATCTGGCTATTTTTTCATGGCTTAAATGAATAAGAGAAAGTTTACATTTTGTCTCTCACTTCAGTGCAAAGATATTGGCGGTAGTGATGGTAAACATAGGCTAAGTAGAATTTTTGCCTAAAATTTCTACCATCACAGATGATATATTACACCTAAAAGAGCTTAAAGGTATTTAGATTTCTATTACAATTTCAGATGTCAAAGGAAGCCTACAGACCATCTGACCTAATCCCATGAGGAAATTTGGATCCTCAGAGGTAAAAGGGTAGCAAAAAGCCAGAGGGCCAGCTTGCAGAGCCAAGAGTAGATTGCAGATCTCCTATTCCTGGTGTTTTTTCCCCACTCCATCATGCTGTACAGACTTTGACTAAAAACGTAATTTACTGATGATCATTATCGTAGATACATATTTTTTTGAATTTTATTTTATTTTGAGATAGGATCTCACTCTGTTGCCCAGGCTGCAGTATAGTAGCATGATCACTGCATGCCTCGAACTCCTGGGCTCAAGCAATCCTACCTCAGCCTCCCAAGTAGCTGGCACTACAGGCATGCACCACCACACCCAGCTAATTTTCCTATTTTTTGTAAAGACTGGGTCTTGCTATGTTGCCAGGATTGTTCTCGAACTCCTGGGCTCATGCAATCCTCCTGCCCTGACCTCCCAAAGTGCTGGATTACAGGTATGAGCCACCATGCCTGGCTGTACCAATAGATACTAAGCACCATGGGGAAACAAAGATATGGTCCATCCTTTCATGGTGTTGACAATTTACCTGGAAAGACATGATGTTTACATAAACTAATAACAATATAATAAATCCTATAGGTTCTAAGACGGTGACTCAAACAATAAATGCTTTAGAACTTCTGAGGATGGGCTTACTTCCAAAAGATGAGCAAGAAAACACTCGTGGAAAATATAGGTATTTCAAAATGCAAAGAGAAAAAGGAACTATAGAGTCAGAAAGAAAAGCAAATACAAACTTGGGAAAAATACAGGGCATATCTTGAGGACAACGAGTAGATGAGTTCAGCCAAAGCAGAGGGTCAAGTACAGAGTAATGCTAAAAGAGCCAGGAACACTAAGTTGGATCAAATAGGAGATCTGACAGGCTGGCTAAGAAGCTGGATGTTATTTTATGGATAGTGGGAAGTAATGGAGGTTTCTCAGTAAGGAAGCAACATAATGCAATGTTATGGAAAGATTTATCTAGTGAAATGATTCTCCACAACTGTGTATACTGTGTGTAGATGCTATGTGTGTATATGTGAGGAAGGTAGGTAAATAATCAGAACCAAAGGGAAATTTTTGCCTTTTTCATACTAAACATGAATGTACACCCCACCCTCGTTCAGGAAAAAGTTCATTGATGTAATGAACCATAACTACTATTGGAAGTGGCCATATTCCTCCCTCAGGTGTTTAAAGAAAGTTCAGATCCACTGATCCCGAAGGAGTGTGCAGGATGGTGTCGGGGGCAGGAGTGGGGATCAAAAGCAGGGAGCACCAGGTAGGTGCCATTGCAATAACCCTGGAGCATGATCATAAGGCTGGATTTAAAAGGCAGTAAAATGTTTGGAAAAGAAGAGACAACTTTCTTTTTTTGAGACAGACTCTCGTTCTGTTACCCAGGTTGGAGTGCAGTGGTGCAATCTCAGCCTCCCAGGCTCACATGATTCTCCTGCCTCAGCCTCCCAACTAGCTGAGATTACAGGTGCCCACTACCATGCCTGGATAATTTTTTGTTTTTTTAGTAGAGACAGGGTTTCACCATGTTGGTTAGGCTGGTCTCAAACTCCTGACCTCAAGTGATCTGCCCACCTCAGCCTCCCAAGTGCTAAGATTACAGGAGTGAGCCACCGCGTCAGGCCACAACCTTATCTGAAAATGAAGTATTCATCTTGTTCCCTTTACCCTATTACCATCTAAATAACCACAAGGCTTCTGATAACTGCTTTGAAATTCAAGTCCCCCAAAACCAAAAACTGGTTGTTTTCTGAGACAAATATAGTTTTGCAATTCTTATTAACAGTCAGATGAAATCAGGATGAGGTGACTTCCAGGATGCAAGAGACATTTAAATCCATTTTGTGCAGGAACATTATTTTGCTTCATAGACATTTTAAAAAGATAGATTAGCTTCATATCTTTAGAAATGTTATAGCCATCACCAGCAAATTTCTAAGTCCACTAACCATCCCCAATAATAATAACCTCTAATCTTTATTGTACTCTACAGTTGTAGAGCGCTTTCATATACAAAGCCAATGATATTATTTCTCACTTTACAGTTGAAGAAACGAGCCTGGAAATGCTAAGGGATTTGCCCAAGTCTGTATAGCTGGTAAGGAAATGGCAGGACTGAGATCCTAATCTAATGCTCCTCCTACACTGTTGCCTCATGAAATGAAAATAAGGTTGGCATAGACTCATTTGTCAAAGATGTTCATTCAAACATTATTTGGTGCTTACTATGTGTTAGGCACTGGGGATTCAGTTAGTACCCTCATGGAGATTGTAGTAAGTGGGGAATATAGTCTATCTGTGATTATCTGAGTTAAGAGGAATGATTAAAATGATTGAAATTAAAGTTCTTTATGAGTTTTCTGATCCATAGCCAACAGAACATAAAAAGTTGCAAATGTGGCCAGGCGCGGTGGCTCACACCTGTAATCCCAGCACTTTGGGGGTCGAGGTGGGTGGCCCATGAGGTCAAGAGATCAAGACCATCCTGGCCAACATTGCAAAACCCCGTCTCTACTAAAAATACAAAAATTAGCTGGTCATGGTGGCACACACCCATAGTCCCAGCTACTCGGGAAGCTAAGGCAGGAGAATCACTTTAATCCGGGAGGTGGAGGTTGCAGTGAGCTGAGATCGTGCCACTGCACTGCACTCCTGGCGATAGGTGGAGGCTCCGTCTCAAAAAAAAACAAAAATGCAAATGTATTCCGTAATAAGAGAGAAGAGGCAGAAAGAGGCGTAGAGATTCAAAGGACAAAAAAAAAAAAAGTTTAAAAAAAAGAAATGGAAAAAAGGCCAGAATAAAAGCCAATTCTCAATAAATGTTAGACCAAGCTTGTCCAACCTGCAACCCACCGGCCGCATGCAGCCCAGGACGGCTTATGAATGCAGCCCAACAACACAAATTTGTAAACTTTCTTAAAACATTTGACATTTTTTTTGCTTTTTTTTTGTTGTTGTTTTTAACTCATCAGCTATCGTTAGTGTATTTTACGTGTGGCCCAAGACAATTCTTCTTCCAATGTGGGCCAGGGAAGACAAAATATAACACTCCTGTGTTAGAAAATGAGAACAACCAACATGTTTCTACTCACAGTTGTTCACATGGACACAAAACTGCCTGATTCCATTAGAATCCATGAAAACTCTTGAAGGAAACGGGGAATTACTCCTGAAGATAACAGAGTTGTCTACACAAACCCAGCTTGAAGACCTGTGAGGAAAGAGGAGGGAGAAGATATATTTAGAAGGGGCGGGGCAGGTCCAAAAAAGAGTGTCCCAGCAATATCGGCCAGATGATGCCAAAGAGGACTCCTTGGGCACCTATAGGACGACACGAAGGTCTTATTCTACTGGCCAGCCCTGCTCTAGAGAATCAGAAAAGGCAATTCCTAGGAAAAACCAAGGGAATGTCCTAGGAGTGGAAGTACGGGTGGGAGGCACAAAGACTAACTCTTCTTACATCCAAATGTTACCCGTTGTAGGCCCCAAACCCCTTTAGGATTCAGTCTGAGCAACGAAGCTCACCTTACGCTGCCTGGAAGGCAGAAGGAGAAAACTGTCCTCGGATGGAGAAGATAGCAGTCCCTGTCGCAGCAGCAATTTATATCGCAGGCTCCAGGAGTCAAGTCACAGACACAGATCGGTAAGACTATGAAAGTACGACACAGAGTGAGTGGGATGAAGATCCCCAAACTCTCCCAGGTGCTCACCCTCCTTCTTCCGACAGCCCCACTCCTGCTTTGTGGCAGCTCAACTTTGCTCACAGAATTTTAGATCTCAGAAGTAAGTTTCCACCCCCACAACGTTTTCCCTCACCTGGGAAGAGGTCCACAGTCCTATTCCCAGGGGCCGAGGGAGTCACGAGAGTAGGGACCACTGTAGGGAGTCCAGGCACGGCCGGGCGAGTTGCAGTCGCCTCTGAAGGGGACTGGAGGGTTCCGCCATCCGTCCCTCGCTGCAGCTCCAAAGACGTGGGCACTGCCCCTGATGGGGAGGAAGAGGGCTGAGGCCGGACGCCATCGGGGAACACCAGAAAGAACACTTGCAGGAGCGCGAGCTGTGGGGTGCGCATGGGGCATTCAGGGCCTCCGGGTCCGACGTAGGCCTCCGCGGTCTCCAATCGCATTGCCAGAGCGTGGGTGGGAGGAGTCGCATAGCGTCTGACGCCATCCGCGTGCCTCTTCTCATTGGCTCATGAGAAGGCTGAGAGCTCTTCAACCAATCGAAAGTGGGGTTGTTACAGCTCTTTCAGTGTCCTTCGGTCTGCGCCCTCCTCCTTAACGCGGGCCGGGCCGTGCCTCCGTTGCCTGGCAACCGTCAGTGACGAAGAAGCCCTTGCGCCTTCCTTCCGCTAGGTGGCGGTAGGAGTTCGGCGGACCGAGAGGTTCCGCGCCCACTTCGCGGCCCAGAGGACTGAGCCCGGCCTCCGGTGCAAGGAAACCCCAGAGGCCGGAACTAGAATTGCAAATTTTTTTTCACCCCGGATTCCAACGGTGAGAAACCCTTTCTATGGAAGAATAATGTTCTCAGGTGGGGGAAACACACCTAAGGTCACATACCTTAAAAAACAGTCTCCTCTAAATATGGCTTTTTTAAAAAAAAAAAAAACACATTAGAAATAATGTTCATTCAGCTCCTTACATTTTAACATTGAGAAATTTTGAAAACCCTAAAGAAATGCATCAAATCATTAAAGATGGACTGCATGTTTGTTGTTAGAAAAAGCAGTGAGAGAAAAATAAGAAAAAAGGGCAGGAAAAATGTGAGAAAATAGGGAGAGAAAGAATAAAAAAAAGAAACATTGTCTAGGAGGTGAGAAAATAAGATGGAGGAATGGAAATAGAAGATTTTTTTCCCCGTGTTAATGGCAAATTTTTTAAGCCTCTCTAGGAGGTTTTTGTTCTTCCCGGGAATGGCGTGCCTCTTCCGATTCCCCACAGCAGCGCGGGCCATGGGACTTTCCTTCGGTATTGGAAATGTACCGTAGCTGCACTGTCCAGCATGGTAGTCACCGGCCTTATGTGGCAATTGTGCGCTTGAAATGTGGCTAGCGTGACTGAGGAGCTGATTTTTTTTTTTTTTTTTTTTTTTGAGACGGTGTTTCGCTCTGTCGCTCAGGCTGGAGTGCAGTGGTGTGATCTCAGCTCACTGCAACCTCTGCCTCTAGGATTCAGGTGATTCTTCTGTTTCAGCCTCCTGAGTAGCTGGGATGACAGGCACGCGCCACCACGCCCGGCTAATTTTATTTTTATTTTTAGTAGAGATGGGGTTTCACCATGTTGTCCAGGCTGGTCTCGAATTCCTGACCTCAAGTGACCCTCCCGCCTTGGCCTCCTAAAGTGCTGGGATTACAGCTGTGAGTCGCTGTGCCTGGCCTGAATTTTTAATTTTTAAATTGTAATTAATTCAAAGTTAACCACAGACGTGAGTAGCTACCATATTGTACAGTGGGACTGTAGATGATCAAAATATTGCTCCTCCTAGACCCAGTATTTTCCTATGTCCACGGTTCTGACATCTGGATTATTTTGGATATTTAGTTTTAGTATATAAATTAACATCTGTTAAGAGTTATCTAAAATCTAGTACACTTACCTAAAATCTGGTCAACACCTCCCTTTACAAGTGAATCATTTAACTCAGGTAAGTTTTAGGACATTTGACTTTACTTGAATTCTCTTACAAGATCTTTATTTTCTAATGTTTTGAAGTCAGTAGCTAAAAGTCTCTCTGTGTTATAAATATTTTCAAATATGTTTTTATGTTGTTGTGTGATAGACAGCTATGGGAGATATGTGTTTGGTCTTAAAACATTTATTTACCTTATTAGTAATTTCTATAGGAAAAGGCCAAGTTCATATTATTCAGATTATATGATCATATGTATATACTAGAATGTAAATTCCAAAAATAGTGAGTTTTGTCTGTTTTGTTCATTGAAATATCCCCATGCCTAGAACAGTGTCTGGGACATGTTAGATGTGCATTAAATATTTTAAAAATATATTAAAAATTGTTTTGTTGAACTCTTTAGAATTAATCCTTAGGAATATTTTTAGTTTATTTTATTTCAGGATTGTATTTCTTTCTATAAAATTTCTTCTTTTTGCAACCAATTTACCATGTAATGATCTTTCTATAAAATTTCCATTGTACATCTGATCAGAGACTATTTTAGATTTCAAAGTTTGGAATTTAAATGGCAACTCTCAAATAGTGTTAAATTATTTCTGAATTTATTAGCGTTGGCAAAAGACTGTTGGTTGAAGTAATTTTAGAGATGAGTGATAAGGAAGTAATGTTTCCGGATCTTTTTGAGTTGCTTTTTCTTATTTTTGAATTTTAACACAACTTTTTTTTAGAAAAGTTATTTTTTTCTCTTTTGTTATAGTTAAGCAAAAAGATTATTTGTATTGCTGTTTTTTAAACTTGTTTTATTTATTGATTTAATTAATTAATT
Source organism: Homo sapiens (assembly GCF_000001405.40). Taxonomy (NCBI): domain Eukaryota; kingdom Metazoa; phylum Chordata; class Mammalia; order Primates; family Hominidae; genus Homo; species Homo sapiens. The sequence goes on from NC_000010.11 coordinate 95,696,288, forward strand.
AATTAACTTATTTGAGAGAGTCTTGCCCTGTCACCCAGGCTGGAGTGCAGTGGCGCCATCTTGGCTCACTGCAACCTCCACCTCCCAGGTTCAAGCAACTTTCCTGCCTCAGCCTCCCTAGTAGCTGGGACTACAGGTGTACCCACCACACCCAGCTAATTTTTGCATTTGTAGTAGAGACGGAGTTTCACCATGTTGGCTAAGCTGGTCTCAAACTCCTGACCTCAAGTGATCTGCCTGCCTCAGCCTCCCGAAGTGTTGGGATTACAGGCATGAGCCACCGTGCCTGGCATGTATTGCTGTTTTGTATTTGTAAGAATCTCTGTAATATAGAACTCTCAATACTTTTGAGATCCAGTATTAAAATCTGAAAGATAATTTTGTGGATGAAGAATGAAATTTATTCACATGTGTCATGCAGATGTCAGGTTTAGTATGGGGACCAAGTCTTAAATTGAGATCATATAATATCATCTCAGAAGCAGAGATTTCCAAATTAGATCATATGATACTAGCAGTTGTCTGTGTTTGGGATTAAAAGAGTTTAATATGTAATTGGAAATTTAGCAAGGAGATTGTACTGAGATGGCAGACAACAAGTTCTGTCCTTTTCCCACTTCTCCCCCCTTTTCCAAAAATCTCTGAAAATTACAGAAAACTTAGATACACACACACTTGTGCATACATGAACATGCCCAGAATTGAAATACATGAAGGTGTGCTCTCATGGGCCAGACATTATAAGAATACTTGAAAAATAGAAGGCACATGGGATGGAATTGAAGGTGGACAAACAACAGTTGCATAATAAAGGCCTTATACAGAAATGGAAGTGACTCTTGGAGTGCTCTAAGCACACAGAAAGAAGGTATTTGTTATCAATAGTGGCCCTTAGACAATTCTATGAGTTATTGATTGAAGTACCACTGTAGGAAGAGCCAGGTCAGCCTCTCAAGCTTATCCCTACTTGTGCTTGCGGTGGATAGCAGAAGAATTTTCCCCTAAAGGTGGTGGTGGGGGTGGCGGGAGGCAGTCCATGTATACTTTTACTGAAAAGGCAGGACAGTGCCCTGGATGGCTTCTGACATTTAGGAGGAAGAGAGAGGCCCCACACGTTGAGACTGGTCCTAGCCCACTACTAGGTTTGCGTGTCTCCTCCAAAATTCATTTCAAAACTTAATCCCCAATGTGCAGTATTGAGAGGTGGGACCTTTAAGAGGTGATTTGATCATGAGGTCTCTGCCTTCATGAATGGACTAATCCATTCACGGGTTAATGGATTAATGTGTTGTCATGAGAGAGGAACTGGTGGCTTTACAAGAAGAGGAACAGAGACCTGAGTTAGCAAGTTAACACGCTCAGCTTCCTCACCATGTGATGCCCTGTGCTGCCTTGGGATGCTGCAGAGAGTTGCCAGCAGCAAGAAGGTTCTTAAGAGATGCCCCCTTGACCTTGGGCTTCCCAGCCTCCACAACTGTAAGAAATGAATTCCTTTTCTTTATAACTTATCCTGTTTCAGGCATTCTGTTATAAGCAACAGAGAATGAACGAAGACAGAAAATTGGAACCAAGAAGTGGGATTTTGCTGATGACAAATACCTGAAAATGGGGAAGCAGCTTTGGAACTAGGTAATGAGCAGGGGCTGGAAGAGTTTGAAGGAGCAGGCTATAAAGTGACTGTATTTCAGTGAATGGAGTATTAAGGGTGATTCTGGCGAGACTCAGAAAACAAAAAGACAAGGGAACATTTGGAACTTCTTAGAGATTTGTTAAATGATTGTAACCAGAATACGGATAGAAATATGGACAGTAAAGGCCATTCTGCTGAGATTTGAGATGGAACTGAGGAAGGTGGTATTGGAAAATGGAGTAAAGGCCATCCTTGTTATAAATTGGCAAAGAACTTGGCTGAACTGTGTCCATGCCTGAGGGAATTGTGGAGGGCCAAACTTGAGATTAATGAACTAGGGTATCTAGCAAAAGAAATTCCTAAGCCAAATATAGAAGGAGCTACATGATTACATTTGACAACTTATGCTGATATTCAGGAGCAAAGGAATAATTTAAAGGTAGAATTTATCATGAAAAGGGAAGCAGAGTGGAAGGATTTGGATAACTCTCAGCCTGACCACATGAAGAGTAAAAAAGCACGTTCAGCAGAGGAAACCAAGGGTGCAGCCCAGTGACTGTTTGCTAAAGAGATTAGTTTGGATAAAAGGGAGACAGATACCATTCCTTTAGACAAGGGAAGAAAGATCCCAAAGGCATTTCAAAGATCTTAGAGGGTGCCCCTCCCATCACAGGCCCAGAGGCATAGGAGGACAGAATAGTTTCAGAGGACAGGTCAGGGTACTCTCCACAGGCTCACTGCCCAGGGCCACCTCAAGGGAGTCCCACCGGCAAGATGGCTCTCACCAGGTATGCCTCTTTGACTTTGGACTTCCCAGGCTTCATAACTGTAAGAAATCAATTTTTTTCTTTATAAATTACCCATTTTTAGGTATTCTGTTATAAGCAACAGAAAATGGACTAAGATACACACCTTGTCAAACTCCACATCTACCATTTTCTTCTTCAAAAACCCTGCAGGTGGAATGCAATAAGCAGATCCCGCCTGTGCATAGGCTAACAGGGAATCTCAGTTACCAAGGTGGACACACACTCAAAAGATCTACATTTGAAAAAGAAAAAACCCAGCAAACAAAAAAAGGGTATAATATTCAAGAAACATCAAAACCCAAGGCCGAGTACAGTGGCTCACACCTGTTATCCTAGCATTTGGGAAGCAGAAGCAGGAGGATCGCTTGAGCCAGGGAGGTTGAGGCTGCAGTGAGCCATGATCACACCAGTGCACTCTGCCCTGGGTGACAAAGTCTCTTAAGTAAAGGAAAAAGGAAAAAAAAATTTAAAAAGGACAAGTTAGAAAAATAGTTTAGAACAAATATAATTAACATTTATAGAGAGACATGAGAATTTTGCATCTATTAGAGAGGAATCAACTAGGAATTGTGATTAAAGATGGAAGAAAAATGCACATTTGGGCCAAGTGTGGTGGCTCATGCCTATAATCCCAGCAATTTGGGAGGCTGAGGCAGGGTGATTGCCTAAGTTCAGGAGTTAAAGACCAGCTTGGGCAACATGGTGAAACCCTGTCTCTACAAAAAATAAAAATTAGCCAGGTGTGGTAGTGCACACCTGTAGTTCCAGCTACCCAGGAGGCTGAGGTGGGAGGATCACTTGAGCCCAAGAGGTTGAGGCTGCAGTGAGCCTTGATTGTGCCACTGCACTCCAGCCTGGGTGACAGAGCAAAATCCTGTCCAAAAAAAAAGAAAGAGAGAGATTGAGAGAGAGAAAGAGAGAAGAAAAGAAAGGAGGTAAGAAGGAAAGAAAGATGCACATTTGACCCCTCTTTTGAAATTTTATTAAAATACCTGTTAAAAGACTTAAAAGGGTATATATTTATAAAAACAAAAAGTAGGAGGTGTGGTTGACCATCAGCATGGTCAGTATGGAAGATTTTTCATACATTTTTGAAGAAATTGGAAGGATATTGACTGAAGAAGCAGCAGCCTAGAATATCCATGGAAAGGGACTGCAGCCAAAGGAGACAGCTGCCTTCCAGCAGAATACCACAGAGTAGCCAGAACTAGCGATAGCAAGTAAGAGAGAAGATAAAAGGTAAAGTTGATGGAAATCAAGAAAATACATCGAAGGTCTATATGGTATATGGAATAGTTTGCCTTTGTACTCAAAAGGACCTATAACTAGATATTTTCTTTGAGGAAAAAATAGAGAATTCTTTCTAGAAATTGATACACTAGTTAATATAAGAGAGATTTGAGAAGTAATCAATAAAACATTCATGAGAGCAGAATATTTGGCAAAGGAGCAATCAGAATAAGAGAAAGCTCTTGGAAATTAAAACTATTAACTTTTTTGTTTAAAATTTTGGAAGATAAATATAAGGACATCTAATCTATTGAACAAAAAGATAAATAAATAGAAAATATGAGACACTGAGGATTAAATCTACAAGTCCAATGTTTGATTAATATGAGTTCCAGGAAAAAAAAAGAAAATGGAAGAATTAAATTGGTTAAGGAAATATTAGGAACTCACACCTGTAGTCTCAGCACTTTGAGAGGCTGAAGCAGGAGGATCGCTTGAGGCTGGAGGATCACTTGAGGCCAGGAGTTTGAGACCAACCTGGGCAACATAGTGAGACTCCGTTCCTACAAGAAATGAAAAAAAATACCTGGGCATGGTGGCACGTGCCTATAGTCCTAGCTGCACAAGAGGCTGAGTTGGGAAGATCGCTTGCACCCAGGAAATTGAGGTTATAGTGACCTGTGATCACAGCACTGCACTCCAGCCTGGACAATAGAGCAAATCTCTGTCTCTATTAAAAAGAAAAGAAAATGGAAAAACAATAAAACAAATAAGTCCAAATATATAAATAATTACAATAAATATGAATAAGTTTAATTCATCTATTAAGAAGTATATTCTTTTTTTTTTTTTTGAGACCAAGTTTCGCTCTTGTTGCCCAGGCTGGAGTGCAGTGGCATGATCTCGGCTCACTGCAGCCTCCACCTCCCTGGCTCAAGCAATTCTCCTGCCTCAGCTTCCCAAGTAGCTGGGATTATAGGTGCCCACCACCACGCCTGGCTAATGTTTTGTATTTTTAGTAGAGATGAGGTTTTGCCATGTTGGCCAGGCTGGTCTCGAACTCCTGGCCTCAGGTGATCTGCCCGCCTCAGCCTCCCAAAGTGCTGGGATTACAGGCCTGAGCCACCGTGCCCAGCCAGAAATAAAATCTTAATAGGCAAATGCTAATAAGGAGGAAACAGATGTGGTAATAGTAATGACAGTCAAAATAGAATTCCAGCCTAGTGCAGTGGCTTGTGCCTATAATTTCAGCTACTCAGGAAGGGAAGTTGAAGCAGAAGGACTGCTTGAGACCAGGAGTTCAAGACCAGCCGGGCAACATAGTGAGACCTTATCTCTAAAAATATAAAGATAAAAATAAAATTCTAAGTGAATTATATTTGAGGGCAATATATATTTCATCTTTATAAAAGTTACAGACTACCTAGAAGATGTTAAATTAATGAATCCTTGTGGATCTAAAGACATTGTTTTAAAATATAAAAGCAAATAAGTAGTGGAAAGAGTAGACTAGGTAAATCCACCATCAGAGTAAAAGATTTTTATCATACCTCTTCCATAAATAGATAGATTAAATAATAAAAATAGAGAAAAAGATTTAAATAAGTGATTTTAAAATTCTCAATTTATCTATAGATGGTGTAGAACTTGAACCTAATAAGCAAATAGTACTAATTATTTTCAATCATACTTGGAGCATTGACAAAAATTGACCATGTATTATGCCACAAAGGGAATCTCAATGAAGAGAAAAAAGGCAAAGATTTTATAGTACATTCTGCTTGCCACAATGCATTAAAATTAGAAATTAACATAAAAGGACAGCAAAATATCCTCTTGGAAATTAAGGGAAAAAATCACATTTTTGAATAAATCTTGAGTTAAAAGAAAATAAACACAAAAATTACAAACTAATTAAAAATGAAAGTTAAACAACTAGAATACATAGAACAAAGCCAATAGAACTTAGAGAACTTTTATATTTTCAAGTACTTTTATTTTTTAAAAAGAAATATTTAAAATAATCCTAAACTTAATCTTACAATTTAGTAAGCAAACAAATTACAAATTAAAAGATAAAGAAGAGAATTCATAAAGATAATAGAGGAAATTAAAAATTAAAAACAAATAAAAAATCAGTAGAGTAATTGATAAAACCAATAGCTGGTTATGTGAAAAGATAAACAGACAAATGTTTAGAAGATCAAATTAAAAAACACAAATTAATAATATTAGGTCCCAATAAGAGGTCATAACAATTGGTATAGACTTAAAATATATATATGATTAATATACATTCAGTAAAATAGCTGACAAGATGGAGAATTTCACCAGAGACTGAAACCTATGAAAATGCATCAAATGTAAATCCTAGAACTGAAAAGTACAATAATGGAAATTGAGAACTCTTAGATTGGTTTAACAGTGGATTAAACACAGCAGAGGGCAGGATTAGTGAACTGAAAAACTAGATTATTTGTTAAGATCTAGTATAAAACATGGGAAAATGTGTTGAAAATTCAGAAAAGAATGTAAGAGACAATGTGGGGAGAGTGGTAGAAATACTGATATGTAATTGGGCCCCAGAAGGAAAGGAGAGAGATAATGGGGTAGACACAGCAATATATTAGGATATTTTGGCTGAATATTTTCCCAAATAAATGAATGTTATCAATCTGTAGATTCCAGCTCTACAAAACCCAAACAAGATAAATTTAAAAGAAAATAATACATGGGGATATCTTACTCAAATCCCAAACATTGACAAAGAGAAAATCTTTAAAATGTATAGCTTAAAAAGACATATTACCTTCAAAACAGCAACAATAACACCTGACTTTTCTTGAAACAGAGTCTCACTCTGTCGCCCATGCTGGAGTGCAATGGTGCGATCTCGGTTCACTGCAAACTCCGCCTCTGGGTTCACACAATTCTCTGCCTCAGCCTCCAGAGTAGCTGGGAATGACAGGCACCTGCCACCACGCCAGGCTAAATTTTTTTTTTTATTTTTAGTAGAGATGGGGTTTCACCATCTTGGCCAGGCTGGTTTTGAATTCCTCACCTCGTGATCCACCCGCCTCGGGCTCCCAAAGTGCTGGGATTACAGGTGTGAGCCACCGCGCCCGGCCTACACCTGACTTTTCAACAAAAATAATGGAAGTTATAAAAAGTAGAATATCTTTAAGGAAGCTAACCTAAAATTGTATACCCAGCAAAAGATTCCTCAAAAATGAAGATAAGATAAAAATGTATTTATAAACCAAAAACTGAGGGAAAAATTACCACTAACAGACCCACACAAAGAATTGCTAAAGGGAATTCTTCATGCTAAAGAGAAAATGATCTCAGACGGATGCATGGAAATGCAGAAATAAATGAAGAGCAATGGAAAGAATAAATATAATGTCAATATAGAAAATTCAATTGTATTCCTATATTATAGCCATAATAAAGTAAAACTTTTAGATGATAAAATGTACAATTACCTGAAGAAACACTAAATACACAGGAATAAATCTGAAATAGTATAAGATCTTTACATATCACTGGGCGCGGTGGCTCACGCCTGTAATCCAAGCACTTTGGGAGGCCAAGGCAGGTGGATCACTTGAGGTTAGGAGTTTGAGGCCAGCCTGGCTAACATGGTGAAACGCTGTCTCTACTGAAAATACAAAAATTAGCCAGGCGTGGTGGCAGGCGCCTGTAATCCCAGCCACTCGGGAGGCTGAGGCAGGAGAATCACTTGAACCCAGGAGGCAGAGATTGCAGTGAGCTGAGATCGTGCCACTGCACTCCAGCCTAGGCGACAGAGCGAGACTCTGTCTCAAAAAAAAAAAAAAAAAAAAAAGATCTGACTGGGCGCAGTGGCTCACACCTGTAATCCCAGCACTTTGCGAGGCTGAGGTGGGTGGATCCCCTGAGGTCAGGAGTTCATGACCAGCCTGGACAACATGGTGAAACCCCATCTCTACTAAAATACAAAAAATTAGCCAGGCATGGTGGTTCATGCCTGTAGTCTCAGCTACTCAGGAGGCTGAGGCAGGGGAATTGCTTGAACCCGGGAGGCAGAGATTGCAGTGAGCTGAGATCACGCCACTGCACTCCAGCCTGGCAACAGAGCAAGACTCTGTCAAAAAAACAAAACAAAACAAAACTACATATCAAAATATATAATATTTCTGAGAGGAATAATAGAAAACCTAAATGAGAGCTGCACCAAATTCATGGCTAGAAAGACTTATTAATGAAAACATGTGAAGTCTTCCCAAATTCATGTATAGATTCATACAGTCCAGTAAAAATTTCAGCATTTTTGGGTAAAAATTGACATGCTGATTTCAAATTTACGTGTAATTTCAAAAGGTCAAAAATACCAAGAGAATCTTAAAGAAGAACAAGGCTAGAAGGCCTCTACCTACTAGATATCACATCTTATTATTAAGATAAAATAATTGTTAGAATAAAATGGTATCGCTTTGGCTCCAAGATCAACAAATAGATCAATGGAAAAGAATAGTGTCCAGAAAAAGACCCACACATATGTAGTCACTTGATTTGTGACAAAGGTAATATTACAGTACAGTGAGGAAAGGGTGATTTTGTCAATAAACTGTGCTGTACCAATTGGATATTTATAGGGATGACAGTGTATCTGTACTCCTACCTTACCTATACCCAAACATCAATTTTACATAGATTTTATACTTAGGGAAAAAATAAAGCTTCTAGAACGTGATGTAAGATAATACGATCCTGAGGTAGGCAAAGGGTTTTTAAGCTGGACAAAAATCACTGATAATAAAGAAAAAGATTGTTTAATTGTGTCTTGTTAACATTGAGAATTTCTCTTAATAAAAAGACAGTATTAAGAGAGTAAAAAGGCAAGCTACTCAATGGTAAAATATTATATATATATATGTATATATATGTAAATATACACATACACACATATAAAAAGAAGGATGTGTACCCAGAATACGTAAAGAATCCATGTACAATCCCCCAAAAAATTGACCAAAATTTTGACCAGACTTTTCATAAAGGAGGATATATAAATGAGTAATAAACATAAAAGAGAAACTCAACATCATTATCAAAGAAGTTCAAATGAAGACAATAATAAGATAGAATTCCATATCTTTTAAAGTGGTTAAACTTTTTAAAGGTGGAGGATATGGAGTTACTGGATATTTCATTTGCTACTGATAGGGGTATAAATTGGGGCTACCATTTACTGTTGGGCTTCATATAATAAAGCTAAACATATACATACCCTATGACCCAGCAAAATATACACTTTTAGGTGTATACCCAGTAGAAAATGTGTGTGTGTGTGTGTGTGTATGGTAAATACATATATTTAACAAAAGACTTGTATGACAACATTTATAGCAGCATGATTTAAAATAGCACCAAACTACAATCAACCTTATTATCCATCAAAAGCAAAATGTATATAAATTGTAGTATACTCATACAATGGAATAATAATATTGCAATGAAAATGAACAAAGTACTGCCACACAACAATTTTTTTTGTTGTTGTTGTTTTTTGAGACAGAGTGTAAGTCTGTCACCCAGGCTGGAGTGCAATGGCGTGAACTCGGCTCACTGCAACCTCCACCTCCCGGGTTCAAGCGATTCTCCTGCCTCAGCCTCCTGAGTACCTGGGATTACAGGCGCCTGCCACCACACCTGGCTAATTTTTGTATTTTTAGTAGAGATGGGGTTTCGCCATTTTGGCCAGGCTGGTCTTGAATTTCTGACCTCAGGTGATCTGCCCACCTTGGCCTCCCAAAGTGCTGGGATTACAGGCATAAGCCACTGCGCCAGGCCAACTTAGACAATCTAAATGATAATCGTGTTGATTTGGCCAGGCATGGTGGCTCATGGCACTTTGGGAGTCCAAGGTGGTTGAATTTGCTTTAGCTCAGGAGTTTGAGACCAGCCTGGGCGATGTAGTGAGACCTCGTCTCTATGAAAAATTTAAAAATTTAGTTGGGTGTGATGGCATGCACCTATAGGTCCAGCCACTTGGGAAACTGAGGTGGGAAGTTCACTTGAGCCTGGGAGGTCAAGGCTGCAGTGAGCAGTGATCATGCCACTGCATTCCTGCCTGGGTGAGTGAGTGAGACCTTGTCTCAAAACAAAAACAAAAACAAATATAATGTTGATCTAAAGCAAGATACACAAAAGAACATATTATATTAATTCATTTATATAAAATTCAAAAAATAGGCAAAACTGCCTTATATTATTAGAATGTTGGACAGTGGTTATGTTATGGGATCTTTGGGTTGTCAATTTTCTTCCTAGAAACCTCTGTGGCCAGTAGCGCCTTTGTTCAAGTTCTTGTCCTGCGTCCAGGAAGAATGAGGTACACAGACAAGTGAAGGATGAACAAGGCAAAGATAAACTTTATTAAGTGTTAGAACAGCTCAGAGGAGACCCTCAGTGGGTGGCTCCTCTCTGCAGATCCTCCAGTCAAGTGTTCAGCTCTCAGCATAGAGGAGGCCCTGGGGAGGGTAGCTCCTCTCTGCCCGCTGGTCGTCCCATCATCTGCTGCTCTCAGCAGAGAGGAGGCCCTGGAGAGGGTGGCTCTTCTCTGCAGACAGGTTGTTTGGAGGTCTCTGCAGGCCTCTCAAACTGTCAGCAGATGGTAGCTCTTCTTTGCAGCTTGTTGTCCCCTCATCTCTGTCCTCTGCATCCTCTGTCCTGCTCTGGCCATCCTCTCTAGTCCTGTGGCTCATAGGGTAGTAAGTACATGCAGATTGGTCCATGGGTGGTCATAGGCAGCAGGGAGTCCCCACTCTGGTGTGTGGGACTGGTGGCCTGGCCCTCAGCTTTCAGGCCCTCCATGGCCTGAAGGTGGTGCCTTACTGGGGACCCCACCCCCTTCTGCCCAGCAACCTGTCTGCCTTCCGCCGCCATTCATGGCCCGGGTGTTCAGCCCAACCCCACTTGGAGAGATCCGAGCAGGCGCCGGGAGAGAAGAGAGGTCAGGCAGTGGGAGCAGACGCTCCTAAGCCTGCAGGGACTGAGGGGGGTGCCTTCCTGGGCACCCGAGGGTGCAGGCTGCAGAGATGGCCGGGTCCTGTGCCTGGGAGGGTGGCCACAGCTATACCTGGGAGCTCCCGCCCTGCCAACTCAGGGATCCCGCTTGTTCCCAACTCCTGCCTGCTCCATGCAGCGGGGACCTGGTCTGCAGCTGTTGGTCGTGGGGGCTGCAGCTGCACCCGGGAGGGCAGATCCTGCCTGCTCCTGGCCTCCTCCAAGAGCACAGGGAGGCTCAGATGCACAGCCATGGTTTGGGCAGCTGCAGCCCTGCCCAGGAGGGTGGAGCTTCTACCTGCTCCATAGAGCATGAGGCCTGGGTCTGCAGCCACAGTTTGGGGGGGCTGCAGTGGTACCTGGGTAGCTCCCACCCCAATTCAGAAAGGGCAGGCCTCCCACTGGCTCCATGGAGTGCCCAGGCCCAGCGGGGCCTCCCTGCTGCAGCTAGTGTGATGGTAGCATCCGCTGCCATCAGTTATGTTTGAGAGGAGTAGTGACTGGGTAGGAATACAATGGAGATTTCTGAGCTGGTGGTAATCATGTCTTCAAATGGGCTAGGGTTACATGGGCAGGCTCACTTTTTTTGTTGTTTGTTTGTTTTGTTTTGTTTTTTGAGACAGAGTCTTGCTCTGTGTCTCAGGCTGGAGTGCAGTGGTGCAATCTTGGCTCACTGCAACCTCCACTTCCTGCCTTCAAGCGATTCTCGTGCTTCAGCCTCCTGAGTAGCTGGGATTATAGGCATGTGCCACTATGCCCAGCTAATTATTGTATTTTTAATAGAAATGGAGTTTCACCATGCTAGCCAGGCTAGTCTTGAACTCCTGACCTCAAGTGATCTGCCCACCTTGGCATCCCAAAGTGCTGGGATTACAGGTGTGAGCCACCTCTCCTAGCCATCACTTTGTAAAAATTAGTGGAGCTATATATACATTTGATTTATGCGTTGTTCTGTATTCATGTTTATACTTCAACAAAAAAGTTTACTTAAAAAAAGATACTAGATTTTTCCAAATTAGATTGTCAACAATGAAAAAGTTTGATGACATCAAATGATGATATAAAAAAATGGGTACACTGCATTAGGAATGTAAACTGTTATAGCCTTTTTTGGAGGGCCATAGGTCAGTATCTATTAAGTTTTTATATGCATATGCCCCTTTATTCAGGGATTTAACTTCTTTTTTTTAATTTTTATTTATTTTTATTTTATTTTTTTTTTTTTTGAGACAGAGTCTCACTCTGTCCCTAGGCTGGAGTGCAGTGCCGTGACCTCGGCTCACTACAACCTCCGACTCCCTGGTTCAAGTGATTCTTCTGCCTCAGCCTCCCGAGTAGCTGGGATTACAGGCATGTGCCATCACGCCCAGCTAATTTTTGTATTTTTAGTAGAGACAGGGTTTCACTATGTTGGCCTGGATGGTCTCAATCTCCTGACCTTGTGATCCGCCTGCCTCAGCCTCCCAAAGTGCTGGGATTACAGGCATGAGCTGCTGCGCCTGGCCCAGAGATTTAACTTCTTGATAGCTATTCCGGAGAAATCCACACAAGTGTAGAAGAGGCAAATAGAAGCATATATATTGGAAACAATGTAAATGTCTATCAGTAGCAGAGTGGATAAATAAACTATGATGCATTCATTATGGAATACTCTGCAATAGCAAGAATGAGGTAGTTCTTTATTTAGTGAAATGGAAATATCTCCAAGACAAATACATGAAAAAACCAAGTTACAGAACAGTACACAGAGCATACTATCATTTACACTAAAAAAGGCACATTTAAACTCTTAACCCAGTGTCTAATAAAAAGTTAAACAATGTTTGTGTGGTAGTATGTATGTTGTGTGGTACTTAGATTTTGAAAAACAGTTAATAATAATTTCGTGAAAAAAATTCTGCTCTGGTAGCAAAAGAACAGCGGTGAGAGCTCTCTCAATACAATAATTACAAATTGAGCATTTCTTCATTTTTAAAAACTTAACTGAGTACCTGTAGAATCATTGTCATCAGCTGAGACTTTTTAAAATTAAATTTTCTATTTCATGATAGATGAAGTTGTAGGTTATGCAACCTACAACCTTCAGGTAGATGCATGAAGTTATAGGAAATTGAGAGTACTCAGAGCAATCCTGTGTACCCTCAAAGGTAACACTTCAAAAACTATCATACAATATCACAAGTGGAATAATGGCATTGATACAACCCACCAATCTTCAAGATTTCCCCAGTTTTATTTGTGTGTGTGTATATTTAGTTCATGAAATTTTAATGCATGTGTAGTTTCATGTTTCCACCACCACAGTAAAGATACAGAGCAGTTCTGTCTCCCTGAAAATCTCTCCTCTTTTCCTTATTTTTTTTTTCTGTTTGTTTGTTTTTTCTTTGTTTTTTTGAGACGAAGTTTCGCTTTTGTTGCCCAGTCTAGAGTGCAATGGCCTGGTCTCGGCTCACTGCAACCTCCACCTCCCGGGTTCAAGCGATTCTTCTGCCTCAGCCTCCCGAGTACCTGGGATTACAGGTGCCTGCCACCACGCCCGGCTAATTTTTGTATTTTTAGTAGAGACGAAGTTTCACCATGTTGGTCAGGCTGGTCTCAAACTCATGACCTCAGGCAATCCGCCGGCCTTGGCCTCCCAAGTGCTGGGATTACAGGCCTGAGCCACCGGGCCTGGGCCTCTTGTCTTTTCATAACCAAACCCACCTTTCTTTTCCCACTCCTGCTCCCCAAGATGCAGTGTTTTTTGTTGTTGTTTGTTTGTTTGTTTGTTTGTTTTTGAGACGGAGTCTCCCTCTGTCGTCCAGGCTGAAGTGCAGTGGTGCCATCTCAGATCACTGCAACCACCACCTCCTGGGTTCAAGCAATTCTCCTGCCTTAGCCCCGGCCCCCCCCACCAGTAGCTGGGATTACAGGCATGTGCCACCACGCCCAGCTAGTTTTTGTATTTTTAGTAGAGAGGGTTTCACCATGTTGACCAGGCTGGTCTCGAACTCCTGACCTTAGGTGATCCACCCCCCTCGGCCTCCCAAAGTGCTGGGATTACAAGCGTAAGCCACTGTGCACAGCCCCCAAGACGTAATTTTAAACCATCATTAATTTTTATAATAACCATGATAGGCCAGGCACGGTGGCTCATGCCTGTAATCCCAGCACTTTGGGAGACGGAGGCGGACAGATCACTTGAGGTCAGGAGTTCCAGACTAGCTTGGCCAATATGGTGAAACCCTGTCTCTACTAAAAATACAAAAATTAGCCGGGTGTGGTGGTGCTGGCCTGTAATCCCAGCTACTCAGGAGGCTGATGCAGGAGAATCACTTGAACAGAGGAGGTGGAGGTTGCAGTGAGCAGAGATTACACCACTGCATTCCAGCTTGGGCAACAGAGCCAGACTGTTTTAAAAAAAATTTTTTTTAATGATACTCATGATTAAAATAACTATGTAATTTATCTAAATTATTGTTTACAAGCATTTATCTAAGTAAGTTGAATAAACGGTGTCTACATGTTTAGTAGAAAACAAATGTTTAGTAGCTCTGGCAGAATTCATCTCCTTGCTTTTTAAGAGATTAATAAACAATGAATACATTGTAGAGGAAAGAAGTATGTTTTCACTTTGAAACCTTTTTAAAAATTTTTCTTTAGCCATTTAGTATTAATAACAAGGGAAGTAGTATTAATAACAAGGGAAGAGGGGTTTCTACTCCTTTTCTTTTTTTCTTTGCTCTTCTTCCTCATTTCATCCCTTGGAGACTGTCTATAGTCCCACATTTTGTCCAGTTTTGAATCTGTGTAATTTTGACTCTATGGCAGAAACTGTTTATTGCTGACTATACATTTGTTCTCTCTTCTCTCAAATAAACAGAGCCCCAACTTTTTACTGAGCACAATATAGCCAAAAGATGACATTGCCCAGCCTCTTTCGCAGATAGCTGTGGCTATTCCAGGATCCCAGAAAATGGTAGCCACAAATGAAGGCCTCTGAAGCAGAACTGCCCTGGATCTTTACTGTGCTGGTGCCCTCTCGGACTTTCTCTTGCCCTTCTGTCTCTGGCCTCTCATTCTCCCCCGAGAAATGGAAACTAGAATTCCTCTTCCCCCAGGTGGGTCATAGAAGCCAGCAACAAAACCTAAAAATATCACTTTAACTTTCTCTTTCTCCCAGCCTTTCTGTATAAAAACTGGCCATAAAGAAATGATCTGACCTGCCTCGTCTGACTGTTCCAGATTGTTGAAACCCATTCTGGAGAGGCTTCTACCCCACATTTAGACTGTTGAATCCCATTGCAGAGCGGGTCCTGTCCCACATCCAGAAGGAAGGAAGGCACAGAGGTCAAGAAGAATCTAGATAGACAGCATTGCTGAGTTTCTCCCACTCAGTCTATAGCATTAGATCACACTCTTTTTTTATCCTGTTATATTTCTACATGGCTGTTCATACTTGGTTGAACCTAAGCATAAAAGTGGACAATT
This sequence comes from Homo sapiens, assembly GCF_000001405.40. NCBI lineage: Eukaryota > Metazoa > Chordata > Mammalia > Primates > Hominidae > Homo > Homo sapiens. The sequence continues at coordinate 95,711,477 of NC_000010.11, forward strand.
CCCCTATATCTTTTATTTATTTTATTTATTTTCACTTTTTTTAGGGACAGGGTCTCACACTGTCACTCGAGCTGGAGCTCGGTGGCACAATCACAGCTCATGCAGCCTCAAACTCCTGGGCCCAGCATACCTGGCTAATTTTAAAATTTTTTGTACAGATGGAATCTTGCTTTGTTCCTAAGGCTGACCTTAAACTCTTGGCCCCAAGGCATACTCCCTCCTCAGCCTCCCAAAGTGCTGAGGTCACAGGCATGTGACACTGTGCCCAGCCTCCCCTTCAGGTCTTCATTCTGCAGTCTCCTGTGTACGTGTAAAATTATGATCAAATAAATTTGTATGCCTTTTCTCCTATTAACCTGCCTTTTTTGTCAGCGATTGTCAGTGAAACTTCAGAGGGCAAAGGGGAAGTTTTCCTTGGCCCCTCCAGTTTTGGTGCTGTGAACAGGATACCAAAGCTGCTCTGTTCTTCTGGAAGCTGCAATGAAGGGAACCAAGGACCTGACAAGCCAGCAGAAGGGTAAGAAATTCTTACCAGTCAGGCTCCCGGCCTCTCTCCCTCTGTGGAATCTGGTAGAGCCGATGGTAAAAATCACTGTTTGTCTCATTTTCATCTCCAAAACCTTGATTAATGAGAAAAAAGGATTTGTGTGACTAGTTTTGGGTGTAGCGACTCTGGTGTCCTTTTTTGGTATGAATATTCACATTGTTCGGTCCCTTTCCTTCCAGAAATAGTCTTTGTCTTTCCGTGTTGTTGTGTCATAAAGAAGGATGCCATAGGGTAGGACATGGGCCTAAACCCCCATAAACTCTCTATTTGAGCTGGCACTGCAGACTGATCAGTTTTGCGGTTCTGACTAGACCTGTGTCTATAAACTTTGCTGTAGTCCCCAAAATAAAAACCAGATGAAGTTCTCCTATTGTCTTATTTCATGTCCGTATAAGACCTTGACTTTTGAGAGCATTTTCTCTTGGTCCTTGCGATTTTAGGGAGCATGATTTTCAGGTCACATTAGGTGACCAGTCTAAAAATGGCTGGTCACATAAGATTTTAAGTGGTATACTTTTTGTTCCAACTATGTCAAGCTCTCAGGGGAGTTTGTCTTAAGTTCCATCTGTAAGGGGCTCCTGTTGCCTGGTTAGGCTGGGAAAATTCTAATCCCAGGAGGGCCTACCTGGTGCCAGTGGATTAACGGGTCTGTGACTGGTGGTCCCTGGCAAATTTGTTGGTTACTAGTGGCACCATATGCACAAACACCAGCCTTAATAGTCTGTGGTGGGCTGGGCACTGTGGCTCCCGCCTGTAATCCCAGCACTTTGGGAGGCCAAGGTGGGCAGATCATGAGGTCAGGAGATCGAGACCATCCTGGCTAACACGATGAAACCCCATCTCTACTAAAAATACAAAAAATTAGCCGGGTGTGGTGGCGGACGCCTGTAGTCCCAACTACTCGGGAGGCTGAGGCAGGAGAATGGCGTGAACCCGGGAGGCGGAGCTTGCAGCGAGCAGAGATTGCGCCGCTGCACTCCAGACTGGGCGACAGAGCGAGATTCTGTCTTAAAAAAAAAAAAAAAAAAATAGGCTGTGGCGGCAAGAGTCTTTGTTATCTTAAGTCTACTTCTCAGTGAATTTTCGGGGATCATGGAGACTGTCTCCTCCATATGCTCTCAAGGAACACCTCTTGTTTATATAGTAAAAACTTATTCTAAACCTGGAAAATTATCTCCTGGACTTTTCATGAAGAGGCTTATTGTTGAGTCACTACTGGAATTTGTAAACCATTGGAAATTCTAATCATCAGTGGCCAAAAGATGGATCCTTTAAATTAGAAAGAACTTTAATTTTTTTTTCTTAAAAAGAAGATTTTGGAGATCTCTCATTCTAAACAATTGTCTTACTTGTATTTATGGGACAATCAAAATAAAGAAAGACACAATAGTGTCTTGGCTTAGAAATTCTCTTGACAAAATTAAAATGCAAAAATCTAACCCAAAACAAAATTAAAATCCTTTGTACACTCAAACTGCCTGCTTTGAATTCCCTGTGGGATTTACAAATAAGGCATTCCACCTTGTGGTGCAGTGGCTAAGATTCTGTGCTTTCACACCTGTGGCCTGGGTTTGATTCCTTGTCAGAGAATCAGTCCCTGTAGTACTTGTAAGCTCTTTAACTCAACAGCACAAACATTTATAAAACTTGGTTTAATATTTGTGTGACTCTTGACTTTTGGGGTACCCATTTGTTATTGATGGACAAATGTCCACAAAAAAGGTAGACAGGATATCCACTGCAGCTGGAGTGAGAGACAAGGGGTGGGTTAGCTCTACCATGAAGCAGCAGCAGAAAGGAAAAAAAATCTATCAACTATTTTTATATCCATCCATATAGCCATCCATCCATTCATCAATTTAAATAGTTACAGCTATTTTGGCATAAGTCCAAATTTTTGTACAGCTCAAAGTGTAGTAAGTCTCTATTTTATTTATTTAGTCTAGAATAATGTCACCATTATCACAGAAATGACATCTACATTTTTCTTAAGTTAAAGTTTGAGGCCTGGGCATGATGGCTCACTCCTGTAATCCCAGCACTTTGGGAGGCAGAGGTGGGCAGATTGCTTGAGCTCAGGAGTTCAAGACCAGCCTGGGCAACATAGTGAAACCCCATCTCTACAAAAAATACAAAAATTAGCTGGATGTGGTGCCATGGGCCTGTGGTCCTGGCTACTTGGGAGGCTGAGGTGGGAGAATCCCTTGAGCCTGGGAGGACGAGGCTGCAGTGAACTATATGATTGCACCACTACTACTGCAGCTTGGGCAATAGAATGAGACCCTGTCTCGAAAAAGGAATAAAAATAAAATTTACATAAATAAATAAATAAATAAACGTTAAAGTTTGAAAACTTAATTTACCAGTTATTTTTCTTATTTAATTAGTAATACATTACTTCTTTTCAGGTCTCAGTTTTGGATTGTAACTAACCACTGTTCTCTTTTGGAGGCATAGTGCCTTAATAAATGTATTATTTTGTCTACCAAACCATGTGTTTGTTGCCAACTTGCAGTCTAGCAGTAAAGAAGCTAATTTTTTCCTGAGTTTAAGATTATGTTGAAAAATAGAATAGCTTATAACACTTTATGATATTATGTATTATACCAAACAGAGATGAAACTAAATAAGTTTACAACCTCTTAATCTTTGCACAAATGCTATCATTTATTTATTCATTTGTGCATTACTTTACTTCATGGAAGGAATATATTTATCATTTATTTGTTTTTCAAACAGAATTTCAAAAATTTTTTTTTTTTAGAATATGCAGTGTTTGTAAAACTACAACAGCAGCAGCAACAACAGTTTAAGAATAAGATTAGCCCACATATTATCAAAATAGTATTTTCAGGTCTGCTTTCTTACATCTTGTGAGAATGTACATTCTGGATACTATCTTACTGTTTCAGTAAGCCTTGGAATTGTTTTGCAAAAGGACAACGGGAATGAAAAGAATCGTTAAGTTTTCACTGGAGAGAGTTATTCCCCTCGGTTATCCCTGGAATCTGGAAACATTATAGTTTATAAACTTGTTTAAATAAAAGGTTTATGCAATGATTCTTGTTATGCCTTTTTGATTTCTCCTGGAACTTCATGATAACAATATTTATTTTTTGTGAACTTTACTTAATCAGGAGTCATTTCAGATAACTGAGTCATACCCTCTTGTCTCTTTCTCCTTTCAATTCTGTCAGTATTTGCTTCATGTATTTTGGGGCTCTGTGGTTAGGTGTTATATGTGTATAATTGTTATATTTTCAGATGTATTAACCTTTTTATTATGATTAGATGTCCTTCCTTGTCTTAATGTGCCTTGTCATAAAGTCTATTTCATCTTATATTCATATAGCCATTCCAGCTCTTTCATAGCAGCTATTTGTGCATGCTATTCAACCTACTGTATATTTTAAACTAAACTGTGTTTCTTTTAGGCAACATGTAGTTAGATCTTGTTTTTTTTTTTAATACATCCTGACAATTTTTGTCTTTTGATTAAACTGTTTAGTTCATTCACATTCAGTGTAGTTATTGGTATGTTTGGATTTGTCTATTTTGCTATTTCCTTTCTATATGTCTTATTTCTTCTTTTTCCTCTGTTCCCCTTTTACTGCCTTCTTTTGTTTTAAATCAATATTTTAATTCATTTAGTGAGATATAATTCACATACCTTTAAATTTACCCCTTTAAAGTGTACAATTCAGTGGTTTTTAGTATATTTATAGAGTCATTATCTAATTTCAGAACATTTTAATTACTCCCAAAAGAAATCCTGTATCTATAAGCAGCCACTACCATTTCCCTCTCCCTCATCCCCTGACAACTACTTATTTATATTTGTATTTTTGTTTGCTTGTTTGTGACAGGGTTTCATTCTGTCACTCAGGCTGAAGTGCAGTGGTGTGATCATGGATCACTGCAGCCTTGACCTCCCAGGCTCAAGCAATCCTTCCACCTCAGCCTCCTGAGTAGCCGGGACTACAGATGTGTGACACCACATCCAGCTAATTTAAAAAAAATTTGTGCAGTCAGGGGTCCCACTATGTGGCCCATGCTGGTCTTAAAGTCTTGGTCTCTAGCAATCCTCCTGCCTTGGCCTCCCAAAGTGTTGGTATTGCAGGTATGAACCGCTGTGCCCAGCTCATTTTTAAGTATATTTTTAAAGTTCATTTTTCAGTGGTTACTCTAGGGATTTTTATTTTTCTTGAACTTCATAACTTTAACTTAAAATCCACTTCAGGTTAATGGTGGTTTACCTGTGATAAGATATGGCAACTTTGCTCCACTATAGCTCAGTTCTCTCCTTTTGATTTTGGTTGCGAACGGCAGTCCTTTGGTTCCTATTTGTTCCTGCATTGCTGTGGTTTGAGTATGGTTTGTCGCCACCAAAACTCATGTTGAGGCTTGGTCCCCAGTGTAACGGGTTGAGAGGTGGTAAGACTTTAAAAGGCATTTGAGTCATGAAAGATCTGCTCTTATGAAAGGATTAATGCCATATTGTGGGAGTGAGTGAGTTCTGTCTCTTGCAGTACTGGATTAATTACTGAGAGAGCAGGTGGTTATAAAGTGAAGTTTCCTCTCATGTTTTGTCTCTTTTCCACATGCTTGCTTGCCACTGTCATGTGTGCTCCTGCCATGTGATGCCATCTGCTATGTTATGATGCAACGTGAGGCCCTTGTCGGATGTGGCTTCCCAGTCTTAAACTTCCCAGTCTCCAGAACCATGAGCTAAATAAACTTCTTTTTAAAATCAATTACCCAGTCTCAGGTATTCCATTATAGCAATGTAAAATGAACTGAAACATGCATATCCTTGCTGAGCGTGACAGATGGCAAGCTTTATTTGTCTTCTGACACTGAGCCATTTCTGTAGCTAGTCATATAGTCAACTAGCTGGTCAAGGTGACCATAGAGTGGTACTGTGTCCCTGCTCACTACCTAAGGAGAGGCAGGGAAACTGGATTTGCTGCTTGCTCAAAAAGTGTTGGGCCCTTTGCCTGGGTTGCAACCCACTGTGTGGGTAGGCATGGGCCGTGTGGGATTTAGGCATAAGGAACTTAGGCAAATATGTTGATGTGCATTCTTCTTGCTGTTCTGTGAGTAATAAAGTCTTTTGTTTATGATGCAGGAATCTTGTGTCTTCTGCCTGTTTCCATGGGACAGTGTCAGGATAACTGTAAGCTTTAAGTAAGCTACAATCCCAAATCCTTCACCTTTTAAATTTGTTTTCAGCAATTCGCCTAGCTACCTAGATGTGGTTCTCTTTGTGTTTATCTTACACACATTGTTCATTGAGGTTCTTGGATCTGCAGGGTTTTTTTTTTTTTTTTTTTTTTGCAGTTGCAAGATTTAATAGAGTGAAAACAGAGCTCCCATAAAATGGGAGGGGACCCAAAGGGGGTTGCCGCTCCCTGCTCAAATGCCTGGGTTTATGTCCTGATCATTGTCCCTCCACCTGTGCTCTCAGGTGATATATGATTTGACTCTTTCTTTACCTCCTGCTTTAGCCTAATTTGTATTCTAGCGAGCCCTCTTTACTACCTGATTGGTCAGGTGTGAGCTGAGTTGCAAGCCCCGTGTTTAAAGGTGGGTGTGGTCACCTTTCCCAGCTAGGTTTAGGAATTCTTAGTCGGCCTAGGAAATCCAGCTAGTCCTGTCTCTCAGTACCCCCTCTCAACGGGAAAACCCAAGTGCTGTTGGGGAGGTTGGCCGACAACCGCTCTTAACTGCTTCCTGCTGAATTGGGGCATGATAGGGGTCGTGCAGTTGAGATTTCCTCAGGAGGGGTGCCTTCAATGCCATTAACATCAGAGCATGGGCTAGCAGGCCGGTCCAGGGGTCTGCAGTAGATCTCAGTCATGGACAGCATCTGGGGCTCCATTTGAAGAACGATTTGTAATTTTACAGCTTCGATTCTGGAAGAGGCAAACTTAACAAGGAGCTTAAACATACAGGGATTGAAATGTATGGCCTGAAGTGCAGGGGCATATATGGGTGTGGGCGGTGAAAGTGGGGTTTCCTTTAGAAAAACTCCTATATGATGGGGCATCAATATTTCCAGGAAGCTGCATTCTCCATGGAAGCTCTTGGTAAGGGGAGCTACTGGTAGTACAGTGGCATGGAGGAGGTGCAGTGAGAGTGAAAGTTTTGGGTGAAGGGTTTTAAGTAATTTCCACTGGTTAGCTGCAGGCAAAAGTATTTTTCCTTCTTCGGTGGCTAGCCATCCTGAGGGGAGGAAACTATGTCCTTGTGAGGTTCCCCATTCTATGTCTTCTGCTGAGTACTGGGGCTTGGTTTCCTGGAGGGGATTACCCCATACTAGGGGTCCTTCTATAAGCATTTCTAATGGAGGGGGTCCTGCCTTGCAGCTCTTCTGGCTTCAATATCCTCTTGGTGGTTCCCTTCTATTTCCCTTTCCTTTCCTTTCTGGTGACCCCAGCAGTGTAAGACTGCCACCTCTTTAGGTTTCTCTGTACAGCCAAGAATAATCTCCTAATGGCTTCCTGATGTTTGATAGGTGTTCCCTCGGAAGTTAGGAATTTCCTTTCTCTCCATATTGCTGTGTGGGCATGGAGAACTAGGTGAGCATACTTAGAGTCTGTATATATATTTACCCTTTTTCCTTCTTCTAATTCTAGTGCCCGAGTGAGGGCTATTAGTTCTGCCAGCTGAGCACTAGTTCCTGGAGCGAGGGGATTACTTTCAAGTATTCCATTATTACTGACCACTGCATACCCCACTTTTCGAAGTCCTTTTTCTACAAAGGAACTTCCATTAGTATACAAGTTGAGGTTGGGATCAGTTAAGGGAACCTCTAGAAGGTCCCCTCGAGTGGCATAGGTTTGAGCAATCACCTGTTGACAGTTATGTTCTATCTTTTCTTTATTATTTGGAAGAAATGTGGCTCAGTTAAGAGTTGCACAAGTGTGCAGTTGCAGCACTGGCCCTTTAAGTAATAGAGCCTGTTATTTAAGCAAATGGTTGCCTGACAGCCACAAGTCTCCTTTAGCAGTGAGTATGCTGTTCACATCATGAGATGTCCACACGGTAAGATCTCTTCCCTGTATTATTTTAACTGCTTCAGATACTAAGACTGCTACTGCCACCACTACCCGTAAACAATGAGGCCAACCTTTTGCCACTACATCAATTTCCTTACTTAGGTAAGCCATGGGTTGCAAGCTGGTCTCTCGGACCTGTGTAAGGATTCCTAGAGCTATTCCTCTTTTTTCTGTGACATATAAAGAAAAGTCTCGCTCCGTTGGCAAGCTTAATACTGGGGCTTCGGTTAGGGCCTTCTTTAGGGCCTGGAAAGCCGCTTCTGCTTCAGGTGTCCTTCTTACTAAATGGGTATTGGCTTTCTGAGTTTCCTTAATTAGTGTATATAATAGCCTGGCTATTTTGCCGTACCTGGGAATCCATATTTGGCAGAAGCGTGTTATGCCAAGGAACCCTCGTAGTTGCTTTAGGGTTTTGGGATGAGGATAAGCCAGTATAGGCTGGATACGTTCCTTACTGAAGGCCCTGGTGCCTTTGGATAATTTTAGCCCTACGTATTTAACCTGCTGTGAGCAGAGCTGAGCCTTTGGTTTGGAAACCTTGTAGCCACAGGTGGCGAGGAAATTTAAGAGCGTTTGGGTGGCTTGATGGCACAAGGTTTCTGAACGGGCGGCTAAAAGTAAATCATCCACGTACCAAAGGACAAGAGTGTCCAGGTATGAGAATTGACTCAAGTCTTGGGCTAATGCTTGGCCAAATAGATGGGGGCTATCCCTGAACCCTTGGGGTAAAACAGTCCAGGTGAGTTGAGACATTGGGTTCGAAGGATCTTCAAAGGCAAACAAGAATTGAGAGTCAGGATGTACAGGGATGCAGAAAAAGGCATCCTTAAGGTCCAGGACTGTAAACCACTCTGCTTCCTCTGGTATTTGGGAAAGCAGAGTATAAGGGTTAGGTACAGCTGGGTATGGAGGGACAATGGCCTCACTGATAATCCTGAGATCTTGCCCTAACCTCCACTGTCCATTGGGTTTCTGTACTCCTAAAATTGGAGTATTGCAGGGGCTATTGCATGGTTTTACTAGGCCTTGGGCTTTTAGTTTCTTAACAATCTTTTGGAGTCCTTGTTGGGCCTCGGGTGTAAGGGGGTACTGCCTTTGGTAGGGAAAGGAGGCAGAATCCTTTAGTTTAACTTGAACAGAACAGGCATTCTTTGCTCGTCCATATTGTCCGTCTGTTGCCCAGACTTCAGGATTAATTCCTTCCTCAAGCAGAGGGCAACAAATGGGTGTTCTTTTCCTGTGTTCAGGTGTATAATGGCCGCTGCTTTTGCTAGAATGTCTCTCCCTAACAGGGGAGTGGGGCTTTCAGGCATAATTAGAAAAGCATGTGAAAGAGTAATGTTCCCCAGTCACAACTTAGTGGTTGGGAGAAATATCTAGTGACTGGCTGTCCTAGGACCCCTCGGATAGTGACAGATCTGGAGGACAGTTTTCCGGGACAAGAGAGTAAGACTGAGAAGGCCGTGCCAGTGTCCAGGAGACAGTTAACCTCCTGGCCCTCAATGGTCAAACATACCCGGGGCTCTGTGAGGGTGATGGCATGGGCTGGTGCTTGCCACAGGCACCCTCATTCCTGCTGCTGGATCATCTGGTTAGTGGCTTCTGACTCAGAGGACCTTCGTCCCCTGGGGCAGTGGGCCTTCCAGTGATTCCCTTGACATAAGGGGCATGGACGAGGGGGCAGCTTATTTCTATTTGGACAATCTGCTTTAAAGTGTCCTTGTAGACCACACTGGAAGCAAGCCCTATTAGGCATTCGATTTGCTCAGCCTTTCTGTGTTCCAGAGCCTCCAAAGTCCGCTTGCCTGAGGGCCATGACTAAAGCGGTGGCCTTTTTCTTATCTCGTTAGTCCAGTTCCACCTGCTCCTCCTGATCTCTATTATAAAAAACCGAGGTTGCCAAGTTCAATAGGGTTTTTTAAGTTTTGCTCCATGCCTAAGGCGGACTTTTGAAGTGTTTTTTTTTATGTCTGCAGCTGACTGACTGATAAACTTATCCTTTAAGACTAGTTGGCCTTCAATAGAGTCAGGTGACAGAGAGGTATGCTTCCTCAGTGCCTCCCTTAGTCTCTCCAGAAAGGCAGTAGGATTTTCTTCCTTTCCCTGTGTTATAGTGGACATCATTGAATAATTTATAGGCTTCCTCCTAGGTTTCCCTAGTCCTACTAGCACATAAGTTAGCAAATGTCTGTGGCACCAATCTCCATGTTCTGATTCTGCATCCCAATGAGGGTTTACACTGGGAACTGCCTGCTGGCCTGTGGGGAATCATTCTCTTTCCTCTGTTGTCATCCTATCATTGACCTGACTGAGATACCAGAGATCGCCAAACTCTCAGGCTGCAGTTATGGTGGCACTTCTCTCATTTGGGGTTAGTGTCTGATTTAGCAGTAACATTATATTTCTCCATGTCAGATTAAAGGATTGTCCTAACCCTTGTAAAACATCAATATAGCCATCAGGGTTATTTGAGAATTTACCTAGGTCTATTTTAATTTGCTTTAAGTCTGACAGGGAAAAAGGTACATACACTCTGACTGGGCCGAATTCTCCAGAATACATCTTAGGGGCGTTTTTGCCTTAGGGGTAATGTTTCCTATCTGAAAAAAAAAAAACCGGGATGCCATCACCCCTAGTCATTCTCTGATGAGCATTAGTGCTAGAGCGTCTTCTATGGTCCTAATGCTTATTGCTTTCCAGGGTGCGTAACTACCCATGGACCTCTGCTTATCGGGTTAGTTACGCTTACCAAGTAGCAGTCCTGCACCCCTTTTCCCGCCTTTCTTGACCACAAAGAAAAGGGTCCAGGCTGCTGTATTCTAGTGGTCCTTTACCAGCATGCCCAACATTGCCTTTGTGCTCAGGGGTGAGTTGTAGAGCTGGGCTGGGTTCCTGAGTATTTCATAACAACCCAGTTGCCCCATCAAGATACATTCCAATAAATAAAACAGTTCTTATGCAAATTTGTGTCAGAGAGGGTGTAGGTAACATTTTGAGTCAGGATTGAGATAGATTTTTTTGATTCTATAAGTGCTTTAAGACTTGGCTGAGTGAAAACAGCTCGAACATTTCAGCAAACCAATTATTAGGCAATTCTCCTAACTCTGCTTCCACAAGAGTCTCCCTATCAATTACTGAATACCCATTGTGGTTTTTTTTTTATTATCCCAAGTTCATTGTTTTTTTGTTTTTTTTTAATTTTTTAATTTTTTATTTATTATTATTATACTTTAAGTTTTAGGGTACATGTGCACAATGTGCAGGTTAGTTACATATGTATACATGTGCCATGCTGGTGTGCTGCACCCACCCAAATGTCCAACAATGATAGACTGGATTAAGAAAATGTGGCACATATACACCATGGAATACTATGCAGCCATAAAAAATGATGAGTTCATGTCCTTTGTAGGGACATGGATGAAATTGGAAATCATCATTCTCAGTAAACTATCGCAAGAACAAAAAACCAAACACTGCATATTCTCACTCATAGGTGGGAGTTGAACAAAGAGAACACATGGACACAGGAAGGGGAACATCACACTCTGGGGACTGTTGTGGGTTGGAGGGAGGGGGGAGGGTTAGCACTGGGAGATATACCATTGTGGTTTTTTTCTCAATCACCTGGGAGGAAACCTCTATCGTCCTGTCCTGAAGGGAGTTCCTCCTAGGTCTGGTCGGACCTTTGTATGGTAATTAAGATTTAAATCCCCTGTTAGGAAATCTGCTGGGTTAAGGGAATTTTCAGTGGTTAAGGTTAAATCACCCTTTTCTAACAGAATAGCCCCATACGAGTAAGATTTGAGTTAGTAAGCTACCATTTTGCTTTTTTGACTTAGGATAATTCTGAACTGATGAGGTGTGCTCACAATGAGGTTTCCTCTAAAAGTTATTTTTCTACTTTCTTCTGTTAGCAAAGCAGTTGCTGCTACAGATTGAATGCATTTGGGCCATCTGCGGGTTACTGGGTTAAGGATTTTTGATAGGAAGGCTGCGGGTTGTCAGTGGTCTCAGTGTTTTCAGGCTGTTACGCCCTTGTTTACACTGACAACAAGGTAGTATTGGAGTGTTATAGGGTCATGGAGAAGACCTTCCATGATCAATTATAGGTTTTAAATTTACCCTGGCTTTTAAAGGAATAGGGCACATTGTTTTTTCTTTACTACTTCTATCTTTCTCTTTCTTTCTCTCTTTGACTCCCTCTTTGTCTCTCTTTCTTTCTCTCCCCTCTGTCTCTCTCTTTCTCTCTCTTTTCTCCTAGCCCTTTACAAACTTGGGGCCCTGGCAAGGGTGGTGGGGAATGGGTCTCACATAACTGCCCATGTCTAGAGCTGTATACCTAAATTGGGAGGGATACCAGGGACAAGACTCTCTGGGTTCATAGCCTAGGGGCCTAAGGATGCAGTGTAGAGCTCCCTTAGATCCCTTTGGAGATACAACTTGCTAGAGGAAATGAAACTCTGAACCATTAGTACCTAGGAGGCAGGGATGGGAGGAAGTAGATTCAGAGGTAAGGAGAATTTTGGGGCTACACTTTCAAGAAAGTCGTGGTTGGGACCCAGGAGGTATGGGTCAGAAGGAAAGGTAGGGGCACACACATGGGCAACTGTTGAGTAGAGACTTCTGGCTGTGCCATGATCTGAACCAGCTAATGCTGGGAGTTCGGGACAACAGCTTTCTGCCTCTAGTTGGCCCTCGGCTTCCCCAGGAAAATTGAAAGCGGAAGCTGATTCTAGGCAGACCAACATTCCCAACCCACAAGGATTGGGGGTTGTTAGAAAGCCCTTTCCCAGCACAGGCACGGTGGCTCACGCCTGTAATCCCAGCACTTTGGGAGGCTGAGGTGGGCAGATCACGAAGTCAGGAGGTCGAGACCATCTTGGCTAACACGGTGAAACCCTGTCTCTATTAAAAATACAAAAAAATTAGCTGGGTGTTGTGGTGGACACCTGTAGTCCCAGCTGCTGGGGAAGCTGAGGCAGGAGAATGGTGTGAACCCAGGAGGTGGAGCTTGCAGTGAGCCAAGATTGCACCACTGCACTCCAGCCTGGGTGACAGAGCAAGACTCTGTCTCAAAAAAAAAAAAAAAAAAAAAAAAAGCCCTTTCCCAGATAGCCTCACACCTGAGTCTTAAGTCCAGCGGCCACACTAATCGTTTTTAACTGGCCAACAGGTGCCTGGTATTTTCCTCCAATTCTAAGGAAGGATAGGACAGAATAGCAAGTGAAAGTGGTCCAATATTACCACTTTGGATGTCCCTTCGTGGTCACCAAAATGTTACCGGGGCGGGGTGGTCCTTGTTCTTAGAGCTCCCAAGATCGTGGGCCATTTCCAAGATGGCGGCAAGCCTCTTGTTCTCTGACCTGGGGTTCTTGGCCTCACGGATTCCAAGGAATGGAATCTGGGACCATGTGGTGAGTGTTATAGCTCTATTAGAAGCCGTGGGTCATGGAAGAGAACCATGGAACCCAGCGACTAGTGTTCAGCTCAACTAGGACGAACCTGGGCACTTAGCCATGCAGGAACAATGGCGAGCCTTTAGCCTGATTGGGAGTGGCAATGGGCACCTCGCTGGATCAGGAGTGCAGCAGACACCCTGCTGGATCCAGAGGGGTGGAAGTCAGTGATGGGTCTGCGACGGTGGCAAACAGCAGTGGTGGATGGCAAGCGAAAGCTCAGCTCAAGCCATAACAAACATGGACCAGAAGAGTGTGCAGTTGCAAGATTTAATAGAGTGAAAACAGAGCTCCCATAAAATGGGAGGGGACCCAAAGGGGGTTGCCCAGGTTAATTTTTAAAAGTAAAATTTGAGAAGTTTTGGGCCTTTATTTCTTCCAGTACATTTTCTGCTCATTTTTTCTCTCTCCTCTTTGTCTGGGACACCTCTTACATGTGTGTTGGGACACTTGAAATGGTCCCATAGATCTCTGAGGCTCTTTTTATTTTTCATCAATCTATTTCCCTCTGTTACTTGAATCAGATCCTTTCTATTGATATATTGTTAAATTAACTGATTCCTTATTCTGATACTTTCAATCTATTATACTTTTGGGCCCATCTAGTGAATTTTTCATATCACTTATTTTGCTTTTCTTCTCTAGAATTTTTATTTGATTCTTTGCTATGGCTTTTGTTTCTTATTGATATTTCCTATTGCTGAATCATTATCATATTTTTCTTTGATTTTTTAACATCATAATAACTTCTTGAAATCTCTGCTAAATCCTATATATCTGGCCCCATTCAAAGTCAGTTTATACTGACTTCTTTATTCCCCCTCGGTGAGTATGGGTTATACTCTTATAGTTCTTTGCATATCTAGTGATTTTTAATTAAATACTGGACATATGAACTAATATAGCAACTCGGGATTCTGTTTTATTTTTCTGAGGATTGTTGTTTTCTAGCAATTTGTCTGGGATTAAACTGCAGATTCTCTTCTCTGTGGTGTGTAGCTACTGATACCTCTGCTCAGCTTTTTATTCTTAATTTTTAGCCTGGCTTTCTGCAAGTTGCCCTCATGTCTACTTTAGTTTAGTGGACAGCCTACACTTTAGGAGAGGTTGTGTTAAAAAAACTGAGTCCACAGGGATTCCACCCACTCCTGCTCAATCTGTTTGTGAGTTAGGGAATGCTTTCAAAGTTATAGCCAGTTCTCAAATCTCTGGCTTTCACTTTTTGCTAGCCTGTCTTGGATTTCCACTATACACAGGTCAGAGAGAGATATGTGGAATGCTTATATCTTCTCAGATAATTCCATTAAATTTTTGGTTGGTACACTTCACATCCCAACTGGAACTACAAAACCGTGGGGTTTTCCCTGTTCACATCTAGCTGGCAAAAGTGGTTTTCTCTTCCCACCTTGGGTTGAGCCTGCCCTCTCTGGAGGAAAGCTGCTGGTTTTCATGGCTGAACTACTATCTTGCCAAGCTGTGTCCATGTTATGGGTAGAGACTAAAGGGGAGTCATCCCTGGCAAGCAGGTCATAGTTTCCCATTGTTGTTACCCAAAGTTTTGGAGACTTTTCATGAATAAATGCTTTTCAACTTGTTGTCTGCCTTTGCTCAATTTCTGGTGCACTGAAATGGCTGTGCTTGATAATAGAAACCTTACCTCCTTTTAGATCACTTTACCCTCTTCTATTTATAATGTTCATAAATATATCATCTACATATACTAGAACCATAGTGAAAGTGTTATAACTTTTGCTTCTTTCATCAAATATAATTTTAAAAACTAAAGAGAAGGAAAGCTTTTTATAATTATTCATATTTTTGTTGTGTTCTTCCTTTCTTCTTGTCTTCCAAAAATTCTTATTTAACATTTCTTTTCTGCATAGAAAACTTCTGTAACTATTCTTTTAGGGTATATATGCTGGTGATAGATTCTGTTCATTTTCCTTCATCTGAGACTGTCTTAATTTTCCTTTCATTCCTCAAGAATATTTGTGCTAGATATAGGATTCTGTGTTGACAATTCTTTTATTTTAGTAGTTGAAAAATACTGTGCCATTTTCTCTGGCCTCTGTGGTTTCTGATGAGAAAGCTACTGTAAGTCAAATTAGTTTCCTTCTAAAAGTAAAGTGTTGTTTCTCTCTCTTTACTTTCAAGATATTTTATTTGTCTTTAATTTTCAAAAGTTTGATGATTGATGTGTTTTGGTGCATTTTGGGGGGTTTATCTCTGAGAGGGTTCACTCAGTTTCTTGAATTTTTAGGTGTTTGAGTTCCCAGTATCATCTCTGCACACTGGGTCCTGAGTGACAGAAGTGCCCACCAGAAGTGATGCTTTTTCCCAAATTCATCCTTTTGAACTTTGTGCTCCCAGAGAAGTGGCACCACCTTCAAACTCAGGTTAGGGTCACTGGCTCACTGCCATCTTCAGTTTAGAATTTAAAATCCAGAGAACTCCCAAGAACATGAAGCTCCTTCGTCAGTGTTTCCACAGTAAATTATGCCCCAGCTCAGGTTCAGAAGTTGATGAAATGCCAATTTGTCCCGTGTAGTCCAAGCAGTTTAGTCAGGTTATGAGATTTGTTTGGACAAAACATGGAGCTCTAACATTTGGAGATTCACAGTGTGACCTCTCGATTTGAGTCATAGTTTTGGTACACTGAATTTTCCCATTTATTTGAGGAGAAGGAAAGGAGAGACTCATTTAATCAAGACCAACTCTTGTATTATTAACAAGACTAGACCACCTCCAAAACATAAGGCTTCCATTCATATTTATTCTCTAGAAATTTTTTCTCTGTATCTGAGAATGGTGGTCAAAATTCAGTCTACAGATGACCTCAAGGTCTCTACCTCCTGTTTGGAAGTTGTCTAGGAAATCCCTTTGATAACTTATATGTGATTCATATTTTTCGATCATAAAGATTTGTTTCATTTATTACCCATTTCTTTGTGGAAAGAATTCCCTCACGTGTCAATCAGTTATAAGGACTCAAGATGTGCCGTGGGAAGAATGCAATCTCTCTACCTCCAATCCCACCATTTGCTTGTGAGATCAATGTTTTAACTCCTTTAAGCACATGTATTTTCTTATTATTTTAACCTAGAAATGATATATGCTTGCATTACTTTTCTCATGGTTATTTACAACTAATTGTGGAGTAAATGAATTTAGCCATGTTTAAAAAAATTTAAGATGTCAGCAGGCAAGTGATAGAGGTTGTTTAATAGAAGTTCTCTTAGCAGCATGTTAAAAATAATGCTGCAATAATATCATCTACCTAAATGGTTACTCCTAGCAGTCTGATGCCAAAATCTAAACAAATCTAGAATTTTTATATGTGGAGTGACAGTTGTACAAACATCACAGTATTCACATAAATATTTTGTATAAGTTAAATTATCTAAGTTTATTATTAAGTTATTATCCTTCCCATCCAAAATATTTTTTAAATCCTAAGACAACTTCATTGTAGTTTTAGTTATTACAAACTGGAGCAATCTTTAGCAAGTTTGGGAATATGAAAATAATAGCTTATTTAGGCTATCTAACTATTGAATTTGTTTCATATTTCAGTTCACCCTTGAACAATGTGGGGGCTATAGGCGCTGAGCCTCATAAAAAATTAGCATGTAACTGTTGCCTTCCCCAAAACTTATCTATTAATAGCCTACTATTGGCCAGAAGCCTTACTGATAACATAAACAGTTGATTAATACATATTTTGTATGTCATATGTATTATATTTTGTATTTTTATAATAAAGTAAGCTAAGTAAAGAAAAGATTATTAAGAAAATTGTAGGGAAGAGAAAATATATTTACAGTACTATACTGTATTTATGGATACTGTAAGTTTATGTTGTCTGTTTAAAAGGTGAATTGTCCATCTGAAATGGTGGGCAGCTGCAGCCGCAAACCTCAATTTATGGTACATATCAAGCAATTCATCTTTTTCTTGTAATGGCATGACTTTTCTCTGCTTGTTGGGAGCACTTCCAGCATCACTAGTGGCACTTTTTATGGATCCCACGGTGTTATTCGAGGTTTCTAGTATTGCACTAAACACAATGAAAAATATGTGAGAGCCATGAGAGATCAGTTTTTACTGTGACACACAATTTACTGGAAAGATGAACTGCTCACACAGAGATGATGTTCGTCACACAGTGTTTTAAGCAGATTCTTGCAACACTTGAGCTCCCCACAATGGCAACAGAAGGTAGCTATGAAATCATTACAATAGTACAGTATGTTCTACGGTGAATTTTATGAAGTTATGATTTAATACTGCATCTTTATGTTTATTTCCATTTCTCTCAACTGCAAATGGCACTATGTATAGTCTGTGTTTGTGTAAGTTTTGATAAATTTTAACTTTTTATAATAGAGTTACATATATTTTATGTTAGTAAACAATAAAATAGACTAATATCTACATATATTTTATGCATTCATGACATACCTAACTTTTTCTTAGTATTTTCAATATTTCTAGGCTGCATGGTTCATCTGCATGTTTTTTCAAATTGTTGCAAATTTCTAAAAATTTTAAAATATATATATATTTTTTGAAATCCACATGTAAGTGGACTCTCAAAGTTCAAACTTGAGTTGTTCAAAGGTACTTGAATTCTCTCCAGCCTTTCTCTTTCTGTCCTTAAATACATCAAATATCCTAACATTTTAAATGGAGTTCCTACCAATTATATTCAGAGAAACACAGTATGAAGCATGAAAAGTACCTATATGGAAAGTGGCTTATCACTTCATAGAGATTTTTAGAAAGTAATTTCCTTTAACTTTATTGGGAAGGAGGTTCTACTCAAAAACTGTTTCCTGGAGTAGTCAGTCTTAAGCTGCTGTATGTGTTATGCTTCTTACCAAAGTTCAGGAGGGCACTATCTGTTTCCTCAGGATGGTGTCAAAATGGAGTGTTGGCAGTGTTCCTTATGTGAAGTAAAGAGATAACAGCTAGAAAGCTAATTAAAATAGAGTAGACTTGCTTTAAGGAAGCGGGCAAAACCTTTTCCTTCCCAGAAAAATTTCCTACTCCCACCCACTGCAAAGACTTGAAACAATAGAGTCAGCAAAAAGAATGGCAACTTTATGTTCCCTTTTATGAAATTTCTAATTTTGTTTCCTTAAGTCTCTACCTCACTCTATGTTGTCTTGGGTAGGTAAGAATTGACAAATGCTTATTTTCCTAGTAGTGGTACATTTAAAAACAATCTCCCTTCCCCTAATGTTCCTTTTCAAAAACTTTATTCCAGCCAAAAGAGTGACTTTACATTGGGAGGATCTTAAGACAATAACAGCGAGATAGCCTTAGAGGAAATAATTGCCTTTTGTTTCATGAATTTCTCTAACTTAGTGATATCCCGATTCCTGATTTGTAGCAAGTCAGAAACACTGAAATCTCCACTTAGGAACATTAATAATGTTTTTCCTAATTCACTGGATTTGATTATTGCACACAGAAGCTATTCTTCCCAGTATTTCTTTCTTTCTTTTTGAGACAGGTTCTCACTCTGTTACCCAGACTGGAGTGCAGTGACACGATTACAGCTCATTACAGCCTCAATCTCCCAGGCTCAAGTGATCTTCCCACCTCAGCCTCCTGAGTAGCTGGGACTGCAGGTATGCATGCCACCACACCTCATTAATTTCTGTGTTCTTTTGTTTTTTTTTTTTTGTTACAGACAAGGTCCCGCCATGTTGCCCAGGCTGTTCTCAAACTCCTGAGCTCAAGTGAGCTTCCTGTCTCAGCCCCCTGAAATGCTGGGATTACAGGTGTGAGCCACTGTGCCAGTATTTCCCACTATAATCAAGTGGTGCCACCACCATTTGGCTTATATTTCTACATTAAAAGGGAAGTGAAAAGAGAAAGGACAAAGAATCAATCATAATCTTGGGCATAATTACTGGGTCATCAGAAATGTTAAAGCATATAAGGACAAAAGAGGAAGTGGCTGAAAAAGTAAAGTACAGTGAAAAATAAAAGGAAATAATGGGGAAAAAACTATGACTTTATTAGAAACTGATATATAATTAGAATGCAGATTTTTGGTGAGAGATTAGTGGTAAGAAAATAATTGTAAGTAAATATGTGTTATTTATTTATAGCCATTCTTATTTTAAAAAAGATATGTGGTGGTAAATATTTATGTAAATGTCTTCCTAATTGAAAAACACAATGAAACAAAAATAGTGGCATTTCTTTTTAACAGTGTTGTGTTTAACAATGGAATTGCTTCCTATCTGTCTGGAAAAGTGAAGGTATACTAATACCTCACACTTGTATAACCTTTGTGATTACAGAGCATTTTCCCATTCTTTTGATTTTCATAATAGCTTCATTAGGTCAATAGATCTTACTCTACTGTGAAGGTGAGGAAACAGCCCATGCTGCTAAGGACTTGCCTAAAGTAGCGTCATTAATAATTATCAGCACCAGAACTAGAATTCAAGTCTCCTCTTATTTAGGATTTTTCTTCAACTGTTTGGTCTCTCAGGTAACTTTTCCAAGATCTTTTCCAGTTTCACTAGTTTTAGCTAATATATAAACATGTCATAATATTTTTATAGCCAAACAGTGCTGTCTGAGATTTTAAATCTTGAGACTTGAGAATGCCTGAAGGCTAGTGTGCTGGATATTCTGTATTCATTCTCCATTCTCCTCCACCCTGCTCTGGGTCCTGAGAGACCGGCCAGAGTGAACTGCATCAGGGGGCTTCTGGTTAGGTTCAGCAGGAGATTGGAGGCTGGGAGCAGAGCAAGATCTGGTATTTATTCCTCAGCTCCTTCCCTGCTGGGCCATGGATGAGTAGTGGCTGTACTCTTTAACTGAAGATGTAGCCGACCCTCTGGGCCCCCTACCCATGTACCCTCAGCCCTCACCATTCCTTATGAATGGTGGTGGCTTCTTCTTTTGAAAATACCTGCCACTCTCTGCCTGATGGCTTTTTCTGGCCATAGAAACACGCTTAGCCCATGCACAGGACCGGCCAGAGGTTCTGGATAGTTGCTTTCTCCAGGGAACACCCCTTAATGAATGATGTGTAGGAACTGGTGGATAAATTTCTCTCTTTCTGTTCCCCTGAGTTGGAACAGCTATGAGCTGTATTCTACACCTGTTTCCCAGGGGGTCCCTATCAAGACAGAGCCCCAAATGCTGAGTGTGTCTAACATTGGATATTCTTTTAGTTAGGAAGAAGGTAAGAATTAGAGGAGTGGACATCCTTTTTTTTTTTTTTTTTTTTTGACAGAGTCTTGCTCTGTCGCCCAGGCTGGAATACAGTGGTGTGATCTCGGCTCACTGCAACCTCCGCCTCCTGGGTTCAAGCTATTCTGAAGTCTCAGCTTCCCGAGTACCTGCGATTACAGGCACCTGCTACCACGCCCGGCTAATTTTTGTATTTTTAGTAGAGACGGGGTTTCACCATGTTGGTCAGGTTGACCTTGAACTCCTGACCTCAGGTGATCCAACTGCCTTGGCCTCCCAAAGTGCTGGGATTACAGGTGTGAGCCACTGTGTCCGGCCAGAGTGGACATCCTTTAGTAACTGCAACAGAGGCATGCTTCGAATACTATACTTTTTTGAGACACATGAGATAATTAAATGATTGACAACAATACTAATTAGGCCAGCAATGATTACAGTGCTATTGCCACCATAATGCCAGTACAAGGTTGGGGTTATTGGTGGCTGTCAGGATGGTGGCTGTTAGAGAAGAGCTTGTTCTGCCCTAGCTGTATTCTTCATGGAGGCAAAGTTCTTGCAATTTTTCTGTAGTGCCAACCTGATGACACACTAACCATGTACGTCTTAGTTACAACAAAGCTATTCCACACCCAGCCATCTAACCTACTTTGTTTCTCATCTCAGGCATTACTGTGACAATATTTACACTCAGTTGTAGCAAAAATAAAAATTTTCTTTTTACATATCAATGAAAATTTGTAGGGGCTGCTGGGAGGGATTTGCTCTCTCAAATGCAGTGGTCGTGAATCCCCATGTTAGGTATTTTAGGAAAGATAAAATAAGTAATAAACAGACTCTTCCCTTATCAGGGGAACCCGCCCCCAATAATTCAACGTTATTTCACGTAGGTTCTTTTCTATTTCCCTAAGTGTTGGTCAGTCGGAGAAATAAAGGGAAAGAGTACAAAAGAGAGAAATTTTAAAGCTGGGTATCCACGGGAGACACACACATGTCGGCAGGTTCCATGATGCCCCCCAAGCCGCAAAACCAGCAAGTTTTTATTAGTGATTTTCAAAAGGGGAGGGAGTGTATGAATAGGGTATGGGTCACAGAGATCACATGCTTCACAAGGTAATAAAATATTACAAGGCAAATGGAGGCAGGGTGAGATCACAGGACGGGGGCGAAATTAAAATTGCTAATGAAGTTTCAGGCACGCATTGTCATTGATAACATCTTATCAGGAGACAGGGTTTGAGAGCAGACAACCAGTCTGACTAAAAATTTACTAGGTGAGAATTTACTCACCGTAATAGGCCTGGGAGTGCTACTGGAGACCAGGGCTTATTTCATCCCTTATCTTCAACCATAAAAGACAGACATTCCCAGAGCGGCCAGTTTAGAGACCTACCCCTGGGAATGCATTCTCTTTCTCAGGGCTGTTCCTTGCTGAGAAAAGGAATTCAGCAATATTTCTCCTATTTACTTTTGAAAGAAGAGAAATATGGCTCTGTTCCACCTGGCTCTCAGGCAGCCAGACCTAATGGTTATCGCCCTTGTTCCATGAACATCACTGTTATCCTGTTCTTTTTTCAAGGTGCCCAGATTTCATATTGTTTAAACACACATGGTTACAAACAATTTGTGCAGTTAACGCAATCATGACAGGATCCTGAGTGGACATACATCCTCAGCTTATGAAGATGATGGGATTAAGAGATTAAAGACAGGTATAGGAAATCACAAGAGTATTGATTAGGGAAGTGATAAATGTCCATGAAATCTTCACAATTTATGTTCACAGATTGCAGTAAAGACAGGCATAAGAAATTATAAAAGTTTTAATTTGGGGAACTAATAAATGTCCATGAAATCTTCACAATTTATGTTCTCCTGCCATGGCTTCAGTCAGTCCCTCTTTTCCGGGTCCCTGACTTCCTGCAACATTCTCTCTGGAACTCCAGGTTTGGTAGTAATGGAGGATGGGGTGAGGAGCGAAGAGAAATTCTGTGTGGGAAGAAATGATAACATAAGTGTGAGTGGCAGAATTCTTTGTTAAGATGTTAATTATTGTGGGTTCCCAGTCCTACCCTGGCTCATTGTCAAAATTATGCAAGCTTCCCTAAAGCAATAAGGTAATAGGGAAGAATAAAGGGGTACCTTTGAAGACCAAGAAAGAGTGAAAGTTTTGGGTCACTGGGAAGGGATGAAGGTTCATGGGTCTATGGGTAATGGGGACTCTTGCCTGTTCTGTGGTCATGTCCTGCTGGGTAATACGTCAGAAAGGACAGCTGCATGGTGTCTCAGAGATGCTCCACTCCAAGCACCAGGGCGTCCAGCTGAGGCAAAGCCCCCTCACCACACTCCCCCTTTCCTACTTAGCATGGGGAAAGAAAGGTTGGGCAGTGAGAATATCAGATGGGATCAAGCTAGGTGTGAGATTAGAAACCCTTCTCCCAGTTTCTATAGATGCACTTTCCCCAGATTCTGGTGTAAGCCAAGGAGGTAAGAGGACTCCAGTAATGACAGATTGAGTTTCTTGCCAGCTCAGAGAGCCAGAGACTTGAGATGAATTTAAGTTGATATAAAGAAAATAAAGAGCAGAATTTTTTGGACACCTATATGTGGTGGATTAAGATGGAACTTGCTCCATGCATAAAAAACAGAGACAAAAAGGGCAGAATATGGCAAGGGCTCTAGGGGAGGCTAAGCAATGGAATGTATCTATAATAAATCATGATATGTTATTTGCAATTTGGAAACCTTGCAGGCTCTTCTCCACAGAGCTTCTTCCAGCTGGGCAGAGGAAAGAACAATTAAACGGAGAAGGGGGAAGGAATGATTTTCTCTTGGATTCTTTTCTTGCTTGCTCCGATTTCATAACATAAAGTACAGTAACAAGTAACTGTACATGTAGTAAATGTTTATTAGTCAAGTATGAAGAAAATACTTAGTCTGTTAATTCCTTCTTTTATGGTAGTCATATGTCACACTGATTTTTATGTCACAAAATCCATATTGCCCATCCTCCGGATTATAGAGACAGACACAACATTGTTTGGTGTCAGTGTCAAGGCATCATGGCACACAGGGTGAAGATCCCTTCGCTCTTTTAGTTCTCCATCTCACAGACTCCTTTGTCATTGTGCAGGCTTCAGAGCAGAGACCTCTGTGCAATTTCTGTTTTTCATGGAAGAAATTACAGTTGGGTGGGTAGGGTTACAGGCATTTTCTACATTGAATCTGTATTTCCTGGATTCCAAAGCACTTGATGAAAATAGATTTTTTTTTTTTTTTTTTTTTTTAGACAGAGTCTTGCTCTGTCTTGCCCAGGCTGGAGTGCAGTGGCACAATCTTGGCTCACTGCAGCCTCCACCTCCATGGTTCAAGTGATTCTCTTGCCTCAGCCTCCTGAGTAACTAGGACTACAGGTGTGTGCCACCACACCTGGCCAATTTTGTATTTTTAGTAGAGACGGGGTTTCACCATGTTGGCCAGGCTGTTATTGAACTCCTGACCTCAGGTGATTCTCCCGCCTCAACTGGGATTATAGACGTGAGCCATCATGCCTGGCAAAAATAGATTTTTAGTGTTTGGAAATCAAGATGTGTCTTTCAGTCAAAGTCAAAAGAAATCTATTTGTTTCCAGAGAATCTCAAGTTATACTGTGTTTGTCATTGTGCACAAGTATGCGTAGTATTTCATAGAAGATATCATTTAATCTGATTGCCAAAGCAGATAAGTTATTTGTAACAGTAGTTGATGCAGGTAAATTTTAATTAAATTCTAGACCTCCAATTGGCTTTTAAAACCTTTTAAATATTTAATACAATTATTTATTTATTTATTTGTTTGTTTGTTTGTTTATATGAGATGGAGTCTCGCCCTGTTGCCCAGGCTGGAGTGCAATGGTGCGATCTCGGCTCACTGCAACCTCCACCTCCCGGGTTCAAGTGATTCTCCTGCCTCAGCCTCCCGAGTAGCTGGGATTACAGGTGCGCACCACCATGCTCGGCTAATTTTTTTTATCTTTAGTAGAGACAGTGTTTCACCGTGTTGTCCAGGCTGGTCTCTAACTCCTGACCTCAGGTGATCCACCCACCTTGGCCTCCCAAAGGGTTGGGATTACAGGCATGAGCCACTGCCCCCGGCTGACTTTAGTTTTTAATATGGAAGATTGCCTGTTTTAGCTGAACAATGAATTTGAAAACAATAGGAGTTGTTACGTACTTTGGTCTATTTTAGAACATTTTCAAAGTTTTTTTTTTTTTTTTTGAGACAGAGTCTCACTCTGTTGCCCAGATGGGAGTGCAGTGGCATGACCTCAGCTCACTGCAACATCCGCCTCCCTGGTTCAAGGAATTCTCCTGCCTCAGCCTCCAGAGTAGCTGGGATTACAGGCTCATGCCACCATGCTAGGCTAATTTTTGTATTTTTAGTAGAGATGGGGTTTCCCCATGTTGCCCAGGCTGCTCTGAAAACTCCTGGCCTCAAGTGATCCACCTGCCTCGGCCTCCCAAAGTGCTGGGATTACAGATGTGAGCTGTCGTGCCCAGCTAGAAAATTTTCAAAGTTTTGAGCAATGTGTGTGACCAATTCGTGTGCTGAGGAGGAGTTTTGCTTGGGAATGGTACATCTATTAAAAGTTTCTAGCTAACCTTTTCCCCTAAAATGTTTATTAAAATGTTTAATATTTAATAGAAATAATATGAAAATACATAAAGAAAAAGTTAATAAACTCCTTTCCCACCCCTCCAGCCATTTTCTCTTCTGTTCCTCCCTCAGAGGATTCTTGTTCATCTTTTTTCATGCTCTTGCATGATGTGCATATATAGGTTTTTGTTAAAATGTAGCAATGATGGTTGCACGCACACCCCTTCAGATCTCTTCACTATTTCTGTGCACTCCAACTCCTGGTGTAGTTATCCTCCCAACAGCCCAGCCCTGCATCACTTTATGAGCAAATGACCCTCAGGTTACTGGAATGTGCTTCATTTATGCACATCGGGGGCCATAAGTGCCTTTGAATTTATGCTTCCACCCCCCAACCCTTAACTAATGACTGATAGGTGCAAAAATATAAACTTCAGCTCTTGACCCCCTCATCAGTATAATTTAGTCAATTACTCCCAGTAGTTTCTCAGCTTTGTTCTGCTTTCTGACACTAAAAACAATGCTATAATATAAAACTGTCTACATATATTCTATATATTTACCAAAAGTAATTTTGTCTGTGTGTGTGCATGAAAGAGAGCCTCCACTTGAGTCTACTGAAGTTGAACTAAGCCACTTTCTACAATATTGAGATAAAGTAGTGGAGCTAGAAGTATGAAGAAGGATTTATGGGGGGTTAGGCAAATGAATCTTTGTCCTCTCAACAAGTATTTACTGTTTTCCTACTATGTGCAGGCTCTGTGTACAGTCTACTATTCAGTGCAGGACAAAACAGAAATGGTTCCTGCCCTTGTGGAGCTCGTCTAGTGGGGGAGTAAGATATTAAGCAATGATGTCATATGTAAATCTTTGCAAATTGAATAAGTGCTATGAAGAATGAATAGAAGGTGCTCTGTGAGAGTTAATTGGGGGCCTAATTTAGAAATGGAAAAACCTCTCTGGAGAATTGACAGTAGAAAAAAAAATTAAAACTTTTTTTTTTTTTGAGATGGAATCTTGCTCTGTCCCCCAAGCTGGAGTACAGTGGTGTGATCTCAGCTCACTGCAAACTCTGCTTCCTGGGTTTGAGCAATTATTCTGCCTCAGCCTCCTGAGTAGCTGGGATTACAGGTGGCTGCCACCACTCCTGGCTAATTTTTTTGTATTTTTAGTAGAGACGGGGTTTCACCATGTTGTCCAGGATGGTCTCAAACTCCTGACCTCAGGTGATCCACCTGCTTCGGCCTCCCAAAGTGCTGCCATTACACGCTTGAGCTGCTGCAACCGGCCTAAAAATTAAAACTTTTCCCCAATGTTTAAATTATTTACACAGCCCTAAAATTCATTCTAAAGAATTTTGTTTTGTATTTATTTGAATTGAATAGACTTGGAATTGAGTTTTGCTCTAAATTGCAATGACTGTGGAACAGCCACCTTTGTTGCAGAATTCCTCTCAAACCCTTATGATGGAACAACAGAAAATCTATAACTATGATAGGTGGCCAAATTAGCTGGAAAAATGTTTGACTTGTAAACGTATCATGCTGGGGTACCTGGAGCATCTGAATCCCACCACCAGCACCACCACTCTGTAAGAGGAAAACCTGGTGGAACAAATCAGTTGAGGGCTGGGACTTCTGGGTAGGGAGAAAGGAAGGGAGGGAAGATGAAGGAGACCAGGAGAGGATCCCAATGTTCTGGAAAAGTCCCTGGCATATGGTAGGTGTCCAGTAAATATTTATTGAATAAATGATTGCGTGAATGATGCTCAGCAGGGATATGGATACTGAGCTCACATGGACTGCTCAGTAGCCTCATAGGGAGAAAACACTGTTTTGCATTAGCCCCTGGAATCTCTGTGTGTGCATGGTTGTCTGGTGATTAGATTGGTAATGTCCTGTGCCTGCCTTGATTTCTAGATGGTAAGGGCTCAGATAAGAATATGAACCAGCTTTTACCAGGATGGGGTAATTGTCAGATATTAATGAAGTATGGCAGTAGGCAAACCTAGGGCCAAAACTGAAGTGAGGGAGGCCCCTTGCTTGGCCAGATCAGGAGTCACTGTCCAAAGGCTTAGGTCCCATCATTTTCCTGCACCAAAGCTGGATATAGTGGGCAGTCAGCAGGGAGCCAAGGAGTTGTGTGTGGTCAGGGTCAAGAAAGGCAAAATTCGTCAGAGAAATGCATACCCTGTTGGTGAGATGGAGAAGACCTATTCCTTCTCACCTCAAACCAAGACTCACCATAAATAGGCTATGCATACTCATGATGATCTGACTATTTTGAGTAGCTTGCCAGAAGGGTAAGATGAGAAAAGAGATCTAATTTACACTTTTTAAAATGACAATTAGAGGGAGATCACAACAGCCAAAGAAGATTACCTATTTATTAAGCACATAGGCACACTCTGGTTTAGGTGCTGTGGGATGTTGAAGGATTTAGATGAGGAGGAGAGAAAAAGAATTTGCACTCAGACTCGAGAATTTGAAGTCACACTTTGGATTGTATACACAGGTATACTTCAGAGATATTGCAAGTTCAGTTCCAGACCACCACAATAAAGCAAGTTACACAAATTTTTTGGTTTCCCAGGGCATATAAAAATTATGTTTACATTATATTATACATTATATTATAGTCTATAAAGTGTGCAATAGCATTATTTGCAAAAGTACAATGTATATACCTTGATTAAAAATACTTTATTGTTAAAAATGCTAATGATCATCTAAACCTTCTGTGAGTTGTAATCTTTTTGCTGTTGGAGGATTTTACCTCTATGTTAATAGCTGCTGACTGATCAGCGTGGTGGTTGCCGAAGGTTGGGGTGGCTGTGGCAATTTCTTAAAAGAAGACAACAGTGAAGTTTGCCACATCAATTGACTCTTCCTTTTATGACAATTTCTCTGTAGCATGTGATGCTGTTTGATAGCATTTTACCCACAGTAGGACTTTCAAAATTGGTGTCAGTCCTCTCAAGCCCTGCTGCTGCTTTATCAAGTAAGTTTATGTAACATTTTAAATCCTTTGCTGTCATTTCAACGATGTTCACTGCATCTTCCCCAGGAATAGATTCCATCTCAAGAAACCAGTTTCTTTGCTTATCCATAAGAAGCAAGTCCTCATCTGCTCCATTTGTATCATGAGATGTAGCAACTCAGTCACATATTTAGACTCCACTTCTAATTCTAGTTTTCTTGCTATTTCCACCACATCTGCAGTTACTTCCTTCACTGAAGTCTTGAACCCCTCCAAGTCATCTATAAGGGCTGGAATTGACTTCTTCCAAATTCCTGTTAATGTTGATATTTTCACCTCTTCCCATGAATCACGAATGTTCTTAATGGTATCTAGAATGGTGAATCCTTTCCAGAAAATTTTTGATTTACTTTGCCCACATCCAACAGAGGAACTATCTATGATGGCTACAGACTTATGAAATGTATTTCTTAAGTAATAAGACTTGAAATTACTTCTTGATCCATGGGCTGCAGAATAAATGTTGTGTTAGCATGCATAAAAATAACATTCATCTTCTTGTACATTTCCATCAGAGCTCCTGGGTGATCAAGTGCATTGTCAATGAACAGTAATATTTTGAAAGGAATATTTTTTCTGAGCAGCAGCCATCAACAGTTAGCTTAAAATATTCAGTAAACCATGCTGTAAACAGATTTACAGTCATCCAGGCTTTTTTATTCCAGTTACAGAGCACAGGCAGAGTAGCTTTAACATAATCCTTTTTGTTTTTGAGATGGAGTCTCTGTCACCCAGGCTAGAGTGCAGTGGCATGATCTTGGCTCAGTGCTACCTCCACCTTTTGGGTTCAAGTGATTCTCGTGCCTCGGCCTCCCGAATAGCTGGGACTACAGACACGTGCCACCAAGCCCTCCTAATTCTTCTGCATTTTTAGAGATGGGGTTTTACCATGTTGGCCAGGCTGGGCTCGAACTCCTAACCTCAGGTGATCTGCTTGCCTTGGCTTCCCAAAGTCCTGGGATTACAGGCGTGAGCCACTGCACCCGGCCCATTTAACGTAATTCTTAAAGGCCCTAGGATTTTCAGAATGGTCAATTAACAATGGCTTTAACTTAAAGTCACCAGCTTCATTAGGCCCTAACAAGAGAGTCATCCTCTCCTTTGAAGATTTGAAGCCAGGTATTGACTTCTCCTCTCTAGCTATGAAAAACTCTACTGGCCCCCAGAGGATGAAGGGCCTAATGTGGCATCCAAGATGGCATCTTCTTCCAAAAGAAGGCTATTTCATCTACATTGAAAATCTGTTGTTTCGTGTAGCCACTTTCATCAATGATCTTAGCATGATCTTCTGGATACCTCACTGCAGCTTCTCCATCAGCACTTGCTGCTTCACCTTGCGCTTTTACATTACGGAGGTGGCTTACTTTCTTAAACCTCATGAACCAACCTCTGCTGGCTTCTGACTTTTCTTCTGCAGCTTTCTTACCTTTCTCAGCCTTCATAGAACTGAAGAGAGTTAAGGTCTTGCTCTGGATTAGGTTTTGGCTCAAAGGAATGTTGTGGCTGGTTTGATCTTCTATCCAGACCTTTCAGACATTTTCCATATTAGTAATAAGGCTGTTTCTCTTTCTTATCATTTGTGTGTTCACTGGAGCACTGTGTTTACTTTTTTTAAAGAAATTTTCTTTGCGTTCATAACTTGGCTGTTTTCTGCAAGCAGCTTAGCTTTTAGCCTGTCTCAGCTTTCGACATGCCTTCCTTGCTAAGCTTAATCATTTCTAACTTTTGATTTCCAGTGAGAGATGTGTGACTTTTCCTTTTACTTGAACACTTACAGGCCATTGTAAGGTTATTAATTGGCCTAATTTCAATATATTGTGTCTCAAGGAATAGGGAAGCCCAAGGAGAGGAGGAGATAGTGGGACAGACAGTGAGTGGAACAATCAGACCACAAACAGCAGTTATCAATTAAGTTCATCATCTTATATGGGCATGGTTCATGGTGCCCCAAAACAGTTACAATTTTAATATCAAACATCACTG
Source organism: Homo sapiens (assembly GCF_000001405.40). NCBI lineage: Eukaryota > Metazoa > Chordata > Mammalia > Primates > Hominidae > Homo > Homo sapiens. The sequence goes on from NC_000010.11 coordinate 95,741,419, forward strand.
ATCCCAGATCATCATAAGAAGTATAATAATAATGAAAAATTTTAAATATTGCAAGGATTACCAAGATGTGATACAGAGACATGAAGTGAGCACATGGTACTGCAATAATGGCACTGATAGACTTGTTCAATGCAGGGTCGCTACAAACCTTCAATTTGTAAAAATCGCAACGTCTGTGAAACACAATAAAGCCAAGCACAAGCAAGTGGAGTATGCCTGTAAGAAACATAAAATATGAAAAATCAGCAGTGTGAGGCATTAAGCAGTTCCCAGGTTGCTTGGCACTTATGAAAGTCTCTTAGAATTTGGAGGAGAGAGGGTTAGCTGGAAGACTTGAAAGATTCAAGGTTTGAGCCAGACCCTGAAGGATGAGCTGAGACAATCATCTTAGGTTAAGTAATGATCTCAAAAGTATAAAAATTGCTATTACTATTATCTTTTTCTGTTTTCCTATTTCTTCAGACTTTGCTGCCCCCAGAGGATGAAGGGCCTAATGTAAAGGAGAACAGGAGGCCTGATTTTGGCATTACCTCAAAGATTTGTCACCCCTGGCTGATCTCTGCAAAGGCGGAGGCGTTAACAGCAACATAGGAGCTTCCTGCTGTAGACTGTTCTGGTATTGTGGGATATTATTGTCCTCAAAAGCTGGGTGTGTGGGCCATGCTGATAAGGTCATCGGCATTAGTCTAAGGGCCATGTGTTCTTCAAAACTTTCCACTGACTCTTAGGCCCAGCAAGGTCCAGAAGTAGAAGACAGAGATTTATGCTGTTTGGAGTCTTGATTGCTTGGCAAGTATTAATACAATTCTGGGGCACTTAACGGTTGGTTAGTGTAGTAAATTTTGCTTAACACTAGCTTTTCTGCATCTCAGAGCTACTTTAAGTTGTCTGGCAATGTTCCCAAATAAGGGTAACCCCGTCTGGAGAAGCCTAGGCCTTTTCCTTCCTTTTGTTATTTTTTTTTTCAAGTGCTGCAACCAGCAGTCGCTACTCCTTCCTGTCCTCCCCCTAGAGTTGCTGACTGCTCTCCAGTGACATGTATTTGGAAACTTTTTAAGATACTAGAAAATCAACTTAGAAACTTTCTTTTTCTTTTTCTTCTTCTTCTTCTTTTTCTTTTTTCTTTTTTTTTTTTTAGACCAATGGGAATATTGTGTGTTGTGGATGGAAAGATTTGAATACTACTATGTTTTCACATTGAGTTCAATGTAACAAGGCCATTTCCGTGTCTTGGCACACAGCCTGAGTTAACTTTGCTTTGCTGGATGTGGATACAATGAATTCTGTTTGAACAAGAAATCATGTGTAACAAATGCTTTTGCAAAATCATGTCGTCATTAAAGCAGTTACTTTAATAAAGATGGGCTTCACAAGGGGTTTCCGGTACAACAGCTGCAGTTAAATATCTATACACTGTTAACATATTTTTTAAAATAAGCTTTTAATTATAGAATAGTTTTCAATTTACAGAAAAGTTATGAAGATAGTACAGAAAGTTACCAGGTACTCTCTACCCAGTTCCCTGATTATTAACATCTTACATTAGTGTGGTACATTTGATACAATAAATGAACCAATATTGATACCTTAATATCAACTAAAGTCCATACTTTATTCAGATTTCTTTAGTTTTTACCCAATGTTCTTTTCTGTTCCAAGATTCCAAATTACATTTAATCTTCATGACTCCTTAGGCTCCTCTTGGCTGTGAGAATTTCTCAGACTTTTTATTTTTGATGACCGTAGCAGTTTTGAGAAATACTGGTCAGAAATTTTTGTATAATGTCCTTCAATTGGGATTTGTCTGATATCTTTCTCATGATTAGGCTCGAGTTATGCACTTTTTGGAGGAAGACCACAGAGTGCCATTTTCATCACATCATACCAAGGATATGTGTTATCAACATGATTTATCACTGTTGATGTTAATCTAGATGGCCTTGCTGAGGTAGTGTTTGTCAGGTTTTTCCACTGTAAAGTCACTCTTTCTTACTCTTTTTCTCTGCTGCACTCTTTGGAAAGAAGTCACTATGCAGGCCATACTTAAGGAGTGAGGAGTTATGCTTTACCTCCTAGAGAGTGGAGTATTTATGTAACTCATTTGAAATTCTTCTGTATGGATTTGTCTATTCTCTCCCATTTGTTTATTTAATAATTCATTTGTTAAATATTCTATTTCATAAATACACTAATAGTCTATTTCAGTATAGACTCGTGGATATTTATTTTATACTTTGGATTATCTTTGAATATGGTTCTATTTTATTGTTCAAATTATTCTAATTTTGGCTATTGGAAGCTCTATTGGCTCCTGTGTCACTTTGACACACCCCATCATTGTAAGCTTTTTTTTTCTTAATTACTTTCTGGCCCCATAAGATACTCCAGGATTGTCTTGTAATATTTCCTGTCCCCAGCCTAGAGTCACCTATTTATCAGGGGAATTCTGGTTCCTTTTACTGGAGAACGGTTATAGAAACAAAAATCTGGGGGTTAGATGTGCTTATTGCTACTGCAGTATCATTGCTTATAGGCCCACTCTGCTGACAGAGCAAGAAAATATAGATGTATTTTAAACCATATATATATATATATATATATATATATATATATATATGCACAACTATAAATAGTTCTACATTTATTCATATGTATCCCTATTAAGCTAAACCTGAGTTCATACTGATGTCTCTAACGTTAATCCATTACCACATGGATCATTCTAGCCATTTCCCCTTACTTGTCTATAACCTTCCACTCTAACAGTGAGAAGCCTGACTCCTATTGTCTGTCATCCATTTACATAATTTCTGATTCCAGTATACATGTATAGTGGTTTCAGAATTATGAATCTTGGGAGACAGAGTAATGTACTTTTACACAGTTCCTTTTGCCTTTGGTCCTGTAGACTTTACTCACATCTAAAGTGACTTGGGGCCGAGAGTGGGGACTCATGCCTGTAATCCTAGCACTTTGGGAGGCCAAGGCAGGTGGATTGCTTGAGGCCAGGAGTTCAAGACCAGCCTGACCAACATGGTGAAACCCCATCTCAACTAAAAATACAAAAATTAGCCAGGCTTGGTGGTGTGCTACTTGGGAGGCTGAGGCACAAGAGTTGCTTGAACCAGGGAGGCAGAGGTTGCAGTGAGCCAAGATCATGCTACTGAACTCCAGCCTCTGTGGCAGAGTAAGACTCTGTCTCAAAAAAAAAAAAAAAGTGACTAGGTCAGCACCCTTTTCCTCTACCTCCCTCTGTGAGGTTTTTTCACACATTTGTAATACAGTTCCATTATTTTGTCAGAATTTAAATTTCATTCTGGGCTCCCTTGACTTCCTGAATAATTTTTGAAAACTTTGTATGGGTTAAGGTTCATTCTTTGTGATTTAAATTTCTGTAGATTTTGACAAATGCATATTGTCATGTATCCACCATTACAGTATCATACTGAAAAATTTTATCAATCTGAAAATATCCCCTCTGCTTTACTTATTCGACCTTTCCCTACCCTGATGAATCTTTGGTAATCACTCATTTATTTATTGTCTCTCTTTAAAGTAAGCAGTTTTTTAAAAAATTTAAATTTTTAAAAATATTTTTAAGTTTTGGAGCTCTAATAAGTTGATTGGTCTTTCATAGATAATGAGTACTTTGTTTGAAAATGAGTATCTTTGACCTTAAAGAAATTATAGCTTTTATCAGTTATACTTGCAATTCACAGATTTGGATTTGTGTTTTGAAGCAGCAATAACATCTTACTTTTTTTAAATGTTTTTTTATTTTTAGAAATAAGGTCTTGCTCTCTTTCTCAGGTTGGAGTGCAGTGGCACAATCATAGCTCACTGCAGCCTTGAACTCCTGGGCTCAAGTGATCCTCTTGCCTCAGCCTCCTAAGTAGATGGGATATAGACATGAGCCACCATGCCCAGCTAATTTTTTAATTTTCATTTTTTAAAGACGAGATCCATTATGTTGTCCAGGCTGGTCTCCTGGCCTCAAGCAATCCTCCTGAATTGGCCTCCCAAAGTGCTGGGATTACAGGTTTGAGCCACTGCACCTGGCCAATCTTACCATTTTTGATGAAGTGACAGTCACTTATTATCTCTGCAGACCTTTGAGACATTTAGACAAATTGAGGCACTTGATGTGGGAGTAGGATAAAGGAGTTAAAGGGGATATTTCAACAGAACATTTATGTAAGAGAATCCACTCATGCAAGGCAAGAGAGAGGAAGTAGTTATAGCTAAAAAAACTAAGGTAATGCCTACACAGCACTGACTTCATTGAGTACTAGCATTGGGTTAGATATTTGCCGTAGCATAGGATCTTCATTTCAGTTCAGCAAACTCTCATTGAGTGTCTGCTGTGCTTGAAGCTGCTGTGCTGTGTACTCTAGGCTTACCTTCTCCTGCTGCCACGTTGGGTTGTAGACTTTCACTTTGGAAGAGTTGGCCATTCTGCCACATTCAAGGGCTTCCCCAAGCTCAGTTAGGGCATTCCTCCCTGACTACCTGGAAATAGGAAGACATGGGTGATCTCATGTCATACTTCACTCCCTCTCCCAACATGGCCTCAGTCCCACAGCTGCTGGTTGAATACATAGAATCACTTAACTTTGGGAAAAGGGGTGGAGAGGCCCTTTGTGCTATAGAAGGGAAAGGACTTTGACTCTCATTTCCTTCAAGTACCGTTAGGTTACTTCTGAAAAATAAGTGGAAGATATCAGAGGGGGAAAAAGCAAGAGACACAAGTACAAAAGGCAATGTTTTGTTTAATCTGAACATAGATTAGTGCATAGTGAAGAGGAAGAGAACTCACCCTTACTGAGTGCCACCTATGTGCCAGAGTCTGTGTTGGGAGTTCTCACATATTTATTCTCTTTTTTACCTCCAACATGGCTTTGTGAAGTAGATTAAAAAAAAGACCTTTATTTTATGGATACATTGGGGTTCAGAAGGGCTCGCTAACTTGTCTAAGATCATACAAAAAGAATTGAATCCAGATCTTCTTAATGCTCTGGCAGCACTCTAAAATCATCTTGGCCTTTAAAAAAAAACGTGGCTGAAACCTACCCCAAACTCAATTAAATTCCAATCTCTGAGGGTTGGGATGGGCATTAGTATTTTTTATAATTGGGCCAAGTGATTATAGTGTGCAGCTGAAGTTGAGAACCATGGCTCTGACTAAAGAGGCAGTGCCACTCCTACTACTTTCCACAAGAAGGGACGGGGCATTTTTTGAACGAGTGTGCATTCTAAATACTCTTGGAACACTTTCAGATCCATCCCTTTTTCTCTGCTCCTCCTACCCTGCACCACAGTGTCCTTTTCATCTCTGGATATCTGTAAGTAAGCAGATGGAATGAGAAGAGAGGTTGTTATTGATAGTGGAGAAATACAAATTCAATTGAATTAATTTAATCAGCATTCCTCTTTTGATAAAACACGTATATGTAGTGCTGATAGACTGTCAAAGCACAATGTCAAGTAGTGTCAAGAAAATTTGATACAGTTTTCCAAATTTGTTGACAACTTTGGTTTGTTGAATATGCATTCACCAACACCAAATAGTACTGACTTATTATCTTGGTTTGTAGGGATCATAAAAAAGATGGGGCATGGATCTATTGCTGGTAGGAAAATAATTTTGAATTCCTGAGATTAGATTTGTTAATTGCCATATAACATGTAACATTTTACCCCAAGATTTTTGAAGTATTGCGATTTACCATATCTATGGCATCTCAATTATAAAAATCCATTATTTTACAGTCTCCTTTTAACCTTGAAATTGACCATGAGCATCATAATATTTTGATTCAAATCAAAATGTTCAAATGTCATAATATTTTGAACACTTTGACATACGTTATGAAGAACCTCTTCGTATATTCATCTATAACTAAAGTTGAATACATAAACACAGGCATTCTTGGAATTGGCAAAACATGTCATTTCATACAATAGTTACTTTGGGCATTTATTTTAGGATACGTAAAACCAGAGTACCACCTCTCATGAGTTTTATCAATAGAATTCTGTTTTAATGGAGAACTGGAAACAATATAGAGAACAGAATGCTCATCTTCCACCCTATCCGACTAGCTCTGTCCTTTCTGTCCCCCCTATCTGGCCCCTAATGATGCAGAAACTACCATTACTACTTAGTCCAATTTATGTGGTTCCTGCTTGGTCACTGTTGGGTTTATGGAGTGTGCCTTAAACCATCAAACCACAATAGCATATTGCATATTGGACATTGTGTATGGTCCTTCCTGATTTCTACATCTGATGTTAAGTTCCACAGGGAAATCTAAGGAAACCTTGATATTGCTGCCTGATTATTACACAACAGACAAATTGCATGGTGAATATACTTTTCTTGCTTACACTGGTTTAACAGTTTTTTTTGGCTTTGATCAGTTTATTGTTCAATTACTTATATTTTTCTGGCAAATGATTTTTTTTTTTTTTGAAGTGGAGTCTCGCTCTGTCGCCCAGGCTGGAGTGCAGTGGCACCATCTCGGCTCACTGCAAGCTCTGCCTCCTGGATTCACACCATTCTGTCACCTCAGCCTCCCAAGTAGCTGGGATTACAGGCATGCGCCACCATGCCCGGCTAATTTTTTTTGTATTTTTAGTAGAGACGGAATTTCACTGTGTTAGCCCGGGTGGCCTTGATCTCCTGACCTCGTGATCCGCCCACCTCGGCCTCCCAAAGTGCTGGGATTACAGGCGTGAGCCACCGCACCCGGCCCAAATTATTTCTTTTTTCTATTTGCCCCTAAAGTGAAATAGCCTATTTTGTGAGTATCATCTTGCCAAATTATAGCATTATTTTTAACTACCCAAGTCCATTTTGCATATGTCTACTGACTCAGGAAATATTCAGTTACATTTCTTAAATAACAGTAATAATACCCCATATAACCACTGCATATCATCAAATAATCTCCCACTTTTTCACCAGGATTCTTTTTTGCCTTTTATTGCAAAAAATTTCAAACATAGAAAGTAGAGAGAATAATAAAACATATCCCCATATACCATCCAGCTTCAGCAGTTATAATGTCATCCCTAATCTTGTTTTATCTGTACCTCACCCATTCCTCCTCTTTTTGAAACTAATCTCAGATTTCATCTGTACATATTTCTGTGTGTGTCTCCAGCAGATAAGGGCTTTGGAAAAATTATAGCCACAATACTACTATCATACCTTAAAAGTTAACAGTTCTATAATATTATAAAATATCTAGTCAGTTTTCAAATTTCTTTGATTTTCTTTAAGTTTCTTTTACATTGGTTTGAATCAGAATTTCAAGGTCCTGGTATTAATTTTATTGGTATATCTTTTAAATCTCTTTTAATTTATAGGTAACTCATTCTCTTTTTTCTTCTCTGCAGTTTATTTGTTCAAGAAGTTGAGTTGTTTTATTGATTGTTTTAGTCTAGTCTCCTACAAACTGGATTTTACTGATTGCATTCCTGTTGTATTTTTTTAACGTGTTTATCCGTGCCCTCTTTTCCCCACAAACTGGTATTAGGTTTAGAAGCTTCCATTTTTGGGAAGACAGCTTCAGAGGATGTGATGTGTGCTTCCATCAGAAGGCAGAGAATGAATGTTTATACCCCCTTTTGTTATGTGAACAGTCATTGATGATTATTGTTTATGTTCATTCCTTTGTGAGGTATTGCAAGATGGTGATACCCAAATGCTACCAATTTTAGTCTTTCATTATC